>NC_000007.14:42664484-42967514 GCF_000001405.40 Homo sapiens
CTAAGTGCAAATCCTCCATTGATTTTCATAAATGGCCTTAAGTTGAGGTATCAGTGCAGAGTGATAAAGAATGCAGGCTTTTGATTCCTAAAGACATAGGTTCAAACCTCAGCTCTACAACTTACTCCCTGAGTGACCTTGGGCAATTTGCTGAACCCCACTTTATTTCCACTTCTTCACCTGAGAAATGGGGCTAATTATAAAACCTACCACACAGTTTGATCATGAATATTAAATTATCTAACACATAAAACAATTGGACAAATAGAAAATGGCTAATCATATATTGAATGGTTAATAAATACTTTTAACAGTAATAACCTTGTAAAAACTGATGGTGGCCAATGGCTAGTCTGAGTTATGAATAGAAAGAAGGGGGATAAAAAGGAGGCAGGGAATAAAAATTTGGAGAGAGAAAAGAATAATCAAAATTAAGGGCATGCGACAGCTTTATGTGCAACATCCAGTTAATTAAATAAGAAGTCATGTTTGAGATCCTGAATTACTCAAATTAGTCATTGGTGCTGAATCAATCACTTCCCAGCCCTCTCCCTGAATCTGCACTGGATAGATATGGAAATAACCAAGACTCAAAAGCAGCAATGTATGAAAGTTGTTTGTCTTCTACGGTAGGGAAATATGAACCTTCTAGACCTACTACTCCCCAAAGCAACAGGAGCTTGTAGTTCTAGTAAAAATAGTGACCATGATGCCATATTTGAGAAATGCTTTCCTCAGCTGGGTCCCTAATGTCTTAAACAAAGGAAGACTCTACTTCACCTCCTAGAACTTTCCTTCTGCTTACTTCTTTTTACAATCATTTTTTCCTTCTCATTTACTTTTTTTTCTTCAGTAAATTTTCTTCTCTCAATTATCATTTGGAAGAAAAAATAACATGTGTCACTTCCATGTAGATTTCTTGGTGCTTAATTCCCCCAAGCTCTCTTCTTCCTGTTGTGGTAAATTCTAACACATCACATTAAGTTAAAAACACCATGGAATTGAAGCCGTGTGTTTTGAAAGCCATTGCATGGAGGACAACTCTCCAAAAGAGATTTTCAGATCCGTATCAGGCTTTGCACAAGAGAAAAAGGAACTCTTCTTGGGTAAGTCACTGAGATTTGGCTGTTGTTTCTTACTCAGCATTACTCAGCCTATTCTGACTGATACATAGTTGCCTGTCCTTTTCATCCTGCTACAAATGAGATAAAACAATAATGATTCTCACTAAGAATTTGCAATCCTAAATCTGCTCTCCAGCAGATCTAGGGTTCAATTCACACTTCCTGCATACAGGAAAATCCAAGCCCAAAAAAGTTTAATTAAATGTTAACATGTTATTCATATCAAACTCACATTTTTCTGAAAAAAATTATCGCCAGTGATACAATAGTTCATGTTCAACTAAGTAGGAGCTTAGAATACCAGAGAGTGTATTTCCATACACTGGGGAAACCTACCACACTGTTTGGTAGAAAAGTAAGCAGATAAAGAACAAAGATCAGAGCCTCTCCAGTATAACTGGTGTTACAATGATCACATTTACAACATAAAGTCAATATGTTTGAAATATTTCAAGATAAATATGGACTGTAAAAAATTAGCAAGCAGTGTGGCACTACCAAAATGATCAGGTTTAGAAATAGATATAATTATTTCAGTAAAAGCAAAAACCCTCAATGGATTAGGCAACTGAAATGAGAGTTAGTAAGGTAAAAGTTAGAAATAAAGAAACTTACCTAATAGGCAGCATAGAAAGCTCAGGAGATGGAAAATATAAAAAAGAAGGGTAAGGCATGGAGGATAGGCAATGCAAATTTATTCTTTGTATAATCTTACCTGACAAACAAAAAGAACCTAAAGAGATTGACTTCCAGGAAAATGGTGAGACCAGTTCACGCTATAGGCAATCTACAGACAAGAACCTCCAGCCATGTGATCAGAGCTGCCAATCAACAACATAGAACTCTGCTCTGGCAATCAGCAACTAGCCAAGAACAACAGCACTGCAGCAGAAGTTCTCAAGCACAGAAGACAAAGTCCACAAAAATAAATAAAAGCAGCATGGATCAAACAGACTATAAAGGGAGATAAATACTTTAAAAATCTATTATTAATTTCAGAGAAATAAGAAATTATATTGCATCCACAAAACAAGAACTGAGTGCTTTAAAAAATAATAATAAAATTGGAAAGAGCACTTGGAAATAAAAATCACATTGACAGAAATGAAAGACTCAGCAGAAAAGTTCTAAGATAGAGGAAGTCTCCCAGAAAAATAGAGCAAAAGGACAACATGGAAAACAATGGACACAGCAAAGATACAAATGATACTTAGAAAATCAGTCCAGGGTGAACAGAGATACTTCAAAAACATTCCAGACATGAAGAACACAATTTTCAAATTGAAAATTACCATCTGGTACCCAGTATAATGGATGAAACTGGGCAGGCAACAGATGACATTATGAAATTTCAGTATACTGAGGATAAGGAAGAGATCCTAAGAATGTACTTTGTAAAAACCATGTTGGAACATAGAAGGCAATGGAATAAGGTCTTAGAAATTCTAATTAAAATTTTTTGTGAACAGAATTACATAGGTATCAAATTGTTACTCTATTGTGAGGGTAGAATAAAAATGTTACATGTGCAGGGTATAAAATATTTATTTCCCATGCATACTTTCTCAGGAAGCCAGTGACACCTACATCAATTCGGTTGACAGCAGGAAATAAAGGGCACACTGAAAAGGAGGGAAATCGAGTCTAATTGAGGTATATTTTACAAAGGTGTGGGGCAGGCAGCAAGGAGGAAAGGGGATGAAGCACTCCTGTGCTAGAAATGATGGGAAACAATTATCATCCCTAGGCCAGAAGGGCCGAGGAGGGCAGTGGTTTCTGGAAAAAGAGTAGCTTTACTTTCAGTCAGGGCAGCCCTAGGAACTTGTGGAATTCAGTGAAGGAACATGGACAGCTAGTGGGGACTAGGACAGAGGGAAGCCATGGTTAAACACTCTGGCATTGTGCCCCTCTTCTTCTGTCTCCTGTTGGTGCTTCCTGCTGGCCTAGTCCACTAGCAAAGTCAGAGAGCAAGAGATTTATGCAGTGCATAAAAATCAGCCTCGCAGGACACAAAGTAGTAGAAAAGTCCGGAGAGTGGATCTGTGGGGCAACTAAGACTGTCTGTGCAGCACACTCTCCTAAACCCAACAATGAGGGTTGCCAAAAGCAGGAAAGAAATCAGATCCAAGAAACAGCTTCCAACTCAGGAAAGAGGCAAACACATTCCCAAAATCCCAGCAAAAGTAGTAGAGCTAGAGAACAATTAGCGCATTCTGGAGTAGGTCAGAAGTCTCCAAGAAAATGAAAACAATACAACACCTAATGTGTTTGAAGTGTTTACAGGTGGCTTTGTTAAACAGGAGAGAGTTTGGATACGTCATATTGTATGAAACTAAACAAATAAAAAAAAAGACAATTGTTGACTATATAGAAAATAGACATTTGTACAATAAGAAGAAGATATCATGGATATTAGATGATTAAATATAAAAGGATAGAAATAATGTACTAAACAAATTACCAAACAAAGTAAGTGTAGTTCTGTGAATTTCAGACATAATAGATTTCTCATATAAGATTATTTATTGGAGAGTAAAAAAGTTGCTACACAATGAAAAAATTTCACATTACTAGGAATCAAGTAACCTAATATCTCAAGTATACAAACAAAATTATTTTTTAAATTACAAAGAGAGGCCAGGTGTGGTGGCTCACGTGTGTAATCCCAGAACTTTGGGAGGCCGAGGAGGGTGAATCACCTGAGGTCAGGAGTTTGAGATCAGCCTGACCAAAATGGAGAAACCCCGTCTCTACTAAAAATACAAAATTAGCCCGGCGTGGTGGTGCATGCCTGTAATCCCAGCTACTCGGGAGGCTGAGGCAGGAGAATCTCTTGAACCCGGGAAGCAGAGGTTGCAGTGAGCCAAGGTTGTGCCATTGTACTCCAGCCTGTGCAACAAGAGCGAAAATCCATCTCAAAAAATAAATAAATAAATAAATAAATAAATAAAATTACAAAGAGAAACTGACAAATTCACTATCATAGTGGGAATCACTTAACATTTGTTATTGATAAGTCAAACTAACATCCCCAATAGTAGAGATACAGGAAATTTGAACAATACAATTTACAGGCTTGAGAGAGATAAATACATAGATAAGTAGATAGAAAACTAAGTACTCAATAATTAAAGAATATACATTTTCTATCTGCTTTATATACACTGTAATATTTATTACAACATTACATACTAAGCTCTTAAAAAATCTCAGCAAATCTGGTATCAGCCAGATTGTGTTTTCTGACAGCAATGGAACTAATTTACAAATCTAAAAACGAAAAGATGGCTAAGAAAAAGGCGCACGCCTGTAGTCCCAGCTACTACTCGGGAGGTTGAGACAGAAGAATCGCTTGAACCCGGGAGGTAGGGGGTTGCAGTGAGCTGAGATCACTCACTGCACTTCAGCCTGGGTGATAGAGCTAGACTCTGTCTCAAAAAAAAAAAAAAAAAAAAAAGACTGTATTTATACGGAAATTTTAAAATGTGCTTCTAAATAATGCACAAGTAAAAGTCAAAATCATATTTTAAAGTATGAACTACTGGAATGGAATGGTACATAAAAACTACATTTTAAAACTTAAAATGGGTTAAATCTAAAGTGTTTCTTAGAGGAAAATGTTTAGTCTTAAATGTCTTATTAGAAAGAAAGGAGAAATAAAATTAATGAGCTAAGTATTCAGCTAAAGAAGCTGCAGAAAGAATCACAAAATAAACTTTAAAAAAACAGATAGAAGAGGGCTGGGTGTGGTGGCTCACATGTGTAATCCTAGCATGGGATTTGGGAGGCTTTTGGGAGGCTGAGGCGGGCATGGTGGTGCATGCCTATAATCCGTGCTACTTGGGAGGCTGAGGCAGGAGAATCGCTTGAGCCAGGAGGCAGAGGTTGGAATGAGCTGAGATTGTGTCACTGCACTCCAGCCTGGGCAACAGAGTGAGACTCCAACTCAAAAAAAAAAAAGTAGATAGAGTAGATAGAAGCTATAAGTATGATATCAGATATTAATGAAATAGAAAATAAAATTTAAAACAATGAACAAAGCCTAAAGCTGGTTATCAGAAAAGAATTATGAGACAAAGCTCTAAGGACATTGCTCAAGACAAAAGGAAGAAAAGGCATACATGAACAATATAAAGAAAATGCTTTTAAAAGTCAACCTTAATCAACATATTTAAATACTTAGAAAATGGCATGTTTTTACAAAATATAACTTAGCAAATAGAATGCAAGAAAAATCTTGCAACATTAAGAAATTGAATCAATTGGTTAAAATCTTCCCAGAAAGAAAACACCAAGCCCAAAATATTGCACTGGAAAATTTTACCAAACTTTCAAATCACAAAGTATTCCAGTGTTATTTAAAGTCTTCCAGAGAGCATAAATGGTGGTGCACTCCTCACTCATTATATGATGAACCTAAGATTAGTATGACAAAATAAACAGAACATTATGTACAAGAAAATTATGTACAAGAACATTATGTACCACTCATAAATATGTATGCAAAAATCCTAAACATAATTTGACAGTACAAATTCACCAGCGTTAAAAATAAATATGCAATGGCTAAATTGAGTTTATCCCAGAAATGTAGGACTGATTTAAAGTTAAATAATCTGCAGATGTTGAAAATGGCAGGCCAGCTCTTTAGACTAAACTTCCTACTGAAAAGAATTTAAAATGCTGCATAGAAATCTTTTTTAAAAAAATCACCAAACTTCTGAAATAGTGTAAGAAATTCTTAAGCAAACATCTAAGAAAAGCAGGACAGTAGGAAGAGATCCAGAACAACTTCAGATACAATAAATATTATATACAGAAGAAGCATGGCAGAGCAATGGGAAAAGGATTTAATTCCTAGTGCTTGACCGATGGATTAATCTCATAGAAAAATAAATAAGAGACTTATACCCCTATGCCAACTGAAAAATTAATTCCAGATGAATTAAAGACTTAAAAATAAAACTTGATAACTTTGGAAGAGAAGGTGGATCTTTATTATCTCCAGGAAAAAAAGGATTCAGTAAATAAGATACAAAAAGCAAAACTCAAAAGAAAATAAATTCTGCTATGTACATATTATAAATATCTGTTTATGAAAGAATCTATTATTATTACGAAAGAACTTGTTATCATTAAACCTAAAAAGGTCACAAATTGGGCAAAGATATTCTCTTTTTTTTTTGAGACGGAGTCTCCCTCTGTCGCCCAGGCTGGGGTGCAGTGGCGCCATCTCAGCTCACTGCAAGCTCCACCTCCCGGATTCATGCGATTCTCCTGCCTCAGCTTCCCAGTAGCTGGGACTACAGGCGCCCGCCACCACACCCAGCTAATTTTTTGTATTTTTAGTAGAGACGGGGTTTCATTGTGTTAACCAAGATGGTCTCGATCTCCTGACCTCGTGATCCACCCACCTCGGCCTCCCAAAGTGCTGGGATTACAGGCATGAGCCACCGTGCCCAGGCAAAAATATTTTCAATGCATGATCTCCGAAAGGGATTATTATCTAATATTTTGAAAGGACTTATATAAATCAATTTTAAAAAGTAACATGAAAATTGGCAAGAATATAAATAGGCAACACATTAAAAAAAATGAAAACAAATTAACAAATGACATGATGCTCAATTTTGTTAATAATGAACCAAAGGCAAATTAAAATCATGACATACACTCTTAAACCCAAAAGATTGGTAAATTTTAAGAAATGAAAAACATTTTGTGAGCATGTAGAACAATGGGGATTCATACTCTGTTGCTGACAATGTAAACTGGTTCAACCATTTTAGAAAACAATTTGGCATTTTCTCTTAAATTTGGAGATATGCATAAGGTATGGCTCAGGAATTTTACTCTTATTTTATGTCCCAGAGAAATGCTTGCAAGCATATCCAATATGACATGTACATAACACCAGTATTTGTTGTAATAATAACTGGAAACAGCTGCTGTCTATAGGTATAGCCATGCAATAGAATACTATACATAGCGAAATATAATTACACTGGCACACATCTACATGGGTGAGTTGGGAAAATGAAAAGTTGAGACATCAATACAGTTGCCAAAGAAGACAGGTAGAACTGTTCCTTTTCCATAAAAGTCAAAATTATATGAAGCATCACAATATCTGTGTTTGGGAAAGCATTCTTATGAGGCAAAACCATACCAAAAGCAAGTGATTCATAAATGTAAATTTCACAATAGTGGAAACTTAGCTGGGGAAGGATGGGAGTAGTAACAATGAGAGGCACAAGAAGGTGTTTGACACTATTAGTCATGCTCTATTGCTTAAGCTTTGTCGTTTACTTGATTAATTGGATTGTTAAAAAGTAAAAACCTCATCTCAATTAGGGAAAAGCATCTCACCACAACCTGCAGGGATTTGCTCAGCTCAGCCCTCTCCACCTCTGCAGTTTCACTTACCACCTCTCTAACATATATTTATCATTTTCCAAACAC
Source organism: Homo sapiens (assembly GCF_000001405.40). Lineage (NCBI taxonomy): Eukaryota > Metazoa > Chordata > Mammalia > Primates > Hominidae > Homo > Homo sapiens. The sequence goes on from NC_000007.14 coordinate 42,672,071, forward strand.
ACTGGCCTTCTTTTAGTTCCTCAAAAACTCCAAATGTTTTCCCATCTCTGTGCTTTTTCTGCTATTCCTTCTGCCCAGAAAATTTAGTGAAGACTCAGGAAAACCTGTCCCTGGGAAGCATAAAAAGGCCCCTCAGAACAATGTGAAACTCAGGCAGTGAAGACCATGCTCTCAGTGTTTAACTATCATGCTCCATCCAAATCAAGGAGTGTGAAAACCAGGAGAAGTCATGAGTATCTGGTCCAGTGCAAATTGGAGCAAAGTAGCAGCACATGCCTCAAGTCATGTTTCCTAGAAGATTCCTGCAAGACTGATAACAGCAGAACTTAATACAGAAAAGCAAATTCCAATAAATAAATGAAATCCTACACTTCATTCCCCTGGATATTTGTTTCCTGCTTGGCTCCAAAGCTCAGGGTGCAGGTTTGGCCCCAGAGTCAGGTGGGTGGCTGACATTCAGCACTAGCATTAGCTGTGCTGCACAGCAGCCTGGGTCAGGACTGGGCAGACTCCTCCAGGAGAAGCACTGCAGGAATTAGGATGGAAAAGTTAAGCAAGCAAACAAACAAAAAAACAACTTTGGAGTCGTTTTACCTCTAGGTGTAACTAACTTTGTGACCATGAGCAAGTGAAAACAGGAAGTTTAGGAAGAAACTTGAGCGTGTACTAAATGCCACCTCATCCTAAATGCTTTACATGTTGCTAATTACTCACCACAATCAAAATTTAAAGTGGATTTCACTGCATTGTGTTTCAGATGGATGACTTCACCATAGACATTATGTCACTTTTCTGAGGTTAGGAAGTAGCCAATCTAGGATCCACCTGATTCCAAGTCTGATGCTCTGTTAGCACATCCAGCTGTTTTCTATCAGATCTCTGTGGGCTTCAGTCTCCTCATCTATCAAAACAAACAAACAAATATGGGATTGCAACAAATGATACCTTCTGCCTCTTTCATATTTTCAGTCCTAGCAATGGCAATGCTGGTATCAGCTCCGTATTCCTCAGCTCTTTGCCTATGGTAGGGAAGACTCATGAAGACATTCATCATGTCAAGACCTTGCAGATTTGCTTTTGGACTTCCAAACTATTGTCCTCAAAGGAATGTGAAGAATAATGACTTCTTCAAAAGCTGGAGTAAATTTATAACATCTTAGGGCCTTTCCTTCAATTTGAAGGCCCCATTCTTGGTGCTGACAAATGCTGAATGAAGGTTGGCTGCCCCATGCTGGAACAATCACTAAAATGAACAATAGGAAGATGTTGAGGTCAAATGTATTAGTTTTCTGTTGCTATGTAATATATTACCACGAAACTTAGCAGCTTAAAGTAACACACATTTATTATCTCACAGATTCTGTGGGTCGGTATTCTGGAAACAGTTTCTGTGGGTCAGGATTCTGGACACAGCTTAGGTGAATTTCCTGCTTAGAATCTCACAAGGCTGTAATCAAGAGATTGCCTGAGCTGTGTTTTCACCTGGAGGCTCCACTAGGGAAGAATCTGCTTCCAAGTTCACTCAGACTGTTGGCAGATTAATTTCCTTGCAGTTTTAAGACTGAGGGTCCCAGCATCTTGCTGGTATTAGTTGGAGGCTCCCTCAGCTCCTGTAGGTTGCCCACAGATCCTGACTTTCACTCACGTCCATGTGAAGAGACCACCAAACAGGCTTGTGTGAGCAATAAAGCTTTTTAATCACCTGGGTGCAGGCGGGCTGAGTCCGAAACGGAGTCAGTGAAGGGAGATAGGGGAGGGGTCGTCTTATAAGATTTGGGTAGGTAGTGGAAAATTATAGTCAAAGGGGGTTGTTCTCTGGCTGGCAGGGGTGGGGGTCATAAGGTGCTCAGTGGGGGAGCTTTCGAGCCAGGAGAAGGAATTTCACAAGGTAATGTCATCAGTTAAGGCAGGGACCGGCCATTTTCACTTTTTTTGTGGTGGAATGTCATCAGTTAAGGCAGGAACTGGCCATTTTCACTTCTTTTGTGATTCTTTACTTGCTTTGGGCCATCTGGACGTATACGTGCACGTCACAAGGGATACCATGGCTTAGCTTGGGCTCAGAGGCCTGACACTAACCACACAGGCTTTCCCAAAATAGCCTGTTACTTCATCAAGCCCAGTGGCAGTCTCTAGAGTTCCATTTATGTTTACGTACATGAACAACTGCTTTTGCCTAGCACTAGGTATATGATGTGTCGTCCTTACTCCCAATTCCATTTTTTATAGGAGATTGGATACATAAATACCTAAAATTAAGTACCCAGTCAATCATGAAAATGTTCTGGAATTAGATAGTGGTGATGAGTGCACAGCTTTGTGAATGCACTAAAACCACTGAATGGCACAACTTAAAAGGATAAATGTTATGATGGATGAACTACATTCAACAAGAACAACTAAATCCTTCAAACTATTCATAAAGTGTACATGCAAAATAGAAATTTCATACCTGCAAGGATTTAGAGAATGTGCTTTTCATGTACCTATTCTTTAAAAGCTACTAAAGAATGTGCCTTGGGAAAACAAAAAATTCAATCAAAAAGAGGAGAACATAATACTTGAGAAACCATGAAGACAGATGACAGGTCCTAGGACAGGAGCTATACAGTAGGCTATGCTGCAGGAATGCAGTTGCAAATGCTGCCAAAATTCCCAGAAAGGATGGCCTGAATCCACCAGAGACACTCAGCCATAAATCCCCAGCAAGCAGCACACAGGGCATTTCTAGAGCCCAGACCTTCCCTAGAAAAGATGACACCACTGAAAAGGACTGACATTATTTAGAAACCCCCAGAAATCTAAGCTGGGGAATAAAACACAGACATTTGGCCTTCTGCCCATAAACTTGGATCCATTGGGGATTCTACTAAAACGATTCAAAACTTTACTCAGCCATTAACATGGTAGTTTGGTAAATTGGTTTTATAACTCATCTATCAACTTTTGCAAACGAGGCATATTTATTTCTCACAGTTCTGGAGGTTGGGAAGTCCATAATCAAGGTGCTAGCAGATTTGGTGTCCAGTGAGGACCCGCTTCCTGGTTCAAAGGCAGCCATCTCTTCACTGTGTCCTCACATAGTGGAACCGGCAAGGGAGCCCTCTGGGCTTCTTTTATAAGGGCACCAATCCCATGACCTAATCATTTCCCCAAAGGCCCCCACCTTCTAATATCATGTCCTTGGGCATTAACATTTCAACATACAAATTTATGAATTTTAGGGAGATGCATATATTCAGACCATAGCACAAGTCAATAAGTGAGTAAAACAAGGAGAGAGAGAAGCACACATTTTCTTCTGTAGAATAGCAAAGAAGTAGATTTTTGAAGAAGTAGTGATAAATAAAACTCAATTCAGTCGTGGCCAAGTCATCAGAGCAAGGAATACCCATTGGATGCTCGTCACTCTGCATTCCCATACACTATATTTCAGCCTGCTTAGTGCAAACTATAAAAAGTAAGTAAGCAATAAATCTGTTAAATGATAATATATATTGTACTCTATTTGTTTTTTAAATAATTTTTATTGTTTATTATTATTCTTTTTAGAGACAGAGTTTTGCTCTGTCACTCAGGCTGGAGTCCAATGGCACAATCATAGCTCACTGTAGCCCCAGACTCCTAGGCAAGTAATCCTCCCTCCTGAGTAGCTGCAGATATGCATCACCACACTCAGCTGATTTTTAAATTTTATGTTGTGTAGAGACAGGGTATCACCATGTTGTCCAGACTGGTCTTAAACTCCTGGCCTCAAGCAATTCTCCTGCCTTGGTCTCTCAAAGAATTGGGATTACCATCATGAGCCACCATGCCCAGCCTATTCACATGATTTTATGACTACAAAAATATATGTATACTTCCTCATAGAAATGCCTTAAAGAAAGAAGTGTTAATTATTTCTTTCTATATCATAAGTGCCATGCATCTTGCTAAGATATATTAGATCTGCAAAGTGTTTATTGAATTAATTTCTAAAAATAATAAAACTCTTAGCTTTGTTGCGTGCATATATATATATATACAAGTAAAATGCTTATTGCACAGACTAAACTCATTGGAGTAAAAACAACAAACAGTTTTATTTTTTCCTCCAGCACCTTAAATATGCTATACAACCCCTCCCTTCCCTTAGCAACATCTGAGTCAGATGCCATGGTCCCTCTCAGGTATTGAGAATGGGGTGGAGGAAATGTTTTTAGTTTATATTATTTAACAGTTCCTGCTGATGTAGTTCTTTTGGTCACCATGGGCTGGCCTAAAGTGGCATCTCTCATGGGGTGCATGTGCCACCTCTCTAGAAGCCATGTGCAGACTAATGTAGCTAATGTGCTCTCCAGCTCTCCTCTGTGACCATCCACAAGCACCTGTCCCTAGAAGTACTCCTGACAAAGATGCTCACAGCTGGCATGGAGCCCAAAGCTAGTCCTCTTCATAAGGGTACCTTTAAAAAGCCTTTAGGCTGGTTCTCTTCTCCCATGTCTGTGCACTTTGAAAAATTCAAGCATCCTTGCCATGCACCTGACCTTTGTCCTTACCCTGCAATTGCACCTGCTCAATCCAGCTTCCTGCCATCAGGACTCTCCAGGTCAGAAGTGAGCATTGCTGTCCACACTCACAAACACCACAAGTTTTCAGAGACACACAAAATTATCCTGAGAACTCCCTCACCAATCTTCCTTCTGCTGGACTGGAAGCCCTGGGGAAGGCCTGCAGACACCATAGCTCAGCAAATCACCTCACTGTGGAGGGAAATGCAGGCTTCTTTTCTCTCAGCAACCACAATTTCCATCCACAGTTTTCTTAGAGCCCTTCTCATCTGGTTTGAGGGACGGGAAATGCTGGGCAGTCCCCACTTAGGCAACAATGCAACATGAAAACTGCTAAAACTTCCTCCACTACATTTAACTCCCCTTAACATTTATACTCTTCTCTTTCTATAAATATTTGACAGTGGAACAGGGACTTGTAAGACTACTTTGGCTATCTCTTAACAATTCCTGGGGAAGATATGCGCATTTGGAAGAATATGAAGTACTTTTCAATCCTTGTCCTCAGCCTGGGGCCTTCAACGGAAGTGTTAGATGACAGAAAAAGTCTAATGGATGTCTTATTACATATGAGGCATGTATGTGTCCTTACATGTATTCCTTACATGTATACCCCAGCTCATCTCAAAAAGGTTGTATGCAGCTGCAGAGATGCATAAAACACAACAGAACAAAGATAAGACTCAGAAAAAAACCTATCTGGTACTATAAAGATACTGCAGATACATCTGAAGATTTTTGAGCAAAAGAGTGACATGATGAAAAAACATGTTTTAGAAAGATGGAGAAGATGAAGAAGGCTTTGTGGAACACGTATCAGGACTAAGTAGTGGAAATGCTTATAGGATGTAGATGGGCTTTGCTGTTCTGCTAAAGCAAGGCACAATGTGTTCAAGAAGACACACTTGAGGGCTACTACTCTTTTCCAATGTCAGGTCTCAAATATTAATGCCTGGGCAATTTCCTGCATAATATACTCCACAGAGTCAGCAGTGTTGTACAGGTGAGAATCACTGGGCAGGCATTGGATGATAGCAGTCAAAATCTGGGTGCTTGCTAATTGTACTTTAATATGAGAGAGAGAGCACGAGAGAGAGAGAGAGAGATCACACAAATGAATCAGCACTAACTGCACTCTCACCCAAGCTCTGCCCAAAGGCAGTCCTTGCCAGATAACCAGCACTATATTAGATTTTGAAAAACAGTGCAGCAGTGTCAGCTTCCATGATAAATCATCCTTTCAGGCTCTTAGAGCAGAACAAACACCTTGACTTTCCTGCCATGGATGATGCTTGCTCTCTCTCAAGTCCTGAGTCACCCTGGAGCATCTCCAAATGTGGACTCAGAGGCAGTTAGAAGATAGTCAAGAAAGCAGTGGCACCAGGCTGACATATTTCTGGGGAGTCGAAGCTGGACTGTCTAATTATCCTTCACCACACTCCGTGGAGCTCTCTGTGGTTCCCAGCCTGACTGCCTTCAAATGGTACCAGGCAATCCCCTGGAACTTTTTGCAGCTATTCCTTACAGCTGTGAAGACAGCTCTTTGGGTGATATCCAGCCTGCTGAATCATTCATTTCCTGTTCTTGATCTCAGAAAGTTCTGTTTGATGTTGTTTTCTCAAGACCATCATTTTAAAGGAAGCAATATTTTATATAATGCAGCTTTGTGGGCTTAGGCACTAAAACCAGATTATTTTGAATATGGCTTACCCTTATAATCATTTTCCTATGTAGAATTCTGGGTGCTGAGAATAACTCTACCATGATCCTCCCATGACATGAGGATGTTGGATGTTATAGGCAGGATTCCCAGTTCTGTTTACGCTATAAAGTTGAAGACATTGCTCAACTTGTCAGTAACAAGTCAGGAGAAGTTGCCATTTGTAAAAGTGTCAGATGTATTTGCTAGTGCAACCCAAGAATCTGCTGTGTGGGTGTTTCCAAGACTTCCATCTTATGAGAGCACTCTTCTCTTTAATGTTAAAATAAAAATGAGTTTATTCCCCATCCCTCACTTAGTCAACTCCCTGCATTTCTCAGGAATCTCAGGGACTTTCCATTTCTCACAGTTACTCCCTCTTCTAATATCCTCCTTCTGTTTAACTATCTTTCACTTGGATTCTCAATGCTTACATCTGCTATTTCTCTCCACTCTGCATCAAACGAAATGTGAAAACATGGATGCTTTTCCATGATTAAAACTGTTAATCAACTTTAATGTTAAAGTTCTTAACTTAAACAACTTTAATTTTGATAAAACTACCATCTTTGGGTAGTTTTAACAAAATTTATTAAGGAGTCAGAGGTAAAGGAGCATATGACTGAACACTGCCTATTAGTCCATATGCGACCCTCCTGATCCTAGAAGTCTCCTGGCCATTTCCCCCCGGGAAGCATCTCACTGGCTGACCCCTGCCTTCTACAGCCTTCCATGCAGCTGGCCCTGCTTCCTGTTCATCCAGAGCCCTCTCACTCTTTCCTTCTTAAGTTACCATGAAAAATTTAAATGCTCCTTGTTTTAATCGGCAACCAATATAGTGCTCTTTGTCTTACTCTTCCTCCCTCTAGATCAAGGTCTGGGGTCTATTTCCTCACCAAAAATTCAACAATAATCAATCATACTGCCAGACAAACTTTGTTTCCCTACTCCTACCTCCTACATTAGTCGTAAAATTATTAGATTTTAAAACATTTAGATACTGTAATGTATCTACTCTCATTAGAAATCAGATAAAGAACACAGAAGGACTCAGTTTCAAAATACTGTAATGTATCTATTCTCATTAGAAATCAGATACAGAGCACAGAAAAATTCAGTTTCAAAACTTATTAATCTCTATTATGAACAATTATATGCCAATATATTTAAAAACCTAGAGGAAATGGCTAAATTCCTGGACACATACAACCTGCCAATATTGAACCAAGAAGAAATAGCAAGACTGAACAGACCAAAAACAAGTAATGAGATTGAACCAGTAATAAAAACTTCCCAACAAAGAAAAGTCCAGGACTGGATGACTTCGTAGCTGAATTCTACTGAACTCTTAAAGAATTAATACAAATTCTTCTATTCTAGGAGGCCAGTGTAACTTTGATACCAAAACCAGACAAGGACACGAAAATGAAAGAAAACTCTAGACCAATATCCCTAGTGAACATAGAGACAAAAATTCTCAACAAAATACTAGCAAACTGAATCCAACAGCACATCAAAAAGATCACACACAATGATCAAGTAGAATTCATCCTATGGATGTAAGGATGTTTCAACATAAGCAAATCAATAAACACGATACATCACATCAGCAGAATTATAAGGACAAAAATTATATGATCATCTCAACAGCTGCAGAAAAAGCACTTGACAAAATTCAACATCCCTTCATAGTAAAAACCTTCAATAAATTAGGTATAGAAGGAAAGTACCTCAACATAATGAGGGCCACATATAACAAACTAAAATCATACAGAATGAGAACAAAATCTTACCACTCTTATTCAGTATAGTACTAGAAGTCCTAGCCAGAGCAGTTAGGCAAGAGAAAGAAATAAAGGACATCCAAATTGGAGAAGAGGAAGTCAAAATGTTCCTGCTTGCAGATAAATGATCTTATACATAGAAAAATCTAAAGACTCTACCAAAAAACTCAGAACTGATAAACGAAATCAGTAAAGTTGCAGGATACAAAATCAACAACAAAAATCAGTGGCATTTCTATATAGAGACAACAAACTAGCTGAAAAAAAAAATCAAGAAAGCAACTCCATTTACAATAACTACAAAAATAATAAAATATCTAGAAAAAGAATTTAACCAAGGAGATGACAGATATCTACAAGGAAAACTATAAAACACCGATGAAAGAAATTGAAGAAAACACAAAAAAATAGAAAGACATCCATATTCGTGAGCTGGAAGAATTAATATTGTTAAAATGGCCATACTAACTAAAGTGATCTTCAGATTCAATGCAGTCCCTACCAAAATACCACAGAAATAGAGAAACATAATACTAAAATTTGTATGGAACCAAAAAAGACCCTGAATAGCCAAAGTAATTCTGAGCAAAAAGAACAAAGCTGAAGGTATCACATTACTATTCTTCAAAACATACTACAAAGTTAGAGTAGCCAAAACAGCATGGCACTAGCATAAAAACAGACACACAGGTCAATGGAACAGAATAGAGATTTCAGAGATTAATCCACAGATTTGCAGCCAACTAATTTTTGACAAAGGCACCAAGAACACTCACTGGGAAAAGGACAGCCTCGTCAATAAATGGTCCTGGGGAAACTGGATATCCATATTCAAAGAATGAAACTAGATGCTCACGTTTCACCCTATACAAAAGTCAACTCGGAATGAATCCAAGGACTAGATGTAAGACCTGAAACTATAAAGCTACTAGAAGAAAACATGGGGGAAATGCTTCAAGACATTTGTCTGGGAAAATATTTTATAAATAAAATCTCAAAAGCACAGGCAACTACGGCAAAAATAAACAAATGAAATTATATCAAATGAAAAAGCTTTTAAACAACATAGAAAACAATCAACAGAGTGAATGGACAACCTACAAAATAGAAAATATTTGCAACTATTCATCTGACAAGGAATTAATATTCAAGATTATACAAGCAACTCAAACATCTCAACAGAAAAAAAAAAAAACTAAAGAAAAGCCTGATTTAAAAATGGGAAAATGATATGAACAGATATTTCTCAAAATACAGAAATTTTCAACAAATATATGTAAAAATGTTCAACATCATTAATCATCAGGGAAATGCAAATCAAAACTACAATGAGATATCATCTCATCTCAGATAAAATTGCTATTGTCAAAAATACAAAAATAATAAATACTGGTGAGGATGCAGAGAAAAGGAAACTCTTATACACCACTGGTGCAAATGTAAACTAGTATAACCCTTATGGAGAACAGTGTGGAGGTTCCCCAGAAAACTACAAATAAAACTACCGTATGATCCAGCAATCCCACCACTGGCCATTTATCCAAACGAAAGGAAATCAGTATATCAAAGACAGGTCTGCAGCCCCATGTTGATTGCAGCACTGTTCACAATAGTCAAGACATGGAATCAACCCAAGTGTCCAACAACAGATGCATAAAGAAAATATGGTATATATACACAATGGACTACTATTCAGCCATAAAAAAGAATAAAATTCTGTTATTTACTGCAACGTGGATGAAACTGGAGGACATTGTACTAAGTAAAACAAGCCAGGAACACAAAGTTAAATACTGCATGTTCTCACTAATATGTAGAAGCTTTAAAAAATTAATTTCATAGAAGTAAAAAGTAGAACAGAGCATATTAGAGGCTGGGAAGAGTAGGAGGGAAGAGAGGATAAGGAGAGATTTGTTAAAGGGCACAGAATTACAGCTAGACAGGAGGAATAAATTCTAGTGTTTTATAGAATATCACTATGTGCCCCATAAATATGTGCAATTATTGTGCCAATCAAAAATAATTTTTTAAAAAGAAAATTATTGCTCTTGTATTTATTCTAAAAATTTTATCCATTTGACTTGGAAAAAATAACTCTTGTTTAAACTATTTTTTTCTGGCTCCCCTTTGGGGGTAATGAATCAGCAGCCATGATCACTGGACATGTGTGTGGACAGTGATATCCTCTTTGGGCAAACAAGAGACCAGCTCCCAGTGAAACCAGTCAAACCCTCTTCTTTGTAGACCACAAAAGTGTCCCTGCTCTTCCAGTATGTGTGAGAGAAGAACACACAATGCAATATAGCACCTGCTATGCTAAACATGTTCAACACACATCCACTGAGAGAAAGGACAGATCAGATCTTTCTGAGGGTTTACTAACAAAGAAGTGTTACTAAAAATGTAGATAAAAGAGCCATCAGTTTGCAAGTAGGAATCATCCCTAAGAGAGCAATCCCAACATGGATGACTGGTGCCATTTTGTGGTCAAACTTTAACTGGTTGAAGACAAAATGAGAAAAGTAACTATAATATTGTGTTTTCAAATACATACATGTAAACTTCCCAACTCTGGTAGTAGACATAATACTATGGCATAAGATGTGGCTGTCTCTCTATTTTACCTTTTTAGTGTTATAATGTTCAGTATTAAATAAAATAATGGTAATTCTAGATTGTGGTTTAGTAGGATTTTTAAAAATTATTGTAGTGAAGCAAACTATGTCCTCAATTTTAAGGCATGATACGCAAATATCTGGGAACTTGTTCTCTAGAAACATGTTTGAGGGGTTAGGAAAAGAAACAAAATAAAACATCAACATAAATCTTTCAATCCCCTAGAAATTGTAGAAAACTTACAGAGGGCTTTACTGAAGTCAGGACCCACAAGAACTGCACAGAAAGCTGAGAGACAGGACACACCTCTCTCTCAGGGTGAAGGGTCTGGAGAGAGGACACTGGGACCCCCAGAGATCTGGAATCAGTATCCTTTCCAGTCTGTGCCTCACTCATTATTCCCTTCACCCTACACTGCCAACACTCTCATCCCCCACTGCAGATTTGCATATTCTTCCTAGGAAGTCTGGGGAAATTTTAGATGCATAGAGAAAAGAAGATACAATCAGTAGGTTTCAACTATGTACTTGAAAAAAAAATGGCAGCACTAATTGCAGAATGAGAGAGACCCCTCTAGACTGTGTCTGTTCTCACAGTAGCAAGAGTGATCTCTGGAATTGAGAATGCTCTCCTGCAGTCCCAAGCCTACTGCCAGGACACATGGATGTGATTTTGGACAGTGAGCTGGCTCCTCAGGCAAATAATTTTTCTAACAAATTCTCTCTCTTTCTTTTAATTTATCTGATCATTGAGGAGATATCAAATTTTTATTACATGTAAATCTAAAATGCATATGAAATTAAGAGTTAGACAAGTGCTTTATAAGTCTTGGGTCTATGAAGATGAAGACAGGTAATACAGAATTTCAGTCTTGAAGAGATCCTGGGAGATTTCATTACAGATGAGAAACTGTGGCACTTAGAAGTTACGTAATAAACCAGGATGCCCAGCTCACTAGATGAGAACTTTTTGCCTACTCTTATTTGCCTTATTTGTCAAGCATATATTTTTCCAGGACATAGATTTATCATATTCTTAAGAACATATGCCTTTTAATTCATCCTGTGTTTTAAGAAAGTATAATAGGAAATGTTTATATTCTGAAATTTCCCAGTTTTGATTCTACCTTATGGATTTAGAAAATAAGAGTAATAAATTATAGCCCGCATATCATGACTTTGTGTCTAAGTGTTGATTTTAAATTGTTTATTTCTTCCTTTATTCATACCTTTATTCCTCCCTGCACACCCATTTTTGCTCATAAGCAAATTGCATATTACATTCACATTTGATGAGATCAACCCATGATTAGTTAATCAAATATACATGTAGATCATGTATGTAGACTCTATTTTGGAAGTTTGAAGAAGAAGAAGAGACAGCATTCAAAGGGAAGACAGCATTTCTTACAATGCAAGTGTCTCAAACTTCCATTCTTTTTCAGTTTGGGAGGAGGGAAGCTCAAAGGCCTGCACCTAGCTAGGTCAGTTTCAGGATTTCTGCATGTTGACAGATTCTAGTGCTTGAGGGTACTATGCATGGAACTAAATCATGGATTCTAGAAATAGTGTCCTGAAGCAATAAAAGACGAGAACAATGGCCAGATATCCGAAAGCATGCCGACTACCTAAGGGTGCTAAATGAAGAAAGGAATCGAGAAACCATGAGGCTGAAGATAGAGGCAGAGGGAGGTAAGACTGGGGAATTCCAGAGCAGCGCAAGACATGAGTCCCTGTGGGCATTGCCGCCAGCTTGCCGATACATTAAAGAGGCTGAAGCAGAGTAAATAGGGAACGGTTTAGGGTGGCAAAATGCTAGTAGGAGGAGATTTGATCAAAAGCAGAGGTGAAGGAGGCTGTCCTTAATCAACAGAGAGGATATTCCACTCTATGGGATTCAGGCAGCTAGAGGGATTGATGTGGTTGCACACAAATTTGAAGATGAAAGGGAGATGAATGATGAAGCCATTCACATCATTTCCCTTTCATTTCCTTGATACAGTTGGAGGCTAGGCCATTTGTGTAGGGTGCTGGTGAGGACTAGGCAGGGGAGAGAGGAGCATGGTGAAGCCTTGCTTGCTGCTACAGGTTGCTTCCAAGGAGAGGAGAAAGACATTCCAAACAGAACTGTGGGCTCAGCTGCTGCTGCAGACCACCGATGTGCCATGACACTGATCCACACAGGTGTGGGGCTTCTCCAGGAGAGCTCAGATACAGGAGTGGGGACGACCTCCTCTGGATCAGTTTGGGGATTGATCCAGACTTGGGAAATTTTCAGGACAGGCTTTCTAGAGAGATGAGGGTCTAGAGAGAGTACAGGGTGCTGACTACTAGGAGTGAAGGAAAGAGGGGGCTGGAAATGTGTGGTTAGAAGGTTGATGCAAGAGGAGTGAGTGTGAGTTGGAGTGAGAGGTGTGTGAGAATGCAGTGGAGTGATGCCTGGAGTAGCTCTGGTGGTGGTGGATGAGGGAAATTGTAAGAACAGTGCTTAGCATGAATGAGTTTCATGAAGATCAAAATCTCCCAGATAATAGAAGAAATTTAGTTAACGAGGAAGACTATGAATCGGGCACCTCCAACTTCAAGGAATGTAATGAAGCAGCAGGAAGGGGGAAAGCCATTGAAATTGAATACGAGCTTCAAAACAAAGGAGCTTTTGCATAAAAAATTACAGGAGGGATGCAATTATAGTAAAGACAGGGAGGTGAAGTAGAGGATGACTGAAATATTGTGAAGGGAGAAAGGGTTATGTAACCAATGTGAGCCTTCAAGAAAATGTAGCTTATGGGATGCAGACTCTAACCCCACCTGCTCACTGCTGACTGAGTTCCAAAAAAAAGTAAAAAACAAAGGTAGCCTCTTAAGAGTAAATCAGCTTGATGTACACGTTCTTCTTCCTATGTGAACAATTGGTTCCCTGGATCATAAGTCCCCCGTGTTAAGGCAAGTCAGGTTGGTCTTTGGTTTTATGCAGCATCCATCCATCTACTCTATCAGTCAGTCTGAATAGAGCACCTTTTCTATGCCAGGTATTGTGATGGGGGCTGAGGAAATTGTTTGAAATGAAAATAGAAGTGACCCTTCCCCTTATAGCAATTCCGGTCTAGTAGAAAAGACGTGCATGAAGCAAAGGGTCACCCTCCAAATGAACAATTACCACTATGATGAGGTCAACCCAGGAGTTACAGGTACAGTGAGAACGTGCGATGTGGGATGGACCTCATAAGAGGAGTTGGGATCATCCTCCCCAGGACACAGCATTTGAGCAACACGTGGGAGCTCATCACAGCAGAGTAGCCTAGGAGCGGTCCAGCGTAGGCAATGGCCCTGTGTGCATGTGTGGGGTGGGGAGTGTGAGCACATCACAAAAGGAAAGAAGGCCAGCGCTCCACAGTCCCAAAACAGCGGGAAGCACAGTGCCAGGAGAGCAGACAGCACCCTGGAGGCCAAATAAAAAACCTGGCATATGTTCCTGAGAGTAATGGGAAGTGATTGAAAGGTTGAGAACAAGGGAATGACAAAATTAGATTTGCTTTGAAACGATCGTTTCAAATACTCAGTGGAGAATGGACTGGGGGGAGAGGGGAGGAGAAGGTAAGATTAGATATGGAAGATCAGAGAGGTTCCAGTAAAGAATGAATGATAGGAGGTGCAGAGAGCACTGAGAAGAGCACATGGCGTACGCCAAGCACTTGACAAATGTTAGCTATTAGACCTATTTAGATTTCAAAAGAAGGGCCCCAGAATGGCAAGATAGCTTAGGACCATGTCAGCTACGTGTTTATTCCTTATTTGCATATTATATCTATTTTTCCATTAGCTTCTAAAGTCAGTTTCTAGAAACCTGTCTAGTCAAAGTATAAGGATTTTTTAAATAGAGCCGGAACAAAGGAAGGTAACACACGAAATGTGTTTAACTCGCCCCTTGCTTATTCTTTCAACTTTTAAAAACTTAAAATAGTTTCACCAGGCCCTGGTCTTGCTCCTAAGTAGATTCGTGTCCCCATGGCTGCCTCTCAGACCCGTAAATTCCTGCCGGTGCCTCAGGATTCCACAGGCTTCTTTACCGCTGCCCCCCTCGGCTTCTCTCCATGAGGCCTTCTTTAATGCTGATGAGTTTCATTTCAATTACTGTCCCTTTCATCTCAAACACCAGTGAGGCAGAAGCAATGTATAAAGTCAAATTGTTTCTTTGAAAACTAGAATTTATTGTGTCCTAGTGTCACTTTTATTAATCGTTGAAAGTTAATGGTATCCAGACCAACAGAATTTTGTATAAACATTTAACTTTTTTTTCATCAAAGAGAAGCCTCTCTGACATTCTATATACGGCGATGTGCCTTCTGTTGCAGACTAGTTACACGTAGTAGATTTATATACACTGAAGAACCTAGGAATTTGACCCTTGAATAACATCACTAAGAAAAATCATGTTCAGATCAGGACAGAGCGGAACCTACCATACAGGTAACTGGGAGTCTTTTAAACACTGCCTGCTTGACTCCCACTTTACCTCCTGGGGGATCTTCCACACTTCTGTCCCCGTTACACAGGCTCAAGTTGTGTTGGCCATAATGGACTTTCAGGAAAAGAGCAATCCTCTTTCTTGGATTCAGAGCCAGATTCACTTGGAGGGAAGCATAGAAAATTATCCTCTAGATAACATGAGGAGAAGAAAAGTAAGATGCCTTTTGCTTTATTTTTGGCCTAAACTATTTGGAGAAAAATTCCTGGGAAGATATCAAAGGAACCCTAACTTCAACGTTAGAAATATTTTAGCAAAACATGACACCCTGGGGAACAAGAAGTTATTCCGGAGGCATAATTTCTCCCCAGGGTAGGCAGAGTCCTTATAATCATTGCCCCCAAGAGGGTCTTGTACCTTGTGATTTGAGAATAAATTGAGAACAAATCTTAGTAGTTAGGATGAATGCCAAAATTCACACCAGTCACTCCTGACTTTTCAGAGAAGCATGTGGATTTCTTGCACACTTAATGCGTTGATCAATTGCCTGCCTGCGTGCATCTCAACAGACGCTTAGTTTTCATTATAGATGTAGCATTGCCCATTCGGCTCTGTTCTCAAAATTGGATTGTGAAAATAATTCTTAGCAATGCTGCTTTAATTTATCTACAGAAACTTCATAAAAGCCATTTTATTAGATGAGCCAGAGTCATACTCTATGTCTGATGTGCTGCACGTGGCAAGCAGCATGATTTATATCCTGGTGCACAGTCTGCCATAGGCAGGCATTTTAATGCTATGCCGATTATTTAGATGTATTCAGAATCTTGCCCTTTCTTGCCAATGGACACTAAGCTTTCTCCAAGAGCTTTATGTATGTGTCAAGATATTCTTTCCCTCTGAGAGATGCCAAAACCAGATTTATCCCCAAGGTTAAAGAAATGAGGGAGATGTCCTTTGCTTTTCTCCACTTCTTACTCCCAGAAAATAATTCATCTACATCCACACAGAGACAGTTCTTGGCATGAACAAAGGTGTCCCAAGGGAAACCAGGAGGCATCCATGCAATTGTTCGTGATTGTATCATGATGTATTTAGCATATTGGCTGACGTTTAGGTTTAAACACTAGTCTGACCCAAAATAAGGCAAAACAAAACAAAATTTGTAAATATTCACTCATGTTTTTATCATACTTTACAAAATGGGTTGAAAATGGAGTGACAAATGTAGAACTTGCAAAATGTCGATATAGTCCAGCAGGTAAAGAAATCTAATATCAGAAATTTTTTTTTTTTTAAAGCCATGTACCAGCTTTTTTCCAGTTAAGTTTCTCTGATTTTCTTCCTTGAATCTGAGATAATTTGTATATAAAATCTATCTTCAATCACATAAGCAGAGTCTTTTTGTTGTCGTTGTTGTTTTTGGTTGTGAAAAAAAAAGATTTTTTTTCTTTCCCCTTTGCCACTTATATAGCAGATGCTTCATGCTAACATTTATTTCAACACACATCCAGGCATGACTGGGCTTCAAGTAGGTAGAAGCAGGAAGGATGGGGTTAACAATGTATGGAAGCTATTACAGTGCAGATAATATTTATGGAATGTTACTTTTATCTCTCTCTTGCTTTATTTCTTTATTTAAGATTTCCCTTAAGAAAACTGTTTTGAGATCGGTAATGATTTCACTATGTATGAGCATCTCATATGTGTAACTCTCAGGTGAATTGTCCCATTCAGTCAATGATATTTTTAAGTGCAGCTGTCATTGTTTACAGAGAAAGAAGATATATAGTCACAAATGTATTAAACAGATCTATTAGGCAGAAGCAACCTGGAACATAATCTGAACTTACTGCCTAGAATCATCTCTCTCTCCCTTAGAGGTGGGCCTGTGCTATAATTCACATTGGTGGGGCTTGAGAAATAAGGAGGGATGGACCAGGTGCCAAACCTGCCAGCACCTTGATCTTGGACTTCCCAGACTCCAGAACTGTGAGAAATAAATTTCTGTTGCTTCTAAGCTACCCAGCCTATGGTATTTGTTACAGCATCCCAAATACACTAAGACATAGATCAATGGAATAAAACAGAGAGTCCAGAAGTAGATGCATACACGCATGGCCAATGGATTTTCAACAAAGGCACCAAGACAATTCATGGGATAAATAATAGCTTTTCCTACAAATGATGTGGCAACAACTATTTAATATATATCCATATTTTTAAAAAGGAATCTCAACCCTTATTCTCATACCATACATAAAATTTAACTCAGAATGGATCATAAACCTAAACATAAGAACTAATATATAAAACTGCTAAAAGAAAATACAGAAGAAAATCATCATGTAGAGAGCATCAAAGATTTCTTAGGACACAAACCATTAAATAATGACAATTGGATTTCATGAAAATTAAAAACTCTGCTTTTTGAAAATATTGTTAAGAAAATGAAAAGGCAAGCCACAATATATTTTTTAAAACTCAACAACTAAATTAGACAAACAACATAACAAAGAATGAGGAAAATATTTGAACGGACACTATACAAAAGAAAATAATCAAGTGACTAATAAGCACATGATGAAATGCTCAGTGTCAGTAGTCACCATGAGACACCACTTCACACTCCCTAGAATGAGTAAATAAAAAAGATCAACAATACCAAGCATTGGAGAAGATATGGAGCAATGAGAACTCTCCTACATTGTTGATCAGAACATAAAATGATACAACCAATTAAAAAAGTTTTAAAGTTTCTTGCAAAGTTAAACACACACTTTCCATACAACTGGCAATCCCATGCCTAGCTATTTACTCAAGGGAAATCAAAACACTGGTCTATAGGAAGACTTGTACATGAATGCTCACAGCAGCTATAATCATATTAGTCAAAAACTGGGAGCAATCTAATGCCCATCAGCATGTAAATACATGAATTATGACACATCCATACACGGGAATACTAGCTAGCAATGAAAAGAAATGAACAACATGGATGAACCTCAAAAACTTGCAGAATGACACAAGCTAGATACAAAAGGAGTACATACTATCTGATGCCATTTGTACGAAACTCTAGGAAGGCCCAAAGCAATCTATAGTGATAGAAAAGCCAGCCAGAGGGTGTGTGGAGATGGGAGTTAGGCGGAACTGACTGGGAATGGGCACAAGAAAGTTTTGGGGGTGATTGAAGTGTTCTGTGTCTTGATTGTGATGATGGTTATATACGTATATAATTTTGTCAAAACTCATTGAAAAGTGCACATGAAAAAGCTCTGGTTTGTCTCTGGGTTTTACCTGTTTTTAGGGACAGGCTGTGGAATATGTACACGTTGTTCTGGCCTCCACGTCCCCCTGGGGAATGCTGGGGACTTCCTGCAGCCTGCCTGGGCTGAAGGAGAGCCTGTGGGCTCACACCTTAGAAGAGGGAAGCTGGCTTCACCGGCCAGCTGCAGGCTTTTAAGGAGGCAGGAGCTGGAGGGGAAGTTGTGTCCTGTGGAGACTGGATGGGGTCACTCCATTTTCAACCCTGGGCCTCACAACACTAGGAAGCTGCACCAAAGCTCTGCTAAGAGTCAGTTATATTAGGGTGATTTTGCCTTATTTTATTGCTCCCAATTCCTAGTTTTCAGTCTCGAAGTCACCCTGAGGTGGCCCACTTTCCTTCCTGCAGGCATGGTCTGCCTAGCTGCAGTCACAACGTCTGCAGAAAAGTCAGTTTTCATCAGAGACTGCTGGTCTCACCAGCAGAAGTAGAGGGAATCCCGGTCCTCACCCAGTCTCATTCCCAAACCTCTTGTGAGTGACCAGAAGGACTGGGGCTTACCAGCTCCCTGCTTTTTGCATCAGGAAGGCACCAAACTCCAAGTCCAGAGTAGACTCTGCCTTACAATCCAGGAGATATACCCAGAGAGAGGTTGCCATACCCACGGGGGTACTATACATACCATTACACATCAGCTGGAATGGACACAAGGAACTTAGTGCGGTTTTCTTCTCTGTTTTTGCCTTCCTGGTGTCCTCTCCTTTACCATATGGTGTGATC
This sequence comes from Homo sapiens, assembly GCF_000001405.40. Taxonomy (NCBI): domain Eukaryota; kingdom Metazoa; phylum Chordata; class Mammalia; order Primates; family Hominidae; genus Homo; species Homo sapiens. Next base: position 42,691,232 of record NC_000007.14, read on the forward strand.
ACCCTCTAGGGGTCAAATGCCTCTTCGCATCCACACGAACATTCAGACTCACTTCAAGCCAAGGAAAATCTCTAATGCTGTAGATGTTTACCTCTTCAGCCCTCTCACAGAGGGCAAAGAGGAAGCCTGTGGGAGGGCCACAGAGCAACACAGTGGCTGCTGGAAATATTTTCCTGACTCAAAAGAAGGCAACTTAACGAGTGCAGGAGTAACCCAAGCGCTCGCCTACTTTCCCGGACCCACTCCTGCTGTCCAGAGTCACTTTCAAATACACCTGGGGAAATGGGCTTTGTCATAGTCTCACCCTGCTCTCTGCTTCTACATCTGATAACCTCCTTCCTATTGCTCTTACTCCTTCCTTCATTCCTCACAAAGTTCAATACAAGAGAATAGGATGTAAGGTTTTTGGGGTAGCTGAGAGGAACTATAGCACCAGACAGGAAATAATTCCAAGTTCACTTCTGGGCATTACTAAAGAAAGAACCCAGGGGCCATCTGACACCATAGTGGAGTTCTTTCCTGGCCTGCCCTTCCCATCTCCCAGGATTTTCTCCTCTTCAAGAGATTCTCCTTCATACTGCAAATTGCCAAATTCTTATTATTCTCTTTTCCTATTTAAGGCCTACCCAAGTGGCCTTATTTTTGTAATTATCTTAAGGTATCTTCCTCACTAAAAGATGATTTTGCCTTCTTCCTAAGAAGATAGGTTCAAAGTAGCACCAGGCTTTTGAAATTCTTTCTCCCCATTCTGCCTTTCATATATGTCTGTGTGTGCATATGTGCACATATGTGTGTAAGTACATATATGTGTGTGTTGTTTTGTGTATGTACATGTATGAGCATGTGACTGTATGTGTGTATTTTGTATACATTTATGTATATGTGTGTATGTGTGTGTTGTGTGCATATTTGCATGTGTGTGCATGTGTATGTTATAGTCACCCAAACATGGTTTACTTTATCCTTGCTTTTGGAGAGGAAGTAATTCTAGTCAAATGAGTCCAAATTACTATTTTTAAATTTTATTTAACCATTTTAGTAACAAACAATGTCTTGTTAGTGTGTACACAATTTTCACATTGGCATGGAACTTTGTCATTTGCTGATTATTGGACTTTTTCCCAAACACTTGTTTTGACTTACACAACTCCCCGAAGAAAATAGCTCCCAGTAGCAGTTTGCTTCCCTGAGGACCTAAAACTGGGCTCTGAATCTTTGACAGCAACTCACAATGTGGTTCTCAGAGATACAGAAGATCAGATGACTTCTTTAAGCTTTTCTCCCAAAGTGTGCACCACGAAGAGGTGGATCCAGTCCCCACTGACCGAGGCCACCCCACATGGAGCCCTCCTTGATGCTGAGTTAGAATGGTCTTCGCTTCACTCTCTTGTACGCAGGAAGCAGCTACAGTAGCGCCATGTCTTTGTTCCCTCCAGAAGCCGATTAACCCTTTGGGTAAAATATAAATTTTCTGACCTAGCTGCAGTTTCTTATTTCCTAGTCTCCCCTTCAGCACCAGACATAGGAAGCATGAAAGCTTAGCATCAGCGTGGAAAATATGACTCAAATGCAACACTTGCTCATTCCAGACGGCAACATGTTCCCTAAATGTAAAGCAAACTGTAACAGGAAACCTGATTTTCATTACAAGAGAGGAGTCTGTGTGTAGCTAAAAAGAATCTGACCAGAAAGGAATCAGTCAGTAATTCTACAGGCTCAAGAACCAAATGATCCTGTAGCAAAGAAGAAATGTGAATCAGAGAGAGAACTAAGCCCTGGCATTCATGTGTCAAGGCTCCCGATGGTGCTGAAATCTCAGAACATTTATTATCTTCCTTATGTCAGCGCTTCCTCTCAGTGCCGGCTCCTTGCCCCGTTTGCTCACTGCATACACCTGGAAGGCAGGTGAGCTTTGTCCGTGGTCCTCTCAGCTCAGTTTTTAGTCTCTTCTTTCCCCAGCCTTCTCTGCTCAAGAGACCATAACCATGGTGCCCCAGTGGTCTCCAGCAAGGTGTGCGTTTTCCCAGTGACTGGCATCAAGTGCAACAGGCGTCAAGTAGTTGGGGGATGCTGGAATGAATGGATCTCCTTCCTCGTCTGACTCACAAGAGAGCTACTCTCTTGCCTTCACCTATGTAGCCCAGCTCTCAACCCAATGAACAAATCTACACAGAGATGTTCATCAATAAAGAGCAGCTTAATGAGTTACCAGCTCAACCATAATCACAGAAGCAATGCCTTCACTCAATAAAGGAAACTGTAATTGTGACAGCAAGAGACACAAACTCCCCAGAAATAAAACGTAACAGGACCATTCCTATTTACTTCTAATGGATAGTCCTGATCTATCGCATAGAACATTTCCCTTCCAAATTTTAAATAATTAGTGAATAATAAACTCTGACATAATTTTGAGATAAAAAAACACACAATCACAATCCACTGGAAGATCTGGCTCCTTTCTCTAAATTTTGAGCTGGGTGGCTTTATTACATTTTTGTGTAAGAGTCCATCCTGAGTTCTATTCAGCCAGGATCCCTGTGCTGATCCATGGTGGTTTAGAGTCAGTCTGCCCCTTCCCTCCCAGCCCAACTCCCTGGAGTGACTGAAACTGAGAATTAGGCTTCCAAACTTCCTCACAGCTCCACAGATGTGGACTGAGTAAGAGGTTGTCCTGGGACCGCACTCAAAGTTTTGGAGCGGATCTGGCCTCAGGCCCCAGCCTGGGTTCGCACACTCCTCAGATGTCCCTGCATGCGTAGCCTAGGAGTCACAGCCAGGAGCTTCAGCCTCCAGGTGTGATTCCCGGGGAACCACAGAATCTTGGCTAACTGCCTCTAGTTGGCCTCCAAGCTTCAAGCATGCCCCACTTCAACCTAGAACACTCTTCTCTAGCCTCCTCAGAAGACCAACTGACTCCTATTTATTTATCCTCCCATTTCCAGTGTGTCCTCTGGACTTATCATGATCTGCGATGCCTGATAAATTCCTTTATATGGCATTCATCGCATTTGTAACAATTTGCCTAGAGCCTATGTCCCCTGTAAAACTATATTACCATGAGGAGCTAGCTCAGAACCAGACTTTGGTAAGATACTTGCAAATACCTGTTGAATTAATGATAGAACTCACCCAACCACCATACCTAAAGTGAAAGGTGACTATGTCCTTTCAGGCTTTATCTGAATCATGGTGATTGCATTAAACTTGAATAGAAAAATTATAACTTGGGAAAGTGACCAAAGAAGAAGGGGAAAACCTAGTTACAATATACCCAAGAAACATTATAAAATACTGGGACAAACACAGGCTCTGAAGGCATGTCACTATGGGTCAAGGTCCAAACCTGTCTCACATGAGCTATGTGAGTCTAGTAAAATCATGTAAACTTGTTGTGCTGCATTTTCATTTGTAAAATGAGGATAAGACTACTACGGAACTGATGGAACCACCATGAAAATTATGTAAAGTAACACACACACATAGAACACAATTAAGAAATAGCATATTGTCCTCATCATTCAAAGCAGGGTCACTACCTTCATCAAAGACACTGCTCTGACAGTGAGGCCAGATCCCCACCATCACCATAGTGGGCCATCTCCTCTCCTAACCTCCCCTCTCATATTTCACAGGCTGGGAGCAAGACCAATTTTGGGGAAAATGCTGTATTATGAAGTGATATAAGGTGCTAAAATGTTTAGAAAAGTTTTTGGTCACACATTATACATGTTCTCCACCTAATTCAAGTTTGGTAAACTTTGCCATAACACTCTTGGCCATGTATAAGAATTAAAAAAAAAAAAAGTCAGTAATGATTAAACTCAAACCAGAACTGGACTCACTGGTTTGCCTTGCCAGGTCCCTTCATTGAGGAAGATGCCTGTAACAAACTGTAGAGCCAGGATAGCAAAGTCCTAGGATTCAGCACTCGGGCTTAGTACCAGGACCCAATCCGAATTCTGCAAACAGCGTCATGATATTCCCTGGGATGAATAAGGACCCCAGGGCTCTGCCTCTGTCAATTGAACTGAAAAGAAAGTTCTAGGGAAGAATGAGCTGTCATGAATCTAAGCAGCCATTGGCTCTTGGCACTTGTGCTGGAAACAGAAGTTGGCTCTAAGTCAAAGCTATAAAAGGGGTTGTGTGTGGAATACGTGTAGCTAAGCAGCTGCTGACATTGCAGAGTTCTACATAAAATCCCCAGGTCGGTTTCAGACATTACAACTAGGAGATCTCTTTATAGCCTTCACCGGCAATTTCAGTCAGGTTTCCTTAGGGGAATAGAAGATGCCAGGTTGAAACAGCTACATGTTCCAAGCCTGCAAGTCCTCATGTCCTTCATTCCATATTTCTCCCAAATAAAAAGATGTGAGTGTGGTAGGGCACAGAGAGAGAAGCAGGACAAACCCCAAGCCTGCTTAGATGGAGGAGAGAGGATTGAAAGTTGGAGCAGGACACTGGAATTAAATATAATGGTGAGTGACATGGCCTGGAGTTAGTGAATTATTTGGACAAAGCATTTGTTATTTTAACAAATCAGAGAAAGGCCGGGCGCAGTGGCTCATGCCTTTAATCCCAGCACTTTGGGAGGCCCAGGCAGGTGGATCTCTGAAGGCCAGGAGTTCAAGACCAGCCTGGCCAATATAGCAAAACCCTGTCTCTACTGAAAATACAAAAATTAGCCTGGCATGGTGGTGCACACCTGTAATCCCAACTACTTGGGAGGCTGAGGCAGGAGAATCACTTGAACCTGGGAGGCAGAGTTTGCAGTGAGTGGAGATTGTGCCATTGCACTCGAGCCTGGGCAACAGAATGAGCCTCCATCAAAAAAAAAAAAAAAAAAATCAGAGACAGCATAGTAATTTTCCAGCTAACCTACTTTTGATCAGTTTAAAGAGGTGGAGGTATCATGAATCTCAACAATCTTCCTCAGCCAACCTTTTGCACCTCTCCCATCGTGCCTTTCACTAAAGCTGCTGTGCTAGCATTGTGTCTCCTTTCTACTTCCCTGCCAGAGAAGTTCGTGAGTAGTAAAAATGACTTAAGGGCATGTAGCAGAAGGGAGGCGAAGGGAGGAGGAGGAGGAACCAAGGCCCTAGATAATCTTTAAATTGTATGATCGAGTTCCAGAAATTTGACTTCATCTGTGTTAAGGAGTTTTTAATAAAATAAATCTTATAATCAAAGAATGTTAGAGCTGGAAGAGACCTTTATAGAGATCCTTAGAACCCTATCTATTTAAGGGTATAGATAAGGCCACATTTATCCCAGAATAAAGGACTGATAAGAATGTTTCAGAAAATAAATTTTGGAGGTTGGATAGTCATTTATGCAACTGACAAGATGCTCAGTATGTTTGCAGCAAGGAATGAAGAGGCATTAGGTTCAAGAAAGAGAAAGTAATGTTTTGAAGAATTACTGAAAGGCAATGCAGGAACAAGACTAGATAATGTTCAGAGTTGGTCTTTGTCACTAGAGGAGAGTAACATTTATTGGAAGCCTACTATGCGGCATGTGTTTTCCCATGCCCTATCTCCTTTAATCCCCATCATAGACCCTTCTGATCATATGCTAGTGGCACCTGCCAAGACTGCAGAGAGTGAGAGGGTACCAGGGAAGACTATGGAATAAGCAGGGCCCATATTGGCTCTTGAATGAGGAGCAGTGAGCTCAGCAACATGGCAGGGAAGAAGAGATGTGCTCTTGAGGCCAAGACAGCAGGGTGAGTTAAGTCTCTGAAACCAGAGGGAGCATGGCATGGGGAAGGTCTGGTGGGAGCTTTGAGAGGGAGAAAATGAATGCATTGAGGAGCAGGCAGGAGCCAGACTGAAAAGGGTGAAGTAAGTCATGCAAGGATGTGTCACCTTCAACTTGAAGGACACGGGAATAGCTGAAATAATTCAAGGAGGAAGGATGAGAAGAGAAATGATCATTTTTATCTCTAGAAAAATTGTTCCTGCTCTAGTTGGAAAGACTACAAGATTGGAGTCAGAGAGATCAGAGAAGAGGTTTCCAGGAGGGAAATGATAAAGTAAGTGAAGAATTTGCTTTCCTCTGTTCACTCTAGAACATTTCCAAAGTGTGGGTGACAGGCCTTGTGATAGTAAGAAAGAGGTTAAATATTTTGAACAGTATGCGGAAGAAACAGGAGAAAGATTGCAGAGTTTGTAGAAGAAAAAGAATAATTTCTGCAAGAAAGGGAGAGACTATAGATTAAGGTAGGTCTAAGAGGAGCCATCACTGCTTCAGCCCACAGCTGCTGTTCCCAGGAGGGGCTGCAGGATGACACGTCACAAGCAAAGAGCCACAAGACAGAGCTTGGAAAGGTCCATTGTTTTTGTCATTTTTACTCTGGCCAATCATATCTAAAAGACCATTATACAGGCAGTTATCTGAACAAACAGGAGCCTTTTATTAGCAGTTGGGAAACTTAACAAGAAAAGTAGAGGCAGATTTAATTCCCAAGGACTTCAGTTGGGCAATCAGAAATTCAACTGTGATGAGATAAAGTATTTAATCAATTGTCTTTCTGGTTCAGAATAGGAAACTGGGTCTTAGAGTGAGCAAGTGACTGGCTCGATGGCATCTATATAGTGAGTGGTGGGGTTGGGATTCAAACCCACACTCGTTTTATTTCAAAGTCACTAAACTGTAGTGCCTCCATGACATAAAAACTCTTGTGATAATTTATATACTTTGGCAACATATTATAAAAGTATTTCTAAGAGGACTCCATACACAATTGTTTTAAATGTTGAAGGGCTAGGTCTGTTGAGTTGTTTCATTAGATAGGTGGTTCTGATGTGTTTCCTGGATAGTTCCAAACTGGAGGAGAAATCCTAGATCCACAATAACAATGAAAATAGCATTTCTCTAATTTTAGCTGCCCCACACTCTGTTATTGAGGACTTCCAGCCACTTAGTGAAGCAGCACTTTCAGTTCTAATTGAAGTCTCCTCTTCCCAGTTGGCAGAAACTTGTAGAAGTGACAGATAGCATACAAGCCTCAGAAGTGTACCTTCTCCGAATGCTGATACCTTGTCTTTGGACTGCCTTAGTACCTAGGGTCTTTTCTAAAAGTCTTGCTTTCTTGATGGCTGTCTGTGTCAATGCAAATAGAACCATGGCAGGCCTTCCTCACATTCCCTCCAGAGGTGCCTGGACATTTCAAATTGTGGAACTCAAGCTTCTGCCCTCATGGCATAGGTTAACATTCATCCACAGGCAATGATCAAGGTAGTCAATTACTACATGTGTTTGGTTGTTTTTAATAGACCTATTTATAATCCATAAGGAGATCCAGCTTGATAATATAATCAATTATAATAGATCCTTGGAAGTATATTTGATTATCAGAAAATAGCAAGCATAATTTTTCTATATGGCTCAAACTGACACAAAAGACGGATCCTAGAGAAGTTTGGGGAATTGGTATGGTCACAGGAACATGTGTACAGACGTTCAGGCCTATTTCTTTGGCAGATAGCATTTATCCAGAGGTTTAGTTTTGTTCTAAAGTTAATCTCGCTGCTGTTAGTCATACCTCCAGCATCATTCTACTTTGAATGTATGATAGGACAGGGGAGCAAAGTTTGCTGACTTTAATCAAGCCAGATGACTTTTCATATTCACACCAGCTGTTGGCATATGCTGAGTTTTACTTTATTTCCTTCTCCTGGGAGTCATTCATTAATAGGTATAAAGAATTGCCCTAAACATTTTTTTTGGCAACTTCACATTTCAATCCACAACTGCTAGACACACTAAAGTATTATATTTGCAGTTAGCCTATGCAGCGTGCAGATTTTTCCTAATAGAGTTCTACTTTAAGTCTGCCTCTGTTCTTATCCATAGAAGGGGAAAACTTAAGCCAAAAAGGAAAAAAAAATTGGATGATTGCCACATATCTCTGCAAATATGGGTTGGACGTGAAATAATTTAAAATGCGGTAAAACTTAGTAATTTAGCATATGGGTTAGTGAACATGCACATATTTTGCCAAGAGCCTGCACACAGATGAAAAGCCCATTTTCTAGACGCCAATTCATGGGGTTCTACAAGCCCCTTGTTTACTTTATTCATTGCAGAGCCTATTTTTATTTGTAGTTTTTGTGGCAAAATTGTTGGTAGCAACTATAAAACCCAGGCAAAAGTCTTAGGAATGATCCTTTGCTACCCACATTTATATCAGCAATCAGCGGGGTTGGGGGGTGGGCGGGGAGAAAGTGGATAAAGCAGTGAAATATAGACCTGCCAAGTGATTGCAAAAATTAGGAAACTCCTCTTGAAAGAAAGTAGTGGGTTATATACGGATGTTCTAACCTTTCATGTGTTGGATGTACCCCAGAAGTTATATATCTCTGTTGTCAGCAGCCACATGGAGGTAGATAAGGGGAGAGATTCCAGTCTCTTTCAGCATTCTGTGTATCATTTCCATGTACAAATATCTGCTTCAGTGTCAGCAGTTCTGTACAGAGAAAAAGCACGTGGAAGGGACGAAAGAACAGAGCAGCCAGGTTCCAAAGAACAGAGCAGCCAGGTTCCGAGTAGATAAGGCTGTCTGTCACCTTTTCAAGATTGACCTCAGCCTTTCAGGAAACCGAGGTAACAACATGAAACTAGTGAATTCCAGTGGAGAAACACTGAGTTGAATATTTTCAGCATCCTGGGTTTTCCAGGATTTTCACAAGTGAGAAATGCAGAGACGATGGTGATAGGGAAGCTCCAGCCTGGGCCACACAGCAGCGTCAGTGCCTGCAGGACAGCAGCTGGCACTGGTGGTGGTGAAGGCAGCGAGGCTGGTCCGAAGAAACAGAAGGAGCAGCAGATACTTTTGAACCTCATGTTAATACTCTAACAAAATCTCTTTTACTTCATTTATTACAAATTGGCAAAGGAAAAAGAAACCATGTTAACCAAACAAACAAAAACAATAAAAAGTTAAAAATAACAGAGCAGAAAGCATGACTGCAGAGTGCCAATGGTCATTGTTCTCTTTAGCTTGTGCTACTTAAGAAAGCTTCATCTGCTTTTTACTTTTTTGTTTTCCAGATTTTCTGTGATCACTTTCTTTCTCTTCATCCTCATGTATTTAATTTTTGTACTGATTTATTTATTAATCTGTGTTTTAAAAAATCATATCATGTTTCAATGTCGTGAGGTTCTATTAAGCTTAGATTGTAAATATTATATTCTAGAGAATTTACTGAGTCAGAAGAGAGATGAATAAAGCCAAGTTCATCAGTCGAAGCTTCAGGGACATTTAGATAAATAAACATAATCATTGCATTGACAATAGTTAAACACCATCTGGTGAGGATCAGTTCCTGAAATGGAAAAGCTGGGAGCCAAGTGAGTAAAGTGGGAGAGAGACTCCTTCTGGTCAGGGAAAACATAGAACTTGGGTTCAGCGTGGGAGTACTGCATTTTTAAATTTCTGTCTTAGCATCTATGGTTAGCGAAACCGTCCCCCTGCTCCCTAATAGAGAAGTCACTTTGAAGGTAGGTGGTGGCAATGTGGAGCTCTGACAGATAAGAGACCTCTAGAAATCAAATCCTTCATTACTGCTTCCCAATGAATCTGAAGTCATTGGAAATAGCAGAAAAATTATGTAAGTGCTGTGACATCTTACTCAGAGTTAATGGGGTTTCTCGTATACCTGCTATGTGCCAGGCATGGTGCTGGAGGCCATAAAGTCATGTGACCTTGAAGGACTTTTGGCTCCTACCATCAAGTTTTGGAAGAAGTTGAAAGGAGTCTTTGATAAAACTTGGTGAAACTCCAAAGTTAAATTAAGCAACAATTGATAAGAACTGGGGACCCATTTCTGCCTTGGCTCACATGATTACTTGCTCTTTCCTATTTCTCCTCCTTCTTTCTGGCCCTGATAATCCTGACAGTCCCCATTCCTGGTTTGGGCAGTGCCACCCGGCACAGAGTAAGAACTGGGCTGTCCAACCATGGACCCAAAGGGAGTCACAGCCAGACCTCAGAGGATTCTCAGCTTTCAAACCTATAGACCTGGATGCCAGGCCTCATTCTTTCACTTTCCATCTCTGTGACTATATTCATCAAAGCTTTCCCAGGAAATGGAACCAATAGGATTATCTATCTATCTATCTATCTATCTATTCATCTATCTATCTATCCCTCCATCTATCTTTCATCTATCATTACCTAAAGAGATTTATTATAAGAAATTGACTTATGAGATTATGGAGGTTGAGAAGTCCAAGATCTGCAGTTGACAAGCTAGAAACCCAGGAGAGCTGATAATGCGATTCCAGTCCAAGTCTGAAGCCCTGAGAAGCAGGAGAGTTGATGGCATAACTTCCAGTCAAAGTTTGAAGGCAGGAGAAGAGCCCTGTTCCAGCTCAAAGACACTCACAGAGAGAGAGAGAGTTCTCCCTTCCTCAGCTCTTTTGTTCCAATCAGGCCCTCAACAGATTCAATGAGCCCCACACACATTGAGGAGGGCACTGTGCTTTACTCAGTTCACCAATTCACATGTCAATTGCATCCAGAACCATCCTCACAGACACACCCAGAATAACGTGTGACCAAATATCTGGGTACCCTGTGGTCTAGACAAGTTGACATGTTTTGATGTGACCTTGGGCAAGTTGCTTAATCTCAGAGCACCTCAATCACACATTTGTAAAAATGGGACTAATTCCTCACTGGGCTAATAGGTTTAAATTGTAGGCAACATCTTTGGCACAGTGTCCGTTCAGTGGGAAGGACTTAATGATCAGCAGGTATCAATCATGTCCACAACAGTTATCATACCCCAGGAACTTTGTAGGTGTCAAGCTCTATGACACCAACGCTTTAGACATATTATCTCACTTAATGCTCACATCAACCCTATGAGGTGTTTTTATCCCCATTTTATAGTTGAGTAAACTGAGGCTCAGTGAGTTATACCTTGTCCCTTGGTCACACCAATAAGTAGGCCATAAAGCTAGTATTTGAACCAGATGTTCTAACCCCAGAGCAAGCTCATAGCTGTTACACTGTGTTTCCTCAAGCTAGAGGCCACACGAATTACATAAAAGTTAATTAGCCCACCATCATTACTTATTTTAATTTGTAGCATTACAATAGTATTATTCTCTACCATTTTTTATTATAAATACAAAGTATTCCAGCTATGTTATGTGGTAAGTAGGTTTTTATAAGGTAGCCTGGAAGCCTAACTGCCATTTATAATACCATTTCTGAAAATGTGATCTGAATTTTAAACAACCAACCTAAAAATGAGCTTTGAATAGTGACATGTTTTCAAGTTGGGGCCCATTTGCTGAAATCAGCAAAACGGGGTAATGCTGGTTCAAGTTGTTTCATTACAGGTTTCTTTAAACATTGTTGAAGGTTGTTCTATGAAAAGCTATGCTAGTGTCTCTCACAGCACTCCATATTATTGGACTAGGTAGCCCCAGGACACAAAAATCAAAAGTATTCCCCTGAGTACTCATCCAAGTCAGCAGGCAACTGAATTGTAGGCAAACTCTGAAGTAGGGGGAAATAAGGACAGATTTGCAAGTTCTAGCTTAGAAATTCAAGAGACTTTCAGGCACCCCACCATGCAGGCATCCCCAGTGCTCTGTCCCTGCAGAGGCAAGGGCTCCCACTTGCCCTGCCCACTTAGAGCAGCTTCACAAGCACTCGAACACTGGAAACAGAAGGGCCTCAGTTTGGCTCACAATTAGCAACTTACTAGCTGTGCAACCTTGGCTTTCTAATTAAAATAACATCTCTAACCCTCATTTTTTTTCCATCTGTAAAATAAGTCTAATCATAACTATTTGTAGGATTGCTGTGGGATTACATAAAAGCTTTTATATATAGTTCCTGGCAACTGCGTACACCTTCAGTATAGAGCCATTCTTCACAACTTCTCTTATCTTTTCTGCTATAATTTCTGGGCAGGTTGAAGGTAGAGATAACAGTGATTGTTACCCATGGCCTGAGTATAGACAGCCAAGAAAGTGGTGGAGGAAGGAAGGAGGCTGGGAAGTGTTGCCCATACTTTTGGCCATGAGAAACCCAACAAAGCTCTGCCAAATGTGGGGTTCCCATTAGTGAGGCTTTCTAGGTTCAGGTTTCATTTTTTAATTTCTGCCCTGAAGACATGCTGATGGGAAACAGAAATACCTTTATTCCACCTGGATTTCAGGCAGCTTGTTCTTAGGCTGCTGCAGGCACCGGGCCCTTCCTGGAAGAGGCAAGGAGGCCAGGCCCAGGTGGGAAGGCCAGACAGTTCAGTAGGGTCACTGCACCTCTCTCCTTCCTTGTCTTTGCCAACTTTGAAGAAAGCCTATTTGAGCTAACATTTATCCTAAATGCACTTTCTGAAAAACTAATGCAAATCTAATAGGTAAGATCTTTATTCCAAGGAGCAAATGCTTCCAAATTATACCCCTATTAAAAAATACAATTTAAAAACCACATGGCAATAACAAAAAACTGAAGGGTCCATAAATTAGGAAAGAGTCATACCCTTGTGCAAAATAAAACTCTGGTCTATAAGACACTTCAATCCAACCAGAAATTCTGTTTGCCCCTGGGTTTTACATATCCTCAGTTCGCTCATCAGTACAATTTGAGAACTTAGAAATAAAAATAATAGAGATACTTTAGTACTCAATTAGTCATTCTGCCTACTGAAAACAAGGATTAAAGCCTCTATTAATTAAGTCACAGTCAACAACAAAACCTTCTGTTGTGTTTTGTTCATTTGACACATATTTAGGTCATATTTCTATACTCTCTTTCTTCCTCATGGACTATATCGTGTTCTCAGAAATAATTTAAAAATATTAATGACAGAAAGTAATATGAAATCCCTAGTCTACAATTTTATTTTCATTTCTTTTAACCTACTATATCTTCTGCCTTTGGCTTGGAAGCCCCTTATTTTTTTTTCCTAGCATGTTATGTCATGTTTTTATAGCATGGCTGTGCTAATGACTAGTATTGAAAAATTCTGAAATGAAGGTAATTAGTCTCAGAGAGGTTAAATTACCCAAAACCACCCATCTATTGAGTGACAGTGTCAGGATTCAACTTCTTGTCCTTTGACCCCAAATCCCATATAATTTCCAATATAAATAAACTGTCAGGATATTTCCAATGTATCTGGATACTGAAAAACAGGTGTTAGATCTATTTTGTTGGGCTCTTATGAGAAAATAATTTTGGTAACTCCAAAATTTACTGAGAATTATTTCAGTCTTACTAATACATTAACTCATGATTATTCCCAAGTTGATTGAGGCATGAGTTCTATATGTATAAAAAAGACTCTGGGGCCAGAACAGGATGTCTGGGAAGCCAGAGCCTCTTGGTACAATCATGAAACAACCTAGAGTTCCTTCCTCAGTGCAGACTGTTTTGGCTCTAGAGTCTTTCTGCACAGATAGAAATCATGCCTCAATGACCTTGAGACTAATCATAAAGCTACTTTAGTATATGGGCATGATGACTCCAAATTGGTACCACTGACTTCATGTTAAAGAGTTGTTAAGACTCCAGTAAGCACATTTTTGAGATAAATAATTTAGACAAGGGAAAGTAAGCTTGTACCAAAAAGGTCAGTTCCAGTGCCTGTCATAGTCATCCAAGAAACTGCCAAGGCCATAGTCAGTACTGAGGAAGGACCCCTTCGTCATCCTGTGAGCTGGGAGCCGTCCACTGTGCCACAAGGCTGTGGCTTCACAGCCATCCTAACTGCATGGGCTATCTCAAATGGCCATAGTCAAGGTAACCAGTAAATTATGAATTGGCCTGACAAAAAAAAAAAAAAAACTATAATGAAATAGCCTCTTTGAGGGGTTTGAAAATGAGACTCCACTTATAGTCTGAGCAGAGGATAAAATAAGGAGAAGGAAAATAGTTGGGAGCACCAAATAAGTTCAAGTAATGAGTAAACTTTAAGGCAGCAATAATAATAATAAACAATAATATACAGTACTTACAAAATGCCATGCTCTGTTTCAAGGGCTTTATCTCTCTTGACTCATTTAATCTTAGCAACAAGTGCATGTGGAAGGATAATTGCCAGGAGTTCCTCAATAATGACAGAGGTTACTTCTGACGCCATTACAGCAACAACCACAGAAAGCAATAAGACAGCAAAAGGATTACCCGGCCCTCCAGACACCTGGCTTACACCATCACCATCCAGCTCTCTTCTCTGCATGGCCTGGTTCCAAATACTTCTTCCTCTGAGATTCCATTTCCTCCTCTGTATCCCTAAGATAATCTCATTACTAAAGGTAGCATAAATGGGTTTCTGTTCTTTGCAGCCTAACAATGTGAATTGACATAAAGCTCATTCACAGCCATATTGAGTATAGTTAGAGAAAAAAATTCAGAAATATAGGTCCATAGTTCAGCATATGCTCTGAGGTCATCAAAGTAAGCAGAACTCCCCAGAAGGAATATGAAAGAATTTTCAATCTGCATCGCCAGTGGAATTAAACAAATAATGTGCAATATATTCACATCAGTACTTTTGCCTTTTGCACAAAATCAACTAACTATGTATGCAACCATGTCTGATACTTAGCACTTCAGCAAATGTTTGAATAATGTTATCGAATAAGAAAGTGGATGTATGTGTGTGGGGACACAAATGTGTTATGTCCTATGGCCACCTGCACATGATACCAAGAACACTGTCAACATACATGTTATCTACAGATAGGGAAGAAATAACAAAGAGAAACAAAAAGCTCGTGAGGCTACTGTGTGATAGTAAACGCCAGGAAACCATGAACTATCTGTACAGGACACATTTGCCTTTGTACCCCAAGAAGTTAGCACAGTGCCTCGCACATAAAGAACTCTCAATTCTTCTGTAATTGAATGGAACTGAATTGATCTAGTTACTATGTATCCTTGCTTAATCTCCAGGTAGCCATGTGATTGCAATGAATACCATTAATGCTGATGAATTTTATTATCTTATGAAAGCATTAAACTTCTGTACCTGTTAAGATCAAACTTCTGAAATTTATTGTTGCAGGACTTTTCCTTAGTTCAGCTAAAGACTGGGTCCTTGTCCATCCCACAGCCACAAAAATTTAGGCTTACAGGCTGGGCGCGGTGGCTCACGCCTGTAATCCCAGCACTTTGGGAGGCCGAGGCGGGTGGATCACGAGGTCAGGAGATCGAGACCATCCTGGCTAACAAGGTGAAACCCCGTCTCTACTAAAAATACAAAAAATTAGCCGGGCGCGGTGGCGGGCGCCTGTAGTCCCAGCTACTCGGGAGGCTGAGGCAGGAGAATGGCGTGAACCCGGGAAGCAGAGCTTGCAGTGAGCCGAGATTGCGCCACTGCGGTCCGCAGTCCGGCCTGGGCGACAGAGCGAGACTCCGTCTCAAAAAAAAAAAAAAAAAAAAAAAAAAAAAAAAAATTTAGGCTTACAGATGGTTTGAAGAGTAAAGAAGGGTTTGAGTGAAAAGGAAGAAAAGGGGGACACAGAGACTCTCCGCGAGGCCAGAGTTCTCTGCTAGAGCGCTTCCTGCCTCACCGCTTGAATCCCACGCTACAGACAGGAAGAGGAGGGGCCAGACTCCTCCTCATTGCAAACTGCGGGAACTGCCGTAGCTCCACCCCAGTGCTCATTGCTCCGAGGGCGCAAGTCTGTTGGAGATTTTCTGGGCCCCCCCATCTGACTGTCTCTTTATTTCCGTAAGATGGCTTTGTTTATATCACACACACAAAAAATAAGAACATAAAGGAACCTTTGGAAAAGATTGTATGATGTGCTTGAATTTTTATTTTTTTAAATCGTAAGGTATTTTCTTACAGACAACTATAAAGAAACTTCAGCACCCACCAGCCTGCTTTATCAAAATAACATTGGTCTCTGTTAACTGTTTTTTAAATTTATTTTTATTGAACTCCAGATGCACAAAATCAGATTAATCAGAGTTCTTGGTTCTTGACACAATATGATCCTCGGCTCTTTCATGGCTTTCAATTAGTTATAGATTACTTTATTCATGTAGTCATTTTTTTATTTTGAATAATATGAGTACTCCTGAATCCACAATGCAATCCAAAAACTTAACACATTAACAATAACTAGGCTTCACCCTATCTTGTGTTCCTGCCTACCCCTTCGGGACAAACACTATCCTGATTTTTGTGTTTGTCACTTTCTTGGTTTTTAAAAAACATTTTATTATATATATACCACATATAAAAAATATCATATATATGATATATATATAATATATATATATATAGTCAATATGTTGTTTTCAACCGATACATTATTTTACTTGTTTTGACCTTCATTAAAAGCGTATCATGTTACACGAAGTCGTCTAACACGCGTTCCAGGGACTCAATATTACATTACTAAAATTCAACTGCGTGTTATATGTCTCTGGTCCACTCAATGCTGGCTTGTTCTGTTGTGAAGACTTGCCTCAATTTTGCATGATTTGGGGTTGTTTGCCATTTTTACCATTAGATAAACTACTGGTGAACATGCTCATAGGTATCTTTTGGTGTGCTGTGCAAGAGATTGTCCTGGGTGTACTTCTTATAGTGGAGTTTCTGGGCCATAGGATATATGAATAACTACCTTCCTAATAGACTGCCAAGACATTTTCCAAAGCGGTCGTCCCAATTTTCACTCCCACCAGTTGGTCCATACACTCTAATACATGGTTAGTCAGATTCCTTAATTTTTCCCAATAAAATAGGTGAAAAATGACATTTCATTCTGGCCTTGATTCTAATTTCCATGGTTACTAATGAGGTGGAATATTTCATCATTTTATTGGCCATCTATGTTTTCTTTTCTATAAAGCACTCGCTGATATATTTTGCATATCTTTTTTATTGAATTGCTTGTGGCTTCGGAATTTTTTTACATAAAATAAAAATTGCAGATAAAGTTGAGATCCTCATGTAGCTATCCTTGTCACATTTCCTTTTTCATTCCTCAGCATAAATCACTATCATTAATTTAATGTTTCTCTTTCTTAGGCACCTTTTGATCAATTTATCATATATTTGTGTATATATAATATATACATAGTGCTATTGTGCTATTTTTTAAACTAACAATCAATAGCATCCTATTTGTCAATGTTTGTAAAACTTACTTTTCTCTCAACATTATGTTTATGAGATTTATTCTGATTGTTGTGGCTCTCATTTTGTCTTTTAAACTGGTATATAGTATTTCACTGTATAAATATACAAAAATATATATTTATGCATATTCCTATTGATGGACTTTTAAGTTTTATCAATTTATTTTACTATCATAAACATTATGCAGGAAACCTGATTATATGTGTCTCCATATGCACATATGCAAAAGTTTCTCCAGGAAACATACGTAAAAGTTAAATGGCTCAGTCATGGGCTATGCACATCCTCACCTTTAATAACCATCACCAAAGTAATTGCACTAAATTCCACCACCAGGATATGACAGCTCCTATTTCTCCACGTTTTTTCTAACATTTAGAGTATTTAGTTCACTCGTTTTCCCCAATCTGCTGTGACATAGTATATTACTATAGTTTTAATGTGCATTTCTATCACCGTTAATGAGTTTGAGCATTTTTCAGATGTTTGGATTCCTCTTCTATAAATCTCTTGTTCATTCTTTCCTTGTTTCAATTTTTTGAGGTTTATTTTTCCTATTAACTTATATATTATAAATAAATTATCTATCTACTTACAATTTATGATTTATTGTATATTATTGTCGTTTATCTGTTTTGGGGGTAGATTTTGAAACATTTTCTCCTACTCAGTACCATGTCTATTTCTCCTTCCCTCCTCCTTTCTTCCCTCTTTTCTTGTTTCCTCCTCCCTCATTTCCTTCCTTCCTTCCTCCCTCCCTCCCTCCCTCTTTCTTTCTTTCTTCTTTCTTTCCTTCTTTCTTTCTCTCTTCCTTTCTTTCTACAAAACTTGTGATCTTAATGTAGTTACATTTGTAATTTTTTCGTTTTCACATTTTTGTTTGTCTTTGTCTGAGATGCCCTCTCCTAAGCTAATACCATAAAGATATTCTCCTATCATTTTTTTCCCAAGCATCATACAGTTCCTCAGTCATCTTTAGGTCAACATTCCAGCCAGAATTGATTTGAGGGCATTAAGACAGAGAGCTGATCTTGCTGTATTTATTAAGCAGTGCATTTTTCCCCATCATTTTGTAAGGCTAGCTCGGCCACGGATCAGGTTTCCATGCATAAATATGTGCATTTGTGACCTACTTCTCCAGCTCTGCACTGACATTATGCTACACAAAGCTCTCCAGCTTCCTAAGATGTCATATCCAATAGGGCAAACACTTCCCTCATGATGTTCTTCTTCAAAAAAGTTGTTTTGGCGATTTGTGGCCCTTCACTGTCCAATGAAGTTTTTAGACTCAGGTTGTCAATTTCCACAAACTCCTCTCTGGATTTTAACTATAACTGTAGTGAATTGCATGGAAATTGCTTTTCCTAACATAATTTCTGGCCTGGTCTTTTTTTTTTCTGCCTTATTTTCTCTTAATCTTAAATTTGTTTTAAATATTTTTCATATTTTACTACAAACTACTATTAATTCTTTTTGGTACTAGGCAGGACATAATTGAGCAAAATGGGTGAATAAGAGCTTCTCTATGTTTCCTGTGGGTAAGCTAAGTACTCTGGAGATACAATGTTTTGGGTGGATTTAGAATCTTGCACATTCCTGAATATCAATCTCATTAGGCAGTAATATAAGCACCATATCCATTTTTAAAGTGTGCCAGAAGGCAGACTAAATCCATCCTAATCCCAACAAGAGAAAAAACTTGTTTAGGTTGAGATGGGGGAATAATTAACCCTCCTATCTGAAAGGGAACAAATTATTATTCCTGCACCTTTCTATAAAACATGAGCACAAGCACAGGGTCTTTCAGCGTACTGGTAGAATTATTTTATTGTCTCCATCTTTATCACTCTAACTTTGAGCTAAATTCATATGTGAAGTATCCTTGTGTGAACGTTGTTCAAAATAGCATCACTTTTCTTTGCATTAAATGAGCTTTACCTCCTTTGCAGTACTAATAGCGGTCATTACCTCTAAGAGTTGTACTCAGCGATAAGATAATGCCCCACTATCTGAGATTTCATAGTGCCTTTCACCTAATATTCACTCTGCCTCTGAAAAAACATGAGTGTAGGTCCCATTTTATAGATGGTGAAGTCTGGGTACCAAAAACTGAAAGACATTCTATTCCCTCTATTAAAACTCTATGGAGTTAAAAAGGAGCACAGCCTGGCAGTCACCTTTGTGGAGAGTCCAGCCATGTAATGCACACTATAATGCAGGAGGGCTGAGTTTGCGGATTAAACACTGGCATGGTTGCCAAGGTCTGCTTTCTTTATGTGTCTTGGACCCAGCCAAGACCAGCATGCAGTGACTTTGGGATCACTAGGCTTCTGTTCCTATGAGTTGCTCATTTCCCAGCCTTTCCCAAAGAGTGTGTTGGAAAACAGAGGGATGTGAATAGATAGTTATACATGAAAATGGATTCCTTGGCCATATAGGCTTGAAAACATTAAAGCGTAAAAAAGCTTCTCAAGTGTAGAATTTGTGAACTCTGACTATGTCATTGTTAATCTCCAAAAGGATCCAGAAAATACCACATCCTCAAATATTTTGATAATAGCATTCTTTTTATTACACAGCAGCAGTCACAGAACTAATGCAATACACAAATAACTGGGGACCATCGCTCAGTGGATTTCAAACAAATATATACTTTGATACATTCAAATCCTGAATGATATGAAAGAATTACTACTAAATTCCTGTTGAATGGTATAATGTTTAAGGAAACACTTGTACATTTTTTTAAACATTAAAACACCCAGATTAGAAACAGCATGTCTGTCCCACCTGACTGGGCACATTTGAGAAGGCTGGACCTTCTCAACATTCTCAAATCTCACCTACCTCAATACAGAAAGGAAGGTGAGAGAGGCAGTCAGACTGTCACTCATCAAATGGCAAGAAACTTGAATCAGTGTGCAAAAAGAATGTTAGAGGTCATCTCGCACATCCTTGCCTTCATCATCTTAAATGTACTGGCAAAGTATAGACTCCCTTGGACTATCATAGCCAAGCTCCTAGACTTTACTTTATGAGCAGGTGCTCTGCCTAGGGGAAGACACGGCAGCAAGATGGCGGACATGAACTATGCAACCACAGCTGCCTTTTCTGGGGTTCTGAATCGATGTATACCCATGAGAGTCTATCCTGCCACAGGACCATCAAATTCTCCAGCCTAAAATTTCTGCTGGAGTGAGGGATAGGATAAACAATAATGTTATAACCCAAAACTCCACACTCTTCTAGGGTGCCATTAACTATGTTTTCCCATGTCAAAATTATTCCTGAGAATCCTTGGCAAGTTCCAAGCCAAAATGGCCATCACAGGAACTTCAGAATTGCACAAAGCACAAAGGTCATTCTGCCTAGGAGACTGTCTGAGTTTGAATAGAGCCTCCTGGGCAACTACAGGTAATTAGGCAATTTCTTAGCCACAGGGATAATGAGGAATGAGCAGAGGCTTTGCAAACAACCAAATGCACTCTCTGGATCTACCTCTTACTAGCTGTGGGCAGGCTTTGGCAAGTTACTTCGAGTCCCTGAGATTCAGTTTATTCCATCTTAAAATACTCTGTATCAGTTGGGGTTTTCCAGACAGACAGAATCATAGGATGTATGGATGGGTAGATAGATACATAGATACAGAGATACAGAGATAGATAGAAGATTTATTAGGCAAATTAGCTCACTTGATTATGGAGGCTGATAAGTCCCAAGACAGGCCACTCACAAGCTGGAGACCCTGGGATACTGGTAACATAGCTCAGTCCAAGTCTGAAGGCTTCAGAACCAGGGAAGCCAATAGTGCAGCTCTCAGTCCCTAGCTGCAGGCCTGAGAACCCTGGGACCACTGGTATAAGTCTTAGAGTCCAAAGGCTGAGGAACCTGAAGTTGTTGTCCAAGGAAAGGAGCAAAAGAGTGTGGCTCAGCCTCAGCAGATGTCTTCACATATTTGCCTTTTCTCTGTTTTTGTTCTTTCCGGGCCTCCCGCAGATTGCATAGTGCCGACCCACATTGGGGGTGGGCCTTCCCCAACTAGTCCACCCATACTTACATGCTAATCCCCTCTGGAAACACCCTCACAGACACATCCAAAAATAATGCTTTACCAGGTTCCTAGGTTCCTAGGTATTCCTTAATCCAGTTGACTACTAAAATTAACCACGTACTCATTCATAGGGTCCTTGAGACTATTAAATGAGGTGACGTATTCAAAGCATCCAGCACAGAGCCTAACAGAGTTGGAGTTCAATTTGTTGCACCTACATAAAAAGTTCAGAACCTTTTTATCATGGTTAAATATTGATCAGATCTATTCTCTTATTAACTAAAAAGAAAATTTACCTTTTTCAGTAGGACTTCAACTAAGTTAAAAAGAAATAAGGATCATATAAAGCATAACAAATATCACAATTGTCAGTGTGAACCAGAAGAACCTATTGAATCTTATTTTCTGTCTTTACCTCACATGAGAGATGCTAGTAAACAGCAAAAGTCTTCAAAATCATGAGGAGAGGGAAGGAAGCGGCCACAGGACACTAAAAGCATGGATTGTTTTGGCCAGATAATTCTTCATTGTCAAGCCACTGGTAGGTACATACATCCATCCCTGTGATAGATGTCATCAAGTTCCACGCAGGCTGGAGGCTGGCAGGTCTGTCGGAAACCTGATTGGTGTCCAGAGTTTTACTGAATGGTAGAGTTTACAGGAGATGGACTTCTGGCTGGGCCCTTTTAGCTTCTGCTTTGCTATGAGTGATGTTTCTGCTGGACAGGCCAGAAACTATTTATAATTCTTTTGAGCAGGTTGTTGTCTCTCTAGGAGCCAGATGGCTGATTGGATGACTATGGTGCCCAGAGGTGCTATGACGAACCTGTCATCAACTGGAAAGGAGCTGTTTACATCAAGGCTACATTCATTTCCCATTGCCATTATAACAAATTGCCATAAACTTAGTGGTTTAAAACAACATAAATGTATTCTTTTACAGTTCTAGAGACAGGAAGTCCAAAAGGAGTCTTATGGGGCAAAAACCAAGGTGCAGGAAGGGCTGGTTCCTTCTGGAAGCCCTAAGGGAAAATCTGTTCCTTGCCTCTTCCAACTTTTGTTAGCTGCTAACATTCTTTGGCTTGTGGCTGCATCCCACCTATCTCTACTTCTGTCTTTATATTGCCTTCTCCTCTACTTAGCCTAATCTCCCTCTGTTTTCATCTTATAAAAACAGTTGTGTTTATATTGGGTTTACCGAGATAATCCAGAATAACCTCATCTCCAGAGATTTAACCTAAACATATCTGCAAATCCCCTTTGGCCAAGTAAAGAAATATTCACTGTCTCCAGGGATTAGGGCCTAAATAACTTTGGGAACCTTTATTCCCAAAGTTATTGCCCAGAGATAAGGAATGAATTTCTGTGGACTATGTCTTCAGTGCTCAAGGACTCATCTGGTGCTGTGTTTCTGTTGGGGGTAATCAATAGACCTGTTGATGGACTCCATGTGGCACCAGGAAGTGGAACACTGAGGTCAGAAATGGACAGCTCTGGATAATGTTTTCCAAAACCAGAAATAGAATTGTGGAAGTAGGTGGTCCTGGTTATAGATAAAGGGATTGAATTGTCTATGGACTCTGATCTCTGTAATGAACAGAGGAGTTAAATTTGGTGCAAGTGCAAGACCAGTGTTGAGGACAGATTGAGATTGTCTTGGTTATGGGAGAGGTCAGCTCCCCAAGAGTGCACATTGTGTCCTAGGGATCTTAGGACATTTTCAGACATCAGAAATAGATGCATAAATTCTTCAGGAGCCCAGGGTCCATCATTGACTTATAGCTGAGCATTCATTCATTCATTCAACAAATACTTATTGAGCACCTGCTTTGTACCAGGCCTTGGAACAGGTCAATGTACAAACAGATGAATATCTCTACCCTCCTGTGGGTCATGGAGAAATCAGAACTGGAAGGTGCCATGTCTGATGTAGGGCTGGTAGAACTTCCATGGCCCAGGTTAAGAAACTTGGAATGTGGGTAGTATTGAGGCACTGCCACAGTCCTTGGGTACCAGTATCTCCTCCTGGGAGATGGAGCCTTCTTTTCTGGACAGCCAGCTCTCCATACTTTCTGCCACTCGATGGATCTCAGCCAGGATCTGTTGTGAGTTACCATGTGTCAGCTGCTCCCCATGGATTATTGCCATCAGCTGTTATACGGTCTGAAAGGCTGAAAGCATCTCAGTCCAGAGGGTTTCTTAGGGCTCTGAGTGTCTCTTTGGTATTCTGAGCCATGTTATGAATCTTCTGCCCAGTGGCCTAGGATGTCAATTGATGGTGTCAGAGTTAAACCATTTGAAGGACATGGCCCATCTCACCTGGCAGTAGCTGAATTCAAGGATTAGTAATCAAATCATGTTGTCACAACATACTGGATCATTTAAGGTAGTGCCTATAAGCCATCAAGAAGGCCCAGCTCCTACATATCCAATTATGTCTTCCTAATAAATCTGGGTTCTTTTTCCAACAGCCTTGGGAGCAATCTGTTCCAGAAGTAAGAATGGGCAGTCTGCCATGTATGGCCATGCAAGGTTATGCCCCACGGGGATTGCAGGGACACTTTTTGCATCATAGATCTTGGAAAGTGTCCCACACAGGTGTGCAATGCACAACCATACATGGCAGTCTTGAGAGAAAGAGATTCAAAGCACACCTCCTGACTGAAATATGATTGTTAGCACTGAGATGTCAGAAGGCTTGGGTCCTGGATCTAGGTCATCATACAGTTCTCAACTGAGGCCCATGTGAACCCAGCCAGGCACTGGGACTTGGCCCAGAGATGCTCTGGAATATGACATGGTGTGGCATTAGACGGGGACATCTGCTAGGGGCAAGGTGATGCCTGGGGTAGGGCCCAGTTCCCAGCTGGTTACCCCTGTACAGATTCAGGGGTTGTTTGTAAAATGAAGTGGGATCCAGTTTCCGGTAGGGATCCTCATGTTGAGAGAATAAGCACAGGCAAGAGCTGAGTGGTGGTGAGGCAAGGTCCAAAAAACCGAGGTGGAGATTCCAATGAGTCCCCAAAGACAGACATCAAAGCTGGTGCCATGAGGTCAAGAATCTGAAAGCCAAGGACATGAGAGCAAGAGCCATGAGATGTGCTGAGACACCCCTCAGCTTTCCAACTGGAACACAGTTTGAAAGCATCAATTTTGACTACCAGCACCATTTTCCATATGGGCAAGTTAGGGCCAGAATGTCAAGATAGTTGCTAAGTAATGGCAGGGCCAGACCACATCTCAGGTTCCTGAAGCCTCCCAGTGGACCACTTCCTTCTCTTGTATTCATGAAACAGTCAGAGGAATGGTACGCTTCCTGGAGAAATGGGCCTGCAGTCCTGAAACCAGCTCCTTCAGAGAAAGCAGATTGTGTCCATCAAGTCCCTCAGTTCTCCTCCAAAGTTACTTTGGGATCTTTCATATCTCCCAGTCATTGGCTGACAGGCTGTCCAAGCCTATGGTGCCTATCTGATCAACCTGAAGATATTTTAGTCTATATCCCAAATAGTTTTTTTCCTTAAGATTTTTATCACTCTCAGGTAAGCCTTATCATTTGCTAAGCTTGCAAAGTTCTCTTACTTTCCCAACAAGTGAGCAGATAATAGAAGGACAGGCACCAATTTTACTGCAGACTTCTGTACACTTGCCTGGGCACTGACACCTGAATCATGTGAGGCATGTGATCTGGGGTCATGGATGGGAAATTGACAGACAGTTAGTGAGACTAAGGACAAAATATCGCTCAGAAATGTTCATGGGGAAAATAAGGGACAAGGAGAAATTCAGACTCATAATGTTTTCTAAGTCACTTGGGTGCATTTTATGATCTTGAACTTCATGAGCTTATTAACAGAAAATCCAAGATAAGTAATGGCTCCCTAGAGCTGTAATGAGAACAAACTGATTTTTATTTGCACAAACATGCCTCAGATGGAGAAATGATGTGGGCATTTTTACTATAAAGCTTTTAGCACGTTGATTTTTGGCAGCAACTTCAAAAAGGTAGTTCTGACTATTTTTTTCCATGTTTCCATTCAACATCTTAGTTCATGGGCTCTGAGAATCTCTAGTCCCTAATCAAACTCAGAGGCTCTCTGGGCTTATAAGTCTCAGTAGAGCTTCCTGTTGTTTGAGGCATGGGAGAGACAGAGGGATGGTTTTTGAGTGGCTGAGAAGGCATGGCTGAAAGGAATGCAGCAGATCTCAATCTGAGAACCACCACTCAGAGAAGGTGCTTCAGAGGGCTCCTGAAAGAGTTTTCATGACTTTCCAGACATTAGCTCCAAATGTCCTGCAGTCCCCTGGTTTGTCAAAGTGCCTGCCACTCTACCTGCTCTTCATCCTCAGGCATCCCTCTCCTTGTCGAGGTTGATCCTTCCCTCTGGCTCCAGCCCTTCTTGTTTCTGTTGAATATCAACTGCCCCTTCCCCACTGCCATGGTGATCAAGACATGAAACCAAGTCTTATTCTCCAGTGCATGGTCTAAGGCTTGCCAGGGGCACCAATGGCTGGGGTGATAACCATTCTAAACCCCATCCTCACTTCCATGGGCTCAGCCACCTACCACGTGGACCCAGCCTTCACCTGGAATAACCCCACCTCTGAAAAGGTAAACTCTGATCTCCAGCTCTCGAACCCACAACCTCCTCTTCCATGATGCTTCCTGTGACCAGCAGCCTCCTAGTGGCACTTTCTTACCTGCTCAGTCCTCACGCCAGAGATATCCCCTAAATCAATCCTCTCAGCAGCTCCTGAGTCAACATCTTCACTCCCTTAGCCTTCCCCTTTGATATGGTTTGGCTTTGTGTCCTCACTCAAATCTCACCTTGAAATGTAATCCCCACATGCCAAGGGTGGGGCCAGGTGGAGGTAATTGAATCATGGGGTGGTTCCCCCATGTTGTTCTTGTGATAAGTGGGTCCCACGAGATCTGGTGGTTTTATAAGCATAGGGCATTTTCCCTGCTTGCACTCACTGTGTCCTACAACCCTGTGAAGAGGGTGCATGTTTCTCCTTTGCCCTTCACCATGATTGTAAGTTTCCTGAGGCCTCTCTAGCCATGCGGAACTATGAGTCAATTAAAACTCTTTCCTTTATAAATTATCCAGTCTCTGGTACTTCTTCATCACAGCGTGAGAACTGACTAATACACCCTTGCCTTGACCCTCTGAAACCTTGCCCAGAATATTTCCATAACCCACTTGCCCTTCTAACAGGGCTGCTGAGGGGCTGGAGACCACACCACCGATGCTTTCCAGCTTTTGCTGAACCCCGAGGCCCGTCGCTGGTCCTTTTACTTGTCCTTATGTTTTCTTTCCTTTTCTGCCTTCCCTTCAGTGACTGCTGTCCCAAGCCCTCACTACTTCCCTTGGCTCCCTCTCAAAACATCAGCTTCCATCTCACCTTACCAGGATGGTTAGGGTTATCAGGAAATGATGGCCCTAAATTTCTGTCTACAAACCCACTTACCAATATTGTAATGTTCTGCAAAAGATATAATAGGTGTCTCTTTTCTTCCTCCTCCTCCATAATTAGCCTTTTATATTTGTTCTTAGACCCATTTAGTCCCATTTTGTGAAGGATCTTGTTATAATTATACTGTCTTTTTTATACTTTCAACCTCTTCCTAGCTGCTGGTAATATCCCCACACCCTACAGTTATCTCCTTTCTAACACAAAATCAAAGCTGAAATGCATCTTTGCATCTCTTCACGCAAGAAATATTTACTGGGAGCCTACTAGGTGCCAGCTGCTAGAACAGGCTTGAGAAAACATATTGGCATGATCCCTCTCTTCATGGAACTTTGGGTCTAGTGAAGGAAAGAGACAATACATAATGAATACAAAAGAAGTATGTCACTGGAAATATTTGAAAACTGCAAAAGAGAAGAACACACTGTTATGTAAGCTTATGTCAGGGGTTATCTCCTTGGTCTGGGGTTAGGTAGGTTTTTCTGTAAGAGCATATACCTGGGTGGACAGGGATCAGTATAGGTACCAGCTCACCTACTCAATAGTTGGTCTCTTCTTAATCTTGAGCTCTGCCTGATATGGTTTGGTTATATCCCCAAATCTCATCTTGAATTCCCACATGTTGTGGGAGGGACCCAGTGGGAACTAATTGAATCATGGGGGCAGGTCTTTCCCATGCTGTTCTCATGATGGTGAATAAGTCTCATGAGATCTGATAGTTTTGAAAAACAGGAGCCTTCCACACAAGTTCTCTCTTTGCCTGCTGCCATCCATGTAGGACGTGACTTGCTCCTCCTTGCCTTCTGCCATGATTGTGAGGCTTCCCCAGCCAGGTGGAACTGTAAATCCAGTTAAACCTCTTTCTTTTGTAATTGTCCAGTCTTGGCTATGTCTTTATCAGCAGTGTGAAAATGGACTAATACACTGCCTCTTGCCTCTACCTACCCATACATTTCTTCTCTTTGCGGCCTCTTTTCAGAATAGTCTGTATTTCCACATCCTTGGTTTCCTTGCTTTCTCCAACCCATTGTCATGTGGCTTCTGTCTCTGTTCTGCCTCCAAATCTGCTCTCACCAGGGTCAGCAATGACCTTCCCATTACTGATGGAGAATATCAGTATCCCTACAGGTCTGCTGGGCAACCTCAATTCTTGCCTCCTCAGAAGAAAGAATTTGTCTGAGGAGCATAAGGCAGAAGGAGAGACCATGGCATATTTTAGAGCAGGAGTGAAAGTTTATTAAAAAGCTTTAGAGGCCAGGCACGGTGGCGCACACCTGTAATCCTAGCACTTTGGGCGGCCGAGGCGGGCGGATTGCGTGAGCTCAGGAGTTCAAGACCAGCCTGGGCAACATGGTGAATCCCCATCTCTACCAAAATACAAAAAAAAAAAAAAACTAGCCGGGTGTGGTGGCACGCGCCTGTAGTCCCAGCTACTTGGGAGGCTGAGGCAGGAGAATTGCTTGAACCCAGGAGGCCAAGGTTGCAGTGAGCCAAGATCATGCCATTGCACTCCAGCCTGGGCGACAGAGCGAGACTCCATCTCCAAAAAAAAAAAAGGTTTAGAGCAGGAATGAAAGAAAGAAAAGTATACTTGGAAGAGGGCCAAGCTGGTGACTTGAAAGACAAGTGTGCATTTTGACTTCTTTACTTGGGGTTTTATATGTTGGCATACTTCCGGAGTCTTGCCCTAGTTCTTCCAACTCCTGAGATCTTATCAGTAAGCTGCTGATCACCAGTTTCAGGTGTTTTCTATCTATTAGGAGCCTGCCTTCCCCTGGCGCTGGCTGTGACCAATTATTACTTTAGAGAGACAGTTAGCAACGGCCTGACCATCACCTGATGGTCACCCAACACTCCTGGTTGGGGTGGTGAGGTAGTGGGGAACCCTCCCCTGCCCTGTTCATGCCTGACTAGCTACCTACTGTAGCATTCTGTTTCCAAACACAAAGGACACTTCCCAGGCTGTGTTAAAATAGATTCATAATTAGTGCCCCCAAAAGAGACTTGTGTATATTTCCTTCAGTAACATATTGTTACAGTGTATAGCCATAACATCTCTTAGTCTCATGAAATTAGGAATGGAAAATAGGACATAACCACAAGCATGAGAGTTTTTAGATCAAAGAAGAATAAATTGTCAAATATTAAATACATAATTTGAAAATCTCAATGGAATAGACTAATATCTAGGAAAAGATTGACTCAAAAAGAAACAAAACCTGTAATAAAAAATGAGATCATCAAAGAATTTAGTGGTTTTGCATGAGATTTTCTTTTTTTACAATTGTCAAGGGAGATATATTTCCTGTTCTATTGGCTCCAAAGCCCAGGTCAGTGCTGTCCAATAGCAGAGCCACTACCTTCCTGTGGCTACTAAGGAGTCAAAATATGGCTCATCTGAATCAAGATGCTTTGTGTGTGTAAGTACATGCTGATTCCAAAGGCCTAGAAGAAAAAAAAGAAAGTAAAGTATCTCATTAATAATTTTTATATGGATTACATACTGAAATGATAATATTTTTCTTTGGGAACTTTAAATATATTGTTAAAATTAATTTTGCCTGTTTTTTCTTACTTTTTAATGTGGCTACTAGAGAACTTGCAATTAAATATGTGGCTTGCATTACATTTTTATTGGACAGTGCTGGTCTAGGAAAAGAAGGGACATGGGACAAATTGTTGTCAACAACTAGCAGAAAAGTAAGAGCAATCTTGGAAACAGTATCTGTGACACCTAACATGGACTGTGGTTTTACTATGTACCAGCACTGTGCTAAACGTGTTAATAAGCTATCTCATCTGTGGCCTCAGAACAACCCCTCAGGGCAGGCAACCCCTGCATTTTTCAACAGCATGGCTGTGACCTTGCCCAGGTCACACAGCCAGGGCGGGAAAGAGCTGACCCTCCAGCCAGACTTGCCGACCCCAGAGCACTTGCTCCCAACCACCTTGACACCTTCCTTCCCTCCATCCACCAGAAAGCGCTTAGGAAGGAACATATATAGCATGGCTCTCTTTACAACATGAGACTTAATTTTTTACGGTGTCTCTGCTGCTGAACTTGAAGCTGGTTTTCTTGTGTTCTGGAGTCCATCCTGGCATGACAAGCAAGGGGCTGGGTTCAGTCTTGCTGAATGGACTCAGGAGCCCATGATGTATGTCCGGAAGGCAGAAGAGAGGTGCAGAAATCCCCCAGGGCCAGGCTGGCCACAATCAGCTGCTGGTGGTTTGGCCATTTGGACTCTATTTGCATTCCTTCTGTGCTCCTCGACAGGAACAGGGCTTTTCAAATGGGCTTAGCTCTCCAAATCCACTCAAAATGTCACAAAATTAAATGAATGGTTTCTTAGACACCATGGGGAGTAGAAACCCAATAGCAAAACACTAATGGTTTCCTTTGCAGGAAGCCCCTTTGAGGATAAAAGAATTCATCTGAGAGTCAGATCCCTTCCTGGCTGGTGCATCCGTCCGCCACATGACAAGCAGTGGGGAAGTCAATAGCACCCTCGCCCGGCTCCACCTGTGATCCTGGAGAACAAGAGAGGAGCCGGCTGGAGGGAAGAAAATCCTGATCTTGTGATTTCAATTACAGGGAGGTGAAAAATTATTTGATATCTGAGCTTGCTAAAGGCTCCTATTCCTTCTGCTCCAAAGATCTTTCCTGCTAAACTGAACAAAAGAGGAGAAAGAAGTGGAGATGCATACTGAGGGGAAGGGGTAGTGGAAAAGAAAGCCGGCACAGCAGGAGGAGAGCAGATGACAATGCAGACACAAGAAAGGACTTCTCTGGATTCTTCCTAAGTGGAATTGACACAGCGCTGGCTCTTTCATTAGACTTCTCTCATCCTTTCCCCTGCTCTCGATCTCTCATGCCAAGAATTGCATTTGGATTTTTGAATCTACATTGATAGCACAGATTTGGCTGTTACTCTCCAATAATAATGTCACTTCGGCCCCCGTGTCTGGGGAAAGAGAGCAAGTATGATGGTGGCCCCCGCCAGGGCCCCAGCCCAGCCCCGGCCAGGCATCCTCTGTGATTCTCCTGGGAGCAAAATCCTGATGAGGCTTTTGACATGGTTCTTCTTTTCAACTAAATAAGAGAGAGGCCTATACGAATGGCAGCCCTAGCTGACTGGAGACATCTCACTAGGTGAAGGCAGTAGATTATATGACCATGGTGTCCCAGCGACCAGCATTCAAACCTGCCTTGACTTCTGGGTGTGCGATGTTGGGCAACTTCCTAAGCTCTTGGAGCCACAGTCTCCTCTCAAGGGGAGGAGAGTAAGGTTTACCCAGTACAGTCATGTGAGGCTAAAAGAAAATATATATATATATATTACTTAGCTCACATGAATACTTTGTGTCTCTAGAAGTCAGCTCCCCTCTGTATACAGAAAGAATCCTCATAAATTAGGCTTTTGGAAGAATAAAATCCTCTGTTCTATACAAGATCAAGATATAGCATCCAACAATGGTGAAATAAATTTGCCTCCATGCTCTGTTTGTAGTTTAGCACCATCAGCATTTTGTCTAACCTTGTCTTTAGACTCTGTGTACATGCAATTAAAATGTTGCCTCCCTATGTAGTGATCAAGGAGGATACCCTCTGGTTGTGTGGTGGCTGGGAAAAATCATCTCATTTTTACATTTCTGCTGTCCACTGTACTTACCACAAACATGTCACAGTGCAAAGCTGTGTAACTATAATATAAACATTACATAACTGGAAATGATAATATTTAATGTAGGAACATATGAGGGAAAATCAGCCATGAAAAATTCTGGCATGTTTGTTTTAAAAATTAAGTCACACTACCTTAGAGTCACACATTATAAATTTTGTCTCTTCATCTAGACTGCAAATTTGCCAAAGGCAAGAACCCTTTCCAACATCTGTGCATTTTCTTCAGCATCTGCCACTTTGCTTGGCAAAGGGGCTCCCTAATTAACATTTGTTACTTGGCTGATTGATTGATTAATTAAAAAACAATGATGCTTTGTCTGGAGGCTACAGAGGCTGAAATAAAAGAAGCATGGTTCTCCTTATTTCCTGGAGACCACACCCTCATCCTAAGACTTTGAGCGCCATCTTTGTGTCACAGTCCTACAAACACAAGAGCACTGGGAGCTGGAAACTGGAAAACAGCCACCACTCTGAACCTCTTGTAAGTGCAGCCTCAACTGCATGCACTACTTCTCCATCAGTGTGCGCGACCTCCTTGTGTTGGGAATCTGCTGAACGAAGCTCAAACCCACACAAAGCACATGTGAGCGGACCAACAGATCAGTCCTGGCTACAACCTAATGGGCAGGCCCAGTGTAGTCAGTGGGGACTGTTGTTGGAGACTTAAAGAGACACCAACAATGTTCCCAAATCTAGAAAGCTATGCTAAGGAAGGAGCTGAGGCTGACTTCGGCTTCAGGAACATGGGTTTGGTTGGAGGGCACCCCTGACAGTATGTTGAAAAAGCTATTGTGCTGAGTGGCCTAGGCCTCGTGTGCTGGTTAACACAGCCCACACCACACAGGGCTGTAAGGGGCCAGCAGCAGCCCATTCGTCAGTGCCTAACCCTCCCAGGCTCCCGGCTCTGAGTGGGCCCAAAATGAGCCCAGTCCTGTTCTGTTATGGAAGCAAGGCTCTCTGAAGACTACAGTGGGTGAAGGCGCGGGGGAGGAGAGCTCAGAGGACTTACAGAGGCTGCCAGTGCCCCCGTGCCTGACTTCCAACTGCTAGTGTCTGCCTGTTAGTACCTAAGTACTTCCTTCAGCTGCCAGAGCTTATTTTGC
Organism: Homo sapiens; assembly: GCF_000001405.40. Taxonomy (NCBI): domain Eukaryota; kingdom Metazoa; phylum Chordata; class Mammalia; order Primates; family Hominidae; genus Homo; species Homo sapiens. Next base: position 42,723,668 of record NC_000007.14, read on the forward strand.
CTGCCCAAAAAGTAGGCTGCAAGTGCTAGAGGGGCAACCTCCCCCTATCCAGCAGCCCTCCAGCAATGATGGAGAGTAGGTGAGGTGGTGTAGCTCTCCCCACCAGGTGGGCTAATTCTGAATCACATGACCTACTCTGGCTCCTAGACTTTTCCAGTGGGATCATGCAACAATGCTTCCTGGGGTCACCTCCCAAATAAGTGACTTGCATTCAGATCCTTGCTGGAGACTTGCTTAATGCAGGTCTGTTTCTTATAGCTCAATGCAGAGTTTTGAAATTTTGACAATTGATAAATGCTGCAAGGAATGACCATATGGAAATGGTGAAGGTCCTTATTGTTATGCAGCCTCTAGGATGCCCATGTAGGAAGTTAGAATGGCCCCGGCCAGGCAGGGCTGGGTAATGCAAGCAAGAAGCTCCCAGCCTTCCTTCCCTCTCCATGGCAGCAGGCACAAGGATACATCACATTACCCTGTGAAAGACACCTGGCTGTGAAAGTTCTCCAGAAGCCAGCACAGCTCTTTCCTGCTCATTATTACACTGTTTCTGGTTTCTCACCAAGTCAAGGAGAACCTCATGGAACGCATATCACTGGCAGGGATGTACAGACAAGAATCACAACCAGCAGAGCTGCCATAAGAAAAATCCTGGCCATGGCTGCCTCCAAATTGGCACAGAGAGCAGCACAGAGATCTGTCCACGGATCAAGACAGCCATACAGCCAGAAAAGCAGTGCTGTCCTGGCCAGGCTGCAGGGAGGGGAGGGTCTCAGAGCACAGGATCAACACAGAACAGCAGGTCCGTGGATCTTAGGAGCGTAAGCTTGGGTGACAGAGTGTCTGAGTGTCTTTGTTTTCAAGGAGCTGTCACCAGGCTGGCACTGAGAGAGCTGCCTGGTGGTGCAGAGAGACCAGAGGCCTCAGTGCTGGTGGTAAGACCAGGGACCAACAAACCCCATCAGAAGTAACTCCAGGCTTCAGAGGTGACCCAAAATGGGATGAGCCTTTCAGGAGATATTTTTCAAGTTCAATTGTTACTTTTTGGTGCTCATTTTACATGACTTTTCAATAGGCCTGGTTGTTCATCTCCTCCTTTTAAAAATTGACTTTTTTTTTTTGGAGACAGTGTCTTGCTCTGTTATCCAGGCTGGCTGAAGGGTATTGCTCACTGAAGCCTCGACCTCCTGGGCTCAAGCAATCCTCCTACCTTGCCCTCCCAAGCAGGTGGGATTCCAAACATGCGCCATCATGACCAACTAATTTTTAAAATAATTTTTTTGTACAGACGGGATCTTACTATGGTGTCCAGGCTCGTCTCAAACTCTTGCCCTCACACAATCTTCTTGCCACAGCCTCCCAAAGTGCTGGGATTACAGCTGTGAGCCACTGCACCTAGCCTAAAAAGCTGACTACTTTTTAAATTCCCTCTCTTTTCACCTTCCTGACCAGACTGTATCAGTCAACATTTTTTGTGTGTTTTGTGAGAGGTGGGGGAATTATATCTACCTAAACTTCTTAAATGTATCAGGACTTTTCTTCATGAGGAGAATCTGTGATTGTCATATGAGACAGCTGTTTATATATTTATGGGCCTCCATCATGAAACATAACAGTTTGAATTCCATAGTATGTTCTAATCAACTAATTTATATATTTTCTTCTTCATAAAGTCATAATTTAAATAATTCCTCCAGATATTTTTATATATCAATCCCTCAATTGAGTGGTGTCTACCTGACTGTTGGATTCAAGATTCTGTTGAATGGGAATCTTAATTCAATGAGGCTAGCCAGACCAGGTCCTCAGCACCCTAGAGAAGGGTCTCCCTATGGCACATGGTATTTCTGATGCAAAACTTTTTTTTCCCCAGTGAAGATTCCATTTTGTCATTTTGCTAACGTAGAATTAGAACTCTTCATACCCATTGGGGGTAAAATACAAAATGATATAGACGTTAGTACAGGTGCCTAAAAAACAGCAACTGGGATGGAGAGTTTTCTAGAACAGTTGGCAAAGGCTGTCAAGATGGAAGAGAGGAGAAAGGGCAGGAACTGCGCCAGGAGACCCAGCTGTGGATGAGTCTCCAGGTCATACTGAGGGAAAGAGTTTGAAAGAGGAGGCCAATCAGTGGATGACTCCTGGAGCTCCTTTATCATTTTTTCTATCTCATTGGCTCTTACAACCAATAACTACTCCTTTCTAAGTGAGCCTATGACACTGGATATCCATCTATCTTCCAGTGCGAAGGGTTAAACTGGAGTTGTGTCTGTTTAAAACTCACACTGACAAACCTTAATTCATTTATTTAAGTCCAGCTGAAAGAGAAGTTCTCTGTTACCTCAAAGATATTAAGTCCCTGGGTTTATTTCAGTGTAACTTCAACATATGTATGACAGGTCAGTGCCCATGACTGAGAGATGTGTCAGAGGCTCCTTTATCCTCATTCATTTCATCATTTTAGAACCCAAATCAGGAGTGTGAGAGGCTGTGCCTGATTTCTCTTTCCATTACTCAAAAAGAACTCAGGACATATTTTTAGGAGGATGTTGGGGGATGTGATTCAAACTCGTCTCCCGAGACAGTGATTTTGCTCTTTGACTGCTTCTGTGGGGAAGGCGGAATGCATTACATTCCAGCCAATTGCATTAAAAACTTCCATGAGCAGACAAGTTGGGTAAGCCTGAGAACCCACATGGGCTTGTGGTCTTATTTTTCTTTTGCTTAAACTCTGAAATATAAATAAATTAGCACATTAATTTAAAAATCACTTGATTCCTAAAATGGTAATAAACTACGTAATTTTGAAATAGGCAGCATGATTTTCCCACTGCTTAATTGGCTAAAGAAAGATGCAAGTTCCCCTCTCAAATTACTTTAGTCCAAAAAATTCCAGAGAGATCTGCAACTTCCGGCAAAGCTCAGAGTAACATTCTGAATTTTTTATCCTGAAATATTTTGAAGACACTCATCCATTTCCCAATAGCTTATGGCAGACCAATTAGAACTGCCAATTCTGTGTACACGTGCAACTTAAAATCTGACTTTATAATTAATATTGACAGCTTTTACCTGGGTCTAGGTGACATATAGTTTTGCTTTCTATACGAAGTGCATAAATTAAATTAGACATATATTTGCCAGTGTCCACATCTGTACACAGTCTTGCAAACACTTTGGTGAAGACATAATCATTAACCATGTGCCTCAAAACCTCCATTGTAAAATACCTTGAGAATTTCTGGTGAATTCCCCTTCCATCTGTGACAGATATAAGGGTAATAACTCAAACTGAGATTAGTATTAATTTATTACCCCATCCAACTAGTGACTCCATAGTTTCAATTTAGATAACAACAATAAAAAACTCCAAAGAAATTGTAGCAACTTTAAAATATATTTTATTGAAAAACTAAAGTGAAAAGCTATCTCCTGTAAATGGAAATTACTCAAGGAACAAATGCTATAAATCAAATTTTAATCTGCATTTAGAAATGAGGTAATGAAAAGGAAGGCAGAAAGTGACCTTATTACCTGTTGAAAACCAAGAAAAGGTCATTGGTATCATCAACATTAGGAAATATTCAAGTCATGATTCCAAGGTATGAGATTCTTCAAGTAGAAAAAGAGTACTATGCATCTCTAAAAAAAAGAGTTACTCCAAATAGCAGTTGTAAATAATATAGATAAGAAAAAAATGCACTGTAAAAAAGTTGTATTAACTACATCAAGAAATCACTCATAAGCTAAGGTTTGTAGACAATATGATATAAAGATGAGTTGATGTCAGAGAAAGTATTCAAATATCCATTGACTGTTTTTTGACTGAGATGTTATAATGTTGCAGTTATATTCTTTCATAATTGTAGTTTCAAGTTGAAACAATGCCCAGTATTTCAAAGATTCTCTTGTTTTCAGCGATAATCCTGACCAAATTTCCATGTCTTGGAGCATTCTCCCAAACCATTCACTGACTCCTCATTCAATCCACAATGGATAAAAACTCAGCTCACATAAAATGAAAAACTTGGAAAACTGGCTGGCTTGTCAGCAAACCAACATGTTAAACGTTTGAGTTTTAAAAAATAGAAAAATGGAAAATATTTCTATGATACTTCCACAGTGGGAGCAGAAGGCAGGGTAGTCATCTGGCCCTAGCTCTCTGGCAGGGAACTACCCTTGTGGATAGATCCTTGAGTTTCATTTACCAAGATGAGCATCATCAGGATTTGCAGGCACATTCCATTATGCTAGATTTCCAAACAGTACCTTTTACACACACACACACACAAACACACACACTTTTTTAAATATCAGATTGATCCTTAGCCTGAAATCCCTCTCTATTCTCCTACCTTTGTGATCAGACTCAGACCTCAGGTAAGACAAAGGGATCTTTTTGCCTGAACTAAAAATAATTGGAGCCTTTTGCTTAGGCTTTCCCCCTTGGCTTGTCATCTGATTATGGCCTTCAAGGTTGATCAATAAAAGGCATGAAGAGATAAACCCAAGGAAAAATATTTCCTCCTATAGCCTGGAACAGAGCTCGCCTGTGTCTTCTGCTCCTGTTTTCCTTGAGCCCATTTCCAAATGACCTTCTAAAGTTGGAGGAGAAAGGGCCAGATATAGTCATACCTCTTTTAAAAGAGAGAAAAATCAGCCTTCTCTTCATAACAGTCCCATGAGAAGGGAAATGCGGAATCAATCCGAAGGGAAAACATGATCCAAAGACTCACCAGAACATGATTTTCAAGCTGGGCTTCTGGAGGTCTGTAGATTTGTTATCAGATGTCTGGAAGTTTTCTACAAGATGTCTGGAGTTGTGCCCTTAGTTTTATTTTTATGTCAACTATAATCTAAAATAAACTAATATAAACATAATCTAGATTTCTTTGCTGATAATTTTATAACTAAGTATTCCACACTATTTTATCACTGCATTTCTGCTTATATATATACAAAGCTATTAGCTCAAAGTTATTGCTTAAGTGATGTTATTTCAAAGACAATGCAATTGTTCTCGAACTATGTTTTACTGAGCCTCACAAGACCAAGGTGTCCGAACCTCTTCAGTGTAAGTAACACCACTATAGTGTATGATCCCTAGTCTGGTTCTATTTACAATCTCACTGTTCCTACTCTAGAAGGTCTATTCCCATGGCATCATGACCTGATTGTGACCTTGGGACCCAGGTTGTCCTTGATTAATATTACAGGCCCCCTTTCTTGATAGTGTTGAACAGAAATGGGAGTGAGGTGGGGAGGGGAATAAAGAAAGTGAGAGGTTACTGCTAGAGTTTAGAATGTCTAACCATATTGTTTAATGACTTAACTCAAGGTCTTAAATAAACAAATGTTATTTGAGAGTACATTTGGACTGCTCCATTTGAATCTAATGGCACCTTTAAACTGACTCCCAACACTAGGTTTTCTACTCTATATAAATAAAATATTTTTCCTGCTGCCCATCTTATTAAAAGCAAAGAAACAAAAATAATGCATCATCTTATTAACTGGCCAGTAGTGGTCAGCAAGGCAGAGGCAATATAAACCTTGCTTCTCACACCCCTTACTACTCAGCAAGTTAAGTGTACAAGTGCATACATCCCCATAATAAATGTAATGACATGTGAATTTACTTTCTTACCTCATCAAAACATCCACATCAAAATATGCACCTAATAAGAAAGAAGTGAAAACAAAACTAATCTATCAGTTTATCAACTATAGAAAAATGACTTCAATGTGCCACAGAAGTCTTCCATTTAAAAAAAGCCAATAGTATGCAAACATATGCATAAATAAGCTTCTACATAATTGACACTCAAGGTATGGTCCAAGGACCAGCATCTGGAACTTGTTAACAGTGCAAATTCTCAGACCCCACCCAAGAGCTACTGAATCATTAGCAAGCTCCCCAAGCTAATGTTTGAGAAGCAGTGTTCTGCATGGATGACAGCTGATGCATATTAGCATGTTGAAAGAATACATACATAGATATACAGAGAGATATACAACACAGGTAGAGAAATAATTCACATAGTCATAACTCAGAATTTTAACTCAGTGCATCAAGTGACATGTGAAAGTTCTTAATCCTTCTTTGCTATGCCATCTCTACTCCCTGTTTGGCTATGGTAGAGCATATTGCAATGGCTTTATTTCCCCCATTTTGGTTATTTTAGAAGTTAGATTGAATGCTGAGATAAAAGATTTCCTACATTTCTAAAGAATGCCCAGCAGGGTACATGACACATGATTAGATTTTTAATGACCAAATTGTGTGAATTAAAATCTATCTCTATAAATGGAAATGGCAGACCTGCTAAGTAATAAGCCATTTTGGAAAAGTTAAATCCATGCAATGTTGGTTCTAAGTGAAATCTTGTAAACCATCATCTTCTCAGAAGCTACTAGTCTCTGAACTTAAAAATATAAATAGGGAGAAATTTTCAAGGCTGGGCACAGTGGCTGATGCCAGTAATTCCAACACGCTGGGAGGCCAAGGCAAGTGGATATCTTGAGGCCAGGAGTTTGAGACCAGCATAGGCAACGTGGTGAAACCCCATCTCTACAAAAAGTACGAAAAATTAGCCAGGTATGGTGATGCACACCGGTAGTTCCAGCTGCCCAGGAGACTGAGGTGGGAGGATCACCTGAGCCTGAAGAAGTCAAGGCTGAAGTGAGCTGTGATTGCACCACTGCACTCCAGCCTGGGTCACAGAGTGAAGCCTTGTCTCAAAAAAAAAAAAAAAAAGAAAAGAAAAAAGAAAATTTTCAAAATGAATGTATCCAACTCTCCAAGCTTTTTCCCCTTGCTGCCTGTGTATTGCCAAAAACATCTCTAGTTTTTTTTTTCCCAATACCATTGATTGTTCCAAATTAGCTTACAATTCAAGTTTGAATTTTGACAATCTTGCCCAGGTGAATGGCTGGTTTGCTAAGTCTCATCAAATCCAATCTGCTGGAGAAAGAAAAGACAGAAAATAATTCATGTCATACATTGTACACCAACATCAGATATTCCTTTGTCATTAAGTCTTTTCACTCTGTAGTTACCTTTCTAAAAACACAAAATTGTTAGTGTTCTATGATATTGCTGCTGGTATTTCACTTTAGCTATAATTCTTCCATGAAATGGGCAATGCTCCCAGAATCCACTAACCCGTTTATTTTGGACAATCAACTAGAAATTTGAAATATCTTTCTGCACTACATCATGAAGGTTAAAAACTGTAACAGATATATTTTACTACATGAATATAATTGGAAACTTTTAAAAAGTTTATCATTAATTCTAATGAATATGTGGCAAAAGTTGGTAACTAAGCAAACATTACACTAAATCTTCATGTTTCTTCATAGAGTGCTTTCTTCAAATTAATCAAAATCATAAATATATGAGACCTAAAGAAATCCAACTATAATTAATTTTAACACTGGAACAGCTAATAGCAAAAAAATATGCTAATGAAAACTAAATAAAATGATATTTCCTCTTCAAATAGTCAATAAAACATGTGCATAGTTGATATGGTTTGGCTGTGTCCCCACCCAAATCTCATCTTGAATTGTAGTTCCAGTAATCCCCACATGTCATGCAAGGGACCCGGTGGGAGGTAATTGAATCATGAAGGCACTTTCCCCCATGCTTCTGTTCTCGTGATAGTGAGTGAGTTCTCATGAGATCTGATGGCTTTAAAAGGGGCTTGCACCTCTTTTGCTTATACTTCTCCTTGCTGCTGTCATGTGAAGAAGGATGTGTTTGTTTCCCCTTCTGCCATGATTGTAAGTTTCCTGAGGCCTCCCCAGCCATGCTGATCTGTGGGTCAATTAAACTTCTTTCCTTTATAAATTACCCAGTCTCGGGTATATCTTTATTAGCAGCATGAGAATGGGCTAATACAATAATCTTGACACATTATGAATAACCAGGCAATATTTTGAAATAGAAGACATGGGCATTATCTGTATATCTCTGTCATTGAGAGTCAGAAATATTTTTCTTCTTTATCAAAGACTGCAGATTTGAGGCTCATGCAATCATTGCAGCACCCTATGGACAGTCTTTAAGCAATCAAGAAACACATGCCGTAGAAAATTATCCAACATCCTCATGTCTAGGGCAATCATTCATTCCTAACAGGACTGAAAAAGAGAAACTAGCATTTATGGAGTGCCTACTATATACCAAAAGTATATAGTATCTACTATATACTTTTACATACCCTATTTCATAAATAGAATCCTCACAAAACTTTGGGAGAGAGGTCCTACCAGTCCCATTTTTACTGCTATCTGAGAAGAGATCCAAGATGACATTGTCAAGATCTGGCCAAAATGTGCCACTAGTGGAATCTGAATCCTGACATATTTTACACTAAAGGCCACTCTCTTAAATTCATGAAAATCCTATAAGCTAGGTACAATTTTATCTTTATTTTAGACATGAGGAAAATGAGGCACGTAAGGTCCAAGGTTGCAGAGCCAGGAAGTGAGAGAGCCAGAATTAGAATTCAGCCTGCCTGTAGAGTTCATGGTATTAACCATGATGTCATCCTGCCCAGCCAGACTTTTGGTTCACAGCAGCATCCTGAGCAGGATATGTATAAGCTTTTGACCCATCCTATGGGCCCATTGAGATAATATTACTCATTATAAGTTGTTCTTGCTATTTTAGCTATGGTAACTACTATTGGATAAAAACTTAAAAATAAATAAAAATATAATGCTTAAAATTACAATAGAAACTACCAAAAGTACAAAAATCAGAAACTTAAAAGTTGTGGTTTCTAAGGAGTGGGATTTGTACCCCGTGAAACAGAATGGTAAAATTTACTTTTTATTTTACAGAATTTGAACTTTTTGTTACTATGTATATTTTTATATCTATATTTTTTCATTTAGAGGAAAAAATTAAAGGAAGAAAATACAAAAGAAGAACATAGAAGAATGAAAAAAGAAATAAGCATGCATCAAATTCCACACAATAGAATACTGTGCAGCTGTACAAAATATGGGGGCAGATTCATTGTCATGCTATGGAAAAGGTCTCTAAAACATATTGCTAAATAAAAAATAATCCTGGTACAAAACAATATATGTAATACAGAGTTACTCGTGTAATACAAAATTGTATACATTTGCATATCCCTAGAAAAATATGGAGGACACTTTCCAAATCTAAGACTCCTGTGAGGGGTAGAATTGGGGCTGGATAGAATCAGAGAGAAGGATTTGACTTACTACTTATTTGATGTGAATGTCTGTATACTGTTAGACTCTATACTGTATACTTCTCTACTAATTTTTACAATAAACTTATTTTTTGTATAGTTAAAAACTTTAAAAATTAATAAAGACACTGTGTCAATTAGGTCTCTTGGAAAGCCAACATCGAGAGAGTTAGGGGTGCAAATGGTTTAGTGGAGGATAAAGCTGGGGAAAGACAAATGTGGAGGGAGCATAACTGGTCAGGGGAAGGCTTCCCACCTGCAGGCAGTTCTCCTACCAGTGACAGGAAAGGAGGAGGAAGTGGGCTTAGGCAAGGCAGCCTCAGACGATGATGCAGATCTGCCAGAGGCACGGCCAACCCAATGGGAGCTCCAGAGCACACACTGTCTGAGGGCTGCCTGAGAAAAGTGTGAAGATGGCTGGGAAGCAAGGTAGATCCGAAGGTGCTAGCAGCTGGAGGTTGTCATCTGTCTTGCAGCTGAACAGCCAATACTTTCTCCAAGGTGCACAGCAGTGCACCTTCCTAGCGGCCACAGCATGGTATGCCCCTTAGAAGCTCACTGTCCAGAGTCTTGCCCCACTCAGTGCTCCACAAGCAGGCAGCCAGAACAAGCATCTAACAGACACACTGTCTCAGGTGTATGTTAGTGCAGGTCGCGCCACCCTGGGGCTGCTTCCAAGGGTGCTTCCTTCAGCTTAGGCTTCCTTTCTCTACAAGGAGGAAATTGAAACCATTTGTGAAAGAGCATTTCCTTTTCAGAGTCTTATCCTAGTACCTCCGAGAACTCTGTGAGTCTGTTCATAGACGGGGAGGGAGCAGGAGAAAAGGCTGAGGGCTTTTTAATACCTGGGACAAAAGAATCTTTCCCTTAAAATAAAAAATGCCTAAAAATTCTAAATTAAAACTCCAGTACCTGTGCAGTATAACGTACTCAGTTTTCAAAACTCTCTGACAGATAAAGATGATGAAAACTCATTAGATAGATTCTCATGACCTATCTCTCTCTGAAAGATTACACCTGGATTTTTTGTTCTTCACAACTTAGTGAAGAATAACAAATTCAGAAACATTTTCTCATTCCCATTACTCAACACATAGATCAGAGACCTTTATTTAGCTACAAATTTTTATGAATCAATGTTTCCATTTATCTCTGCATGATGTAATCAAAGTTTACTGAGTCCTTTTCACCCAGAGGAAAAGAAGAAGAAGAAGAAGAAGAAGAAGAGGAAGAAGAGGAAGAAGAGGAAGAAGAAGAAGAAGAAGAAGAAGAAGAAGAAGAAGAAGAAGAAGAAGAAGAAGAAGAAGAAGAAGAGCCCTTTCTCTTGCTTTTAGTAAATGGGGTCTTAATTCCTGGTGTGAGATCTTGTCTTGACTCTACCTCGCAATTCAGCTTGACAGGGATGCTTCTTCAAGAGAAATCAGAAGTGTGCTCATTCTGGCCCACAAATAAGAATGGCTTTCTTTTTCATAAAAACATATCTATCTATTAATTTTATAAACTTAGTATATTATGTGTCTTGTCATAATTTCTAGTCTTATGATTTCATTTTGATTCTAATTTGAGAGAGAGAGAGAACTTATATTAACCAAAGGTTGCCAGACAATACAGTGACCCAAAACTTTATCTTCCTGAAATAATGTGCATGCAATAAGTTTCTTCCATTCTCTTAACACAGGTAGATGGTGTTCCACCTCTGCAGTGTAGATCCTTTATGTAAAATGATGGGCTTTGGACTGGGGTTGCCTCTCAAGAGTGATGTGACAAATGAACACTTCTCTTAGGAAAAAAAGAAAAAGAAAGAAAGCATATACTTCCCCAAGATAACAGTGCTTAGTCATTCAGCAAGTATTTACTGGGTCCTTACTATCTGCCAGGAAACGTTCTAAGAGCTAAGGATAAAGCAATGAATAAAACAGATGAAAAATTCCACTCTTACACCAAAGGCATCATCCATGAAAGAAAAAATTGAATGAAGTTGGACATTATTAAAATTAAAAACTTCTACTCTGTGAAAGACATTGTTCAGAGAATAAAAAGACAAGCCGCAGACTGGCAGAAAATCTTTGCAAAACACGTATCCATTAAAAGACTGTTCTCCAAAATACACAAAGAACTCTTAAAACTGCACAATAAAAAACAAATAACTCAATTTAAAAAATGGGTCAAAGACATCAACAGACACCTCACCAAAGAAGATCCACAGATGGCAAATAAGCATGAAAAGATGCCCAACGTTACATCCCATTAGGGAACTGTAAATTACAACAACAATGAGATACCACTACATATTGGAATGGACAGAATCCAGAATGCTGACAGCACCAAATGCTGGTGAGGATGTGGAGCAACAGGAACTTTCATTCATTGTTGGCGGGAATGCAACATGACACAGCCACTTTGGAAGACAGTTTGTCAGTTTCTTACAAAAATAAACATAATTTTACCCCACAATCCAGCAATTATGGCTTTTGTTATTTACCCAAATGAATTGAAAACATATGTCCATAAAAAAACCTGTACATAAAGTGTGATAGCAACATTATTCATAATTTCCAAAACTTTCTAAAGCAAACATGATGTCCTTCAGTAGGTGAATGGATGAGCAAACTGTGGTACATCCAGACAAAGAAATATTAGTCTGCACTAAAAAGAAGAAATGAACTATCGAGCCACAAAAAGACATGGAGGAAACTTAACTGCATATTGCTAGGTGAAAAAAAAATCCAATTTGAAAAGACTACATGCTTTATGATTCCAACTGTATAACATTCTGAAAAAGGCAAAACTATGGAGAAAGTTAAAGAGATCAGCGGTTGCTAGGGGGTTAATTCAGTAGAGGAACAGAGGGAGGAATCAAGAGGGCAAGCACAAGGGATTTTAAGGGCAGTGAAACTATTCTGTATGATACCCTAATGGTGGATGCATGTCACACTACATTTGTCAAAACCCATAGACTGTACAACACAAAGAATAATCCTAACATAAACTATGAACTTTAGTTAATAATAATGTATCAATATTCAATTATCAATGGTAACAAATAAACCACACTTACCACAGGATGTGAATACAGGAGAAACTGTGTTGAGGGAGGGAGGAGAGAGAATATATACTTGCCACTCAAATTTTTGTATGCCTAAAACTATTTTGAAAAATAAATCTATTAATTAAAAAAATGCTACTTTTATAAAACTTACAGTCCAGTGAGGGGGCGTGGAGGGAAGGGTGGAGGGAATCAGTAAATAAAGTAATGGGAATGAATGATATACCATGGTAAAAGGTGATAAGTGCTATGGAAAAAAATAAAACATGGAAGAGCTACAGGAGTACCCAGATACAAAGCAGCATTGCAACACCAAAAAGGGAGGTGAAGGAAGAGTTCACAGGCAAGTGAACATTCAAACACATTGAAGTCAGGGAATGAACCATAGGATCACTGAAAAAATAATATTCCAGGCATGTGCTGAGAGTTGGAAGAAAAGCAAGTCAGTCACAGTGGCTGGAGTGGAGTGACCTAGAAGGTGTTAAGGTCAGAGAAGGTGCAAGGGAAGCGGGAGCCAGGATCTGCAACGTTTTGTAGACCATTACAACAGCTTTTACCCTGAGTAGGATAGGTAGTCATAAAAAGGCTTTGAGTGAAGGAATGATATGTTCTGATAGGATCACTGGGTTACCATGTTGAAAATAAACAGTATGGCGCCGGGTGTGGTGGCACATGCCTGTAATCCCAGCACTTTCGGAGGCCAAGGAGGGTGGATCACAAGGTCAGGAGTTCGAGACCAGCCTAGCCAATATGGTGAAACCCTGTCTCTACTAAAAATACAAAAATTAGCCGGGCGTGGTGGCATGTGCCTGTAGTCCCAGCTACTCAGGAGGCTGAGGCAGGAGAATCACTTGAACCCAGGAAGCAGGGTTTCAGTGAGCCGAGATCACGCCACTGCACTCCAGCCTGGGCGACAGAGTGAGACTCCATCTCAAAAAAAAAAAAAAAAGAAAAGAAAAAAAGAAACAAACAAAGAAAGAAAAGAAAAGAAAAAAAGAAAATAAGCAGTATGGGGGAAAGGGTAGAAGCAAGGACCCCAGCAGGAGGTGTCACAGTAGCCCAGGCTAGAGGCAATGAATGTTTGGACCAGGTTACAGCAGTGCAGGTGCAGAGAAATGCTCATAGTTCAGATATACTTCCATGAAGAGCTCACAGGGTTGCAGTACAGATGAGCTCCAAAGGGGGAGTCCCAAGCAGGGCAGAGGAGACTCCAGGTGGAGCCAGCTCTCTCCCAAGGGTCACTTATCCCATGCAGCTGAGAAATCCTGGGCACCATGAAAGGAGCTGGGTCTGTGGAGTCAGACAGATCTGTGTTGAATGCTAGTTCCTCCACTAACCAGCTCCATGGTCGTGATTAATTTCCCTCACAGGTTTCTGGTTTCCTTATCTAAAAATTGTAATGATACTTGCCTTACAGAAATGATGCGAGGGTGAAATAAATAATATCTAGTACATAGGAGGTACTCAAACAGTGGTAGTTTCCTCCACAGGAAGATTCCTGCTGTCAGCACCAACTCCTGCCCCAGGCATGAATGAGACACCATTGAAGCTGCAGCTCACACACACAGGTTATGAAGGGGCTGACAACAAAGCCTTTTCCTATCACAATTGACCCAGCCACCACCACCGAGGAGTGCTCCCATGACAACAGCAGGGGACTGTCGAACCCTTCAAATGTCACCCATGTGATTCCTGAGAGCCTCCTCTTTAGAGAGTGCCTTCTGCTGAGCATTCACATGGAACACAAATATCTTCATGCTTGGTGCCCATTCCAAGATGCCACCCACATGCTTTTCTTCAAAAGCCTTCCTCGTCGCCATCCTCTCAGCTTGTTCTTTTCAAGTCCCTGGCTGCTCAGCCACACCAGCATGCTCAGCCACACCAGTTAACCATAAACAGTGTAGATACGTACCCCTCTGGCCTTCTCATCACCCAGGCAAAGTGAACAATAGGATGAAGTGTTCAACAGCATGGATCATTTCCCCTCCCCAAGGTCTTCAGGACACTCCTACTTGGATAATATTGTAGTCATCCCACTGCCAGCCAATACCAACATATTGTGCAGAACCATCTGTAGCCTAATGCCCAGATTTTTCTTCCTCAGTCAACTCTGTCCATGGGGTTGAGGGGTAAGAATAGGGAAGAGAGAGGCCCTTTCTCTTCTGTTCTCATGGCTGTTTCCTACTTCCATGTTTAAGCTCCACCCTCAGGTCTCAGGCTAGCATACAGAGCTGTAGCAGTTTATACGACTTCACACTACATTTTCTGTTAGAGTATAGACTCTCTCTTCTCCCAACCAACAGTCAAACTTTCTGGCCTTCATTCTAATTTGTTGAACTCTATTTACTTCTCCTTTCTTGAACTAATCGCTTTGATCATGAGAAAGTCAATCACTGATTGGCTTATTCTGAGTTACGTAACAATTTCTGAACTGGAAACTGGAGTCATTACAATGAAATTACATTGTTTGGCTAAGGCTGGTCCAGGTTCATCCTGAATTGATTGGTGGAGTAAATCCTACTGAAAGTTCTGACTGCTAAGCAACCAAAGAGAAACCTCGGTGCCATCAGGAAAGAGGGAGAAGAGAGTGAACAATAGACAAATAACCTACAAACATCCAACACTACCATCACTACCATTTCCATGTGTTCTAATGGATGGGATGAGGAAGAAGGAGATAGAATAAACCAAAAGGTCAAGAGAGAAGAAAAGAAAAAGGGAGTAAAAAATTATAAGAAACATCAGAGACGTATCTAATTTGCATCCACGCACTCAGATACAGGGGAAAATGAGATAGACAGACGAAAGAAAAATGAGGGAGGAACCACTGTCCTGAATTTCCAGTTTGCCTCCAAAAATGAAGATGATATGAACGTATGCTTATGCAAACTTAAGAGTGGGTTCCAAAAACTATTTTGGCCATAGTAGCTGTACAAAACCTTATGAAAACACTGGAAGTGCTGTTTGTTCTTCATCCCTCTGTGAAGCATTCCAATTATGTTTCCAATCTCTTTATCACAATTATGAATAGCTGTAGAGGACTCTAGATATTACTGTGCATTTTGGGTTGCCCAAGAAATGGACCCTGACACAAGGCTTTGAATATAAACGGTTTATTTCACAGGTAATTCCAAAATGAAGAGAGGAGTGAATTAAATTTCTATTGTTGCCAAAACATCACACATTTGCTGGCTTAAAACAAGACACATTTATTAATTTACAGTTCTTAGATCAGAAATCCAATGTTGACCTCACTGAGATAGGATGAAGGAGTAGGCAGCCCTTGCCTTTTCCAGCCTCTCAAGGCCACCTGCATCCCCTGGCTCATGGCCCCCTTCCTCCATCATCAAAGCCAACAACATTGCATCTCTCTCACCCTTTTTCCGTCATCTCTCTCACCAGCCAGAAAAGATTCTCAGCTTCCCAAGACCCATGACAGTAGATTGGGCCCACCTAGATAATCCAATATCCCTGTCTCAAGTTCCATAACCTTAATCACATCTTCGAAGTCCCTTTTGCCATGTAAGCTAACAGACTCAGAAGTCCTGGAGACTAGGGTAGGGTCATCTTTGGGGGTTATTCTGCCTACCTCGGGGAGTATGGAAGTGAGACAGCAAAGAGAATGAAGCCCAAAGAGCATGCATTGATGGGCAGGTTGCTGCTGTAAGCACCTGGGGCTCAGTCCCCCCGGGGCATCCGGGAGATGGTGTCAAACTCATCTCAGAATTGTCCCACTCTAAAGCACAACATCTCTATCCATCATTGGCTGAGAGCCTCTCCTAGAGGCATCTCCTGAAAGCCCTCAGGCCAAGAGTTGTAGACACTTCCCAGAGGAAGCCAGCAGCACAGAGCGTGGGAACTGTGAGTGCTGAAGAAATCTCGGTGAGGTGCCAACAGCATCTGCTACACAGAGAAACAATTTAGTGTTGGATTGTCAGAGTCGATGTAAAGCAGCAGATGAATCCTTTATAATCTCTCCATCTCTTCTTCAATTAGGAGTAGTTTAGTGGAATCACAAGACCGAGGACTGGAAACCTCGGTTCGTGTCCTTTATCTGCTACACTGCGTTGAATTATTGGCCCAAACACTTGTCTGAGGTTCCACTTCCAATCTGAGAAGTTGGACTGAAAAAGCTCTAAACGTTCTTCCAGTTCAGACATGCTGCATTTTGTGCGTTTTCAGGACAATGGCCCTGGCAATGGCTGTAGATAACATAAAGAAGACATGATAATTTTCTGAAAAGGCAAGAAAGTCTTTTTCACCTCTGGTAGAAGTATTCTTTGGGGTTGGTGGAACATGCTTTAGGGTTTTAGCTCCAAACTTTCTGAAAAAATCTGCAGCTTCCATCTTTACCACTGAAGTTGAGGAATGTTTAAGGACATTTCATAAAAGAAATCCACACCACAAGAAGGGAACAGCTGCAGATGTGAACTTTTTCCTAACTCGATTTCAAATGTCAATACACAGTTCACTGACAAAAAGTGGCAGGAAACAAAAAATAATAATAATTATGTATGGTGTCTGCAATTAACTTCGGATGCTAACCAGGGAAAACCAAGAACCAACTAAATTAGACCTTAACCAATCACAGGAAAGTTGGAAAATTGTTCAAGTATGCCAGACTACAATCGTTCTTGGCCTCAGGAATGAGTTCTTGACCTTGGAAAAACTTGTGAGTCAATGCAGAATTTCCTGGGAATCCTCCAGATAGATTTGAAAATGCTTGACAGACTCTGAATGTGCAAGTTATTGTGGTTCAAAATAAAAATTCACCTCTAGGAAATCAGAAGAGTTTTGAGACAACATGACAGGAGCTAGGGTAGAAGCACGGGCATGAGGTGGAATCAAGCCCTGCCTGTGCACAGTCACCTGGCAGTGCTTTCAGTGGGTATGTTGCTAAACTACCTGGTTCCATCTCTGTCATCTATACACATTATCCTCCCTTGGTTCCAATCGTACTCTCTTTCAGTTGTCTTAATAAATAAATAAAAATAAAAATACATCTATTTTATTTATTTATTTACTTATTTTTGAGATGGAGTCTTGCTCTGTCTCCCAGGCTGAAATGCAGTAGTGTGATCTCAGCTCACTGCAACCTCTGCTGCCTGGGTTCCAGCGATTCTCTTGCCTCAGCCTCCCAAGTAGCTGGGACCACAGGTGTGTGCCACCACACCCGGCTAATTTTTGTATTTTTAGTAGAGGTGGGGTTTCTGACCTGGGTGTGGGACACAATGCTCTTTACCCTTTGACCTTGCTAATCATACCTATACTGTTTCTAGAAGAATGCACTGCAGGATTTGCAGATATTACCGTTTATTTGGGTGACAGCTTAGAGTGTGTCCTCTAACAAGCTGAGCAGATGCTTTGCATTTAGGGTCTCATCCTCTTCTGTATTTTCTATCTTTATATGAAAGTTCAACCCAGGGTTGAACAAGTGCTGTGAAATGGATATGTTATATGTTTGAATAGTTTGTTTTTAAATTTTGATACTAATCAAGTTAATGTGGACAAATACACACAACACTATAACAACACTTAATTGTAATAATTTTAAGGTAATAACCTTGTCTCTAATGTACCACATTTTCACATTTCTAGATGAGCATTGGATTTTCCCTGCGTATTACTTTTAGATATTAAAATTGGATAGGCATAGACTTTAAATAATTTTGATTACTCAACATTTGCTTAAAATTAAAAAAGAAAAGCCCTCATAATTAATAGCTGGAATAGAATATATCCAAACTACTTATAGTTGGTTCTGTTCAGTCTACCTTTCAAAATAATAAATTCTAATTATAAAGTAAAAATAATAAAATTATGGATAACCTTATCCACATGATTCCTAATAATGTTTGTAGCAGAAGACAAGTATAACCTCATTTTCCCTAGAAGAAAGCTGAGGCTCAGAGCGGCTAAGCCACCTGCCCCAGGTTATTCAGAGTTCAGAGTTTCAATTCTGGCTCTATTCCTACCTCATCCTTACAACACAAAAGATGGTGGTGGGCTGGCTGCTGACCTGGTGAAATGGCAAAATGTTTCCCTGTCTCCAGACACTCTGTTCTGTAACTTTCCCCTTTCACTCTTGTAAATGTCCAAAACCTCTCGTGCTAATTTCTTACCAAAACCTATGCTCGACAAAGACTTAAAATCAGTTAATATTAGTATGCAGCCTAGTGTTTTCTTTTCCAGAAGAATTTCACTTTTAACAGAGTTCTGGAACTTACGCTCTAGGAATAAACTTTTCAGGGAGCTTTGAACTAAAAAGCTGCAGCGGAGGGTTTTGTGAAAAGGAGTGGTGAGGTGAGAAAGAGGTAAGAAGACTACTGCACAACACCAACTGTATGCTGGGCAATAAAGTCTTTCATGCTTAAACTAGGTTTTTATTTTCTTTTTTTAAGCCTTCTTTACTCATACTAGCCTCAGTATTCCTTACAATTTCCAAAAAAATTTCTTTGGGGAATTTTGTTGTGAAATGAAAAATGGAAACATGGTTTCTCCAAACGTGTTCTCTTAGAAACCAAGTAGTTCGTGTGGTTTACATTTTCATCACTCTCTGAAACATATTTTCCAAAGGAGGGAGCCACACATGCCCACTGGGGCCCGGCTGGCTTTGGCAGCCTGTGAAAGCATTTTTTTTTTTTTTGATGACTTTGGTCATCCAACACTTAGTTATCCTTGTAGACATGGAATAATTACTCACAGGACTCTGTATGTGAGCTTTTTTTTTTTTAAAGTAATGATGAAGGTTGAATAACTACAGATTTTACAATTTTTAAATTTATTGAAATACTGTTGGTTTTGTGCCTTAAAGTTAGCATTCTGTTTATTCCTATACTTGCACAAATAGAAAAATAATCTCAACAAAAATTCCGAAGACAAATTTAGAATATCAGGGAATATCTTCGCTATGCAGACATGTGGTAAATACTTTTTTACGCACACTCTTTTCATGCTAGAAAAGAAAGAATGTATTAAAAGGAAAGCCAGGTTTTCTATCTGTTTGTTGGCACAGGGGGTGCTGATGAGCAAAATCAGAAGAAGGGAAAGAGAAGAGAAAAGAAGCTGAAAGTGTGATTCTGTCAAAACAATGTAATGAATTTATGACCAGAAACAAATTTGAGCCAAACTCAGTCACCAGTAAGCTGTTCAGCTTTATACAAGTCCCCTAACTCCACTGATCCTCTATTTTCTCAGCTGTAAAATGAAGGGTTGGACAATGATGTTATAAGAATCCATCCAACACACTATGATTCTGTGAAACCCAGTCTACCAGCCACAAGGAGCAGGGATAATAGCAAGAAACTCTTGAAATTTCCACCCCAAAATCTCGGCAGGAAGCCAGCCCTCAGCTGGGGCCTCCACATGCAGATGCATTCAATGACTGGGACACTGACTTTTTAACATATTAGGGTCCACAGAGGGAGAAGCAGAATTTTTCTAATAATATAAACACTTTTGAGAAAATTTTCAACCTAAACGAAATTAGGCTTCTTTCTCAAACTGATCAATAAGTATTATTACTAAGCCTTCATAGATTATTTTGAATTGTTGTCTGGGATAGAGACATTTAATAAGTTTTTAGAGTTTATTCCCAGAAATGACTCAGAATGGAGGAAAATCCAGTTGCACTTTACTTTAATCCACTCTGGTTGAGTATGCTTTACTGCTTGGGCCAGAATTCACAAACCAAGCCCAGTGGGGCTGAGAATATGAGATCAACCTACTCTAAGATTTGACTTCATTGAGTACAAATGTTCACTGGTGTCTGTAACAAGAAGACTAGTTGGCTCCAAGCCCCAAGTGGGAAAAGATACCCAAGTATACTAGCAAAGAAGAAACACTAGCAAATTCATAAATTATAGTTCCACAGATGCCCTGATGCCTGTGCTGAGCCTGAGGCTTGCTTAGAGTTTTCAGCAGATAAAATGCTGCTTGAACTTGCTCCCATGTATACTTCTGGGTTTAA
The DNA here is from genome assembly GCF_000001405.40 of Homo sapiens. Classification (NCBI taxonomy): domain Eukaryota; kingdom Metazoa; phylum Chordata; class Mammalia; order Primates; family Hominidae; genus Homo; species Homo sapiens. Next base: position 42,743,916 of record NC_000007.14, read on the forward strand.
AATGTAAACTTACAGAAATTTACCCACATTTTCATTTATTCATTGTCAGTAACAGCCTTAACCAAGGCAAACTCATTTATGTACAGTAAGTTATTATCTGTTACAGTAGAATCATTAAGATAATCTAATGTATCAACTTGATCATTTTTCTTCCTTTCCACAGATATTTGGTCTAGCGGTATGTAGTCCACTCATCAAACGGAAAGGAGGACATATTCCAGTACTCAACACTGTCCCTGGATGAGTGGTGAACCCCATAAGCAAACAGCAGAGAAGGCTAATTTAAACTCTAAATTCTGAAAAGGCCCTAATCCAGGAGTAATTAATCTGGGGACCAAGGAAAGACTTGGGGGGCTTATGGAGTCAAATGCAATATTATATGAATATGAGAATATGTGCATTTTTCTAAGGAGATGAATCATAATTCTCAAAGGATTCTATGACTTGCAAATCCATGAAATCCATATTTTTTTAAAAGTCTAGGAAGTACCTTGGGATAAGGCAGAAACTTCCAAATATAACATGCATGTGAAGGTACCTGGTAGAAAGTAAAATATAAACTGCAACCAGGTTGGAATAATGCCATAGTCACTAGCTTGAGAGGAAATAATGTGGGATGGGCTCTGAATGTGTGCCTTCCCCAGGAGAGAGCATGTTGGTTCCAGGTTAGAAGCCCAAAATATATTCCTAACATGAAGGTTGACGTACAGTGGTTTTTAAAAATGAAGAAGTCAGTGAAACTATCTTTGGAAAACTGGGAGCTCAGAGGAAGAATGAAGAAATCTTTGAGAGCATTAGATTCATAGTAAGCAAGAGGGTTATTTTGTGTTCTGAACTATTTAACAAAATATCTGTAGGCAGCATCCAGGGGCAGCAGTGGGGTCATGGTCTGGGTGTGCTTCAATCTAGGACCGAGAAAGAAAAATATTGTGCTTTCCAGTAATGAATGACCGTAACTCTCAACTTAGATGGGGTGGAATAAAAAAGAATAGCAAATTTCACATAAGGACTTGGACCTAGGAAAACAATCAGTTGCTTTCAAGATGACGCATGAAATACCAAAGTAACCATGGAGTTGAACAATGAACAATCTTGATCCCTCTTTGTACTTTGTAACATTATCCAGTTCCTGAAATAAGACAAAAACTATATTCAATAAGAACAAAAATGAATAAACTTTTTCACTCCTGAAGCTGATAATGTCAGTATGATTTGATTTGTTCATTTTTAAATGAACACTGTGATTGCAAGGATAATGATGAAAGCAAACTTAAACATATAGTTTCATGACTTATGGTAACATGGGTACTGTTCAAACTGTTCGCCACCGGTATAGTGATTAGATGCTTTCCTAAACCACACAAGAATCTGTAGGTCAAACAGGTGGTCATATGACATAGAGAGTAGTGTATTTCTATAGCTCTCACTTCTATCTACAATTAACGTTGTAGGACTTTAATATGCCCCTATAAGACATGGACCCTCTGTTCCTAATAATTTGGAGAATATCCTTGATGTACCCACAAATGCATCCTCTTAGCTACCCCAGAGAAGTCACCATTTTCTTTTGGTTTTTCTGTGATCTATTCTTTGGGTCTCTCATCCCTATGAAGCAGGCAACGTCCACCAGGGGCGCTAGACTTTGGATGCAAGACAAAGATGTCCCAGCTCATGATGATGCTTCTGCAAGTCTGTTTTTGGTGACTGAGGTTTGCTCTCTAGGGCACTGGTGTCCACCTGCTTGGAAGTGCTTCCAGGAGCTCCAAAGGGCACAAAAGGCTAATGTGGCTGAGTCTATATCCTTGAACTTTGTGCTACAAGGTTCCCAAGTAAAATTTCTGGATGCTCTCAAAATCTTCCAGAGATTCAAGTCAAACAGCTCTTTCTGTTTTTGCTCACAGGCACATTCTGTGCAGCCCAGGAATGAGTCCCTGGGGACTGGGCTAGAAGGCATTTTCAGGCCAGATAAATAACTATCCACTGGTGCTCAAATCACCCCTCTCACTGATGGTGAGAGGGCTTTCCTCCAAGCCCTTTTCTCTCCCCATGGTCAGTTCTTTGCCAGGAAGCTCCTCAGATTCTCATACAAACACCCTCTTGGAGGCCCTACTTCCCCAGCTGTGTTTTTCACTTTTCTCCTCCTTCAGGGGAGACTTCCATTTTATTTGGGAATTGTCGAATCCTAAAGTGAATGCAGATTCATCTCATGCTGGACCTTTGAACCAAAATATTTTTACATAGTCAAATCTATATAATTGTCTCATCCCTCCTTTTCAGTAACTTCCTATTAGCAGCTGTCAAGTTATCAGAGTTATCATCATTTATCCCCCTCACTTATTAAAAAAATTAAGTTTTTGCTACCCCTGAAATTTCAACCTAGGGAGTTCAGTGGTTAGCTTATGACTACACTAGGGAACAAAAGGCACCTTTCCAATTAGAGTTAATAGTGGGATAACTTCAGACACACAAAGGGAGAAAAAGGCACTTATGAGTCATGGTGAGTTCAAAAGGAAAGTGTTGAGGTGGAATCACAAAGCATCATGGGAAGTGCTATTCAAGCTACCACGTCAAAAAGCCTGATTAACAGCAGGTCCAAGTCGGCCTGATCACCAGGGAGTCTTACTGATAAAATTATTTCCCCTCCAGAGAGAATCTCCCTGAGCTGAATAAATGTTTCACTTCTGAATAGGATTCATAAAAAGGCAGGGGGATGGTGGTGACAAGAGAAAAGAACCATATTCATTGATTGATCTGAAATGTGTGACCTGAAATTGTTTATCAGTCTTCACGTCTTAAATGAAATAGAAATTTATGCTTGTTTTAAGTCATTGGAGTGCCAAAATTCAAGTTACTCTGCACATATATGTAATTAATAATGCTCTAATATGGAAAAGTAATAGAAAAGGTAATAGAAAAGGTAATTTTAGATTATTTAAATATTTTATTGATTCTCACTTTGAATGTTAATATTTTCAGTAAACATGTTGATAAATCCTTTTATTCATGAAGTTTTGCACAGCTTAATTTTTGTAGTAATTAAACATTAGTTTGAGTTTCTCATTATAAATGTTTCTTCTCTCTTAGGTCAATTTGTTTCACCATCTTTGTATTACCTTATCTCTTTTAAACAAGCTTTCATTTTTTTCCTCCATATGAAACAAGTAAACAGTGTGCAGTCTATATAGGAAATGATGCAAACCACAGGGAAAAATGTACAGTGAGGAAGAAGGCTACTTGTGTGCAACATAGGAGCACTATTATTTAAGAAGTAATATGCTGTTCCTGAATACTATAAATATGTCATCACTCTAATGAAATGATAATGAGGCATTTGTGACTACATATTTGTTACCATGGTAACAAACGATGACATCATAAACACAAATGACTGACATAATTGTAGCAGCATCTGGACAGTGAAGAAAGAAGTCTCATGTATATCTAATTGCTTCTGACTACAACAGCTGAAATAACATTCATGATATTAAATTCAATAAAATTATTTAGAAAGAAATATAATGATAGCGAATGGTGCAGGTAAAATAAGGGACCTTCTCGAGTCTTCATGAAATGTGAAATTACAGAGACATGCTGTCTTACATAAATAGAGTTTTTGCAGTGAAATCCAAGTAGAAACTTCAGCTGGTCTTATGTGACACCTCAGTTTAAGGATTGTTTAGAGAAAGAACTGGAAATATTGGACAGAGGCTGGGAAGATTGCTGTGAGTTAGGGAGGAGAGCAGATCATGTGCTTTGCAGCCATCAGAGAGTAGTGCAAGTCAGGGGATGGGTGGCCTGGTCCCACAGAGGGCAGTAAGTTATAGAGATATGGTGGACTCTGGCTGAAAGGACAATATGTTTCAGCAGAGGAGTTGGAGAAAAGACAAGGAGCTACATAGCAAGAGAGTGGAGTGGAAGTAGATATGGACCTCGGCTGGGCCTCATCTCTTTTTGGTGTCTAAGAATTCATTTCAAACACCAGTATTTGAATTTTCTGGATCACTAGCCCTTTATTCCTTTTTTTATTATACTTTAAGTTATAGCATACATGTGCACAACATGTAGGTTTGTTATATATGTATACATGTGCCATGTTGGTGTGCTGCACCTATCAACTCGTCATTTACATTGGGTATATCTCCTAATGCTTTCCCTCCCACTTCCCCCACCCCACAACAGGCCCCGGTGTGTGATGTTCCCCTTCCTGTGTCCAAGTGTTCTCATTGTTCAATTCCCACCTATGAGTGAGAACATGCAGGGATTGGTTTTTTGTTCTTGCGATAGTTTGCTAAGAATGATGGTTTCCAGCTTCATCCATGTCCCTACAAAGGACATGAACTCATCCTTTCTCATGGCTGCATAGTATTCCATGGTGTATATGTGCCACATGTTCTTAATCCAGTCTATCATTGTTGGACATTTGGGTTGGTTCCAAGACTTTGCTATTGTGAATAGTGCCGCAATAAACATATGTGTGCATGTGTCTTTACAGCAGCCTGATTTATAATCCTTTGGGTATATACCCAGTAATGGGATGGCTGGGTCAAATGGTATTTCTAGTTCTAGATCCTTGAGGAATCACCACACTGTCTTCCACAATGGTTGAACTAGTTTACAGTCCCACCAACAGTGTAAAAGTGTTCCTATTTCTCCACATCCTCTCCAGCACCAGTTGTTTCCTGATTTTTTAATGATCGCCATTCTAACTGGTGTGAGATGGTATCTCATTGTGGTTTTGATTTGCATTTCTCTGATGGCCAACGATGATGAGCATTTTTTCATGTGTCTGTTGGCTGCATAAATGTCTTCTTTTGAGAAGTGTCTGTTCATTTTCTTAACCCACTTTTTGATGGGGTTGTTTGTTTTTTTATTGTAAATTTGTTTGAGTTCTTTGTAGATTCTGGATATTAGCTGTTTGTCAGATGAGTAGATTGCAAAAATGTTCTCCCATTTTGTAGGTTGCCTGTTCACTCTGATGGTAGTTTCTTTTGCTGTGCAGAAGCTCTTTAGTTTAATTAGATCCCATTTGTCAATTTTGGCTTTTGTTGCCATTGCTTTTGGTGTTTTAGGCATGAAGTCCTTGCCCATGCCTATGTCCTGAATGGTATTGCCTAGGTTTTCTTCTACGGTTTTTATGGTTTCAGGTCTAACATTTAAGTCTTTAACCCATCTTGAATTAATTTTTGTATAAGGTGTAAGGAAGGGATCCAGTTTCAGCTTTCTACATATGGCTAGCCAGTTTTCCCAGCACCATTTATGAAATAGGGAGTCCTTTCCCCATTTCTTGTTTTTGACAGGTTTGTCAAAGATCAGATGGTTATAGATGTGTGGTATTCTTTTTGAGGGCTCTGTTCTGTTCCATTGCTCTATATCTCTGTTTTGATAACAGTACCATGCTGTTTTGGTTACTGTAACCTTGTAGTATAGTTTGAAGTCAGGTAGCGTGATGCCTCCAGCTTTGTTCTTTTGGCTTAGGATTGTCTTGGCAATGTGGGCTCTTTTTTGGTTCCAGATGAACTTTAGTTTTTTCCAATTCTGTGAAGAAAGTCATTGGTAGCTTGATGGGGATGGCACTGAATCTATAAATTGCCTTGCATTAGCCCCTTATTCCTAGTGCAGGGTCATCTGGCCTCTCCAAAATCTTCACCAGTTATTTCTCAGACTCTCAGAGAGAGTGTCGCCTAGGCTCAGGAATAAATATGCTCTTGTTTTTCCAGAAACTCCAAAAGGTCCCAAATAGTCCAAAGTAAGGATAGGTATTATGGCACCTTATGTCACCCGTCACTTTCCCACTGGTCTCCCTAATTCCCTTGCATAGACTTCTCCCAGTGTACTCTAGGAAAAAAAACCCGTCATACATATCAATTCCTGTCTAGAAACCCAGGCCCTGGGGAGTAAGGGTATTGGGGTGGGGGTTGGCCTTGGACCCAGGAACTCACATTTTATTTAAGCATACCTGGCTCATGGCTGGTTCATGTCATCCTGTATTTAAGTATACCTCCCTGTGGGAAAAGCCCTCCTTGAGGGGCCAGAACATCTGGAGTCTAGCCACGATTTTACCTTCTACCTTGTGACTTTCAGGTAAATCCTCAATTCTCTCAACTTTTTTCCTATATTTACAATTATGTTAATAACATTCATTCCTACCTCTTTCAGAGAGGTATTGACAGGGATGATTTATGGAAAAATGTTTTGTAGCTGTAAAGCACATAGCAAAGTCAAGGCACTATAGCTGTGATTTCTGGTTTCATCTGGTTTCGAGTTTGACACACCTTCCAATAACTTTTTGATGACTGCAGTTCTCATTCCTCCTTCTTTTGCTCTTTTTCTACCTTTGATACGGTCTTCAGAGAGATGATTGTTCATTCAAGGCATATGTATGAAGAAATCTAGGAGTTTACAGACTTTAAATGGGATTGACTTAATATGTGACCACATCAACAAATAATGCAGAAGCAACCCCACCCTTTCTACAGAGTTCCCTTTTCTGGCATAAATAAAAACTTGAGATGAAAAAAGCGGTAATGACTGCCTGATGAACTTTATCTGTGTTGCTCTCTTTTGAACTCTTGCTCCTTTTCGTTCACTCTTTTTATTTGCCCCCTTGGTCTGTGCTCCCTAAAATAAAGACATGAAGCCAAAATTACAAGGTACCCAAAGGAAAATAAAATTGGATGAAAATGTACCCAGGGACACTGAAGAGAGAAATAGCTAAGAAAATACATATAAAGATAAAAAAGATGAGACAGAAAATTACATAGAATATCCAACATATCCAACATATTTTTAATTTGCACATACTGACATGCCTGTCAAATCAGCCAGTTCCAAAGAAATAAGTACATAATGATATTCTAATTTTATATGTAAGAAAACAAATCCAGGGCAGAAAAGGGAATTCTCCACAGCCAAAGAGCACTGAAAAGAACAGGTCAGTTCAGAGATTCCCTTGGGGTTAAGCAAATAATGGAGGGATGAGGATATTGTGTGTAGAGTTATCTATATGGAAATGAGGAAGAGAGAAACTGATGTATGACTAGGACTCAAAGAACTTTGCCAAAAACATGCAGCTGGGCCATATAAAGACTAAAACAGTTGAGAGCTAAAAGACCACCTAATATGCAATTATCCTCTATCCACCAGTCACGGGGTGAGCATAAGAGTTTTTTGATCGATATTCTTGTGCAAGTTCTCCAACACTATCACAACTTGCTCATCAAAGACTCCATGGGCAGACTGCTCACATCAATACTTCCAACTTTTGACATGAAAAAATGACAACAGTGATGAAGATGATAATGCTGATGACCATAAAGTATTAATCATGTACCATGGGCCAGGCAATGTGTTAAGTATTAGCCCCCTTAGACAGAAAATAAAACTCAGGCTGGGACTTAGATCTAGTAAAATACTTACCTTGCCAATCTGATTACAAAGCTCACTGTGCTGTAACATCTGCAGATTTCGTGACTCTTCCATAGATGAATTAGCTGTTTCTGCCTCAGCTGTGGGGTCATACAGAACCTACATGGCGACTTATACTTCAGGATACATCTATGGCCACTACCTTGCACAGATGACTATGAGAATGACAAAACCAAGATTCCAAGCCATGCAGGTGCCTTCATTTCTTGGGGTGGCTAACCTGCTTGTTCAGAGATCGTCATCACCTCCCTCTCCTTGCACTCAAGCCTGATGTTTGACTTACTCTCGTGACTGATCCTACACCGAGATTCTGCAACTTCCACATCTAGAAAAAGTTTTACCCCCAAAATCTAAGTTCTAACAGAAAGTCAAATATTGTAGGTTGTCACTTATGAATAGGAGCTAATCAATGGGTACACACGGACATACAGAATGGAAAAACAGACAGTGGAGATGCCAGAAGGTGGGAAAGTGAGAGGAAAGTGAGGGCTGAAAAATTACCTACTGGATACAATGTTCACTATTCAAGTAATAAGTATGCTAAAGGCCCAGTCACGTGGCCTAATAACTGCAAGGAAGGCTGGGAAACTAAGTCTTCTTTTCTGTACTCAAGAAGGAGTAATGGATGGGTGAGCATCTTCCAGGCTCTGCCTGTAAATTGTATAATCTTCTAGCCATTTAAATTCTAGATCAAACCTTGCTAATACCACACATCTGTTTACTCAGGCAATTCTGTAACCTCTACATTCAAATTATATTGAGAATATAACTGCTTATCACCACCCGTGCTGGTTCCACAAGGGTCTCAGCCTCCATCATCTCTTGCCTTGATGAGTGCAAGAGATTCCTTACTGGGTTCCTTCCTTCTACCCCTGCCCAGTTTGTCTTTTCTCAAAATCAGCCAGAGTGATCACGCTGAATGTGGGTCAAGTTATGGTCTGCCCCCTTTCATGCAGAGTGAAATGTTCTTCAGAGCCAACTTCTTCCCATGGCCTGCAAGGCCCTTCGCCATCTGCTCCCCATGATCTCTGACCTCATTGCCTGTTCTTCTCCCCCTTTTTGCTCCTCAAATACCCCATCATGCTTCCACCTTAGGTCCTTTGCACCAGCTGTTTCTTCCTCCTGAAATGCCTTTCTCCCAGATATCACCATGGCTCATTTCCCCTCCTCCTTCAAGTCTGCACTCAACTGTCATTCTCTCAGTGAGGCCTTCCTGGCCAAGTCCTGCTCCCCACACCCTGGCACTTCCCATTCCCATTTTCCCACTCTTTTTGCAGGGGAGGGGATGTTCATTGTGCTTATCCCCTTTCAACATCGTGTATAACTTCCGTTTCTTTTTTTTCTTATCTGACCCACCCTATTAATTAGAATAGAAGCTCATGAGAGCAAGGAATTTTGTCTATTTGGTTCACAAGATCCTACAACAGTTGCCTGGCATGTTATACTGTTATATTGTCAAATAAATGGGTGAATGGATCCTGGCACCCAACAGACCTAGTGCTAAATCCCAGAATGCTCTTCACTATTTCTACTAGAAGATGTAGGAGAGGTAAATACATCTCCTTCCTTGATATCCAAGAATTCCCAATTTAGGTATGTCAATTAGGCCTTTACCATGGTTTTTGCTAAAATTAATCAGTCACCTATGTTCGTCACTTGGCTACGTCCATTTTTTAGTTTTCTGTATGTTTTCCTTTTTATCCCTTCTGTTTTTGACACTACCAGTAGAGCATACTTAAATGTTAAGATGTTTAAGGCAAGGATATGACTTTCAATTTTATCAGTACATCAAGTAACTTAATAAAATTAATTGGGTACTATTGTTGCTGATTTTTTACATAAACATTTTAGCAATTTATCTTAGGTTTTATATCCATGCAGTTTATCTTCTATATAGAGAACCAGACCAACCAAAGAAAAGGGGTGAGCTGAGGAAACGAACATTCTCCCACCACACAAGACTCCCCCTCAATGAGTCCTGCAACTCCTTGGGGGCAGCCGCACTAAGCTGTCAGAACTTAGTAAATGAGCCTCCTCTCATTAGAAAGAAAGTCTGAGAAGCAGACCAGAGAGTTTAGAGACCATTTTTCTCTTCCCTCCCAAGAGCCTGGGCTGCTGGTGTCTGGACGCAAGCTGAGCATTACAGTCATTGTTTTAAATAAAGGGCCTCTTTGATCTGGTTTAAAAACACAAAACAGAAGGGCCTTTGCCCAATGTGAATTTGACATGTGTCCTTTGATCCTGTAAATAATCAAATTTGAACACACTGTGTCTTATAACCACAATTGCAAAGTGTGGAATGAGGCGAGTTTTTGTTATAAAAAGACAATTTGCATGTATTAAGCAATATTTTCCAACAATACATTCTTGTTTCCAAGATTCTTTGCATGTTCCTTCATCAGCAAAAATACTACTTATTTCTTTTTCCTACCCTTCCCCATAATTCTTAACAATAAAGGGAGGTCTATTTAAAGAGCTCATTTTCCACAGATAGGGGGAAAAAATAGTGTTTTCAAAGAAACCCAAGCCAAAGTCATTCAGATTCTTTCAATCTGGGATTCTGGAGAGCTTGACTTTTTAGGGTAGAACAATTCTTTAAGGGTTTCACCATGCAGTCCAGAGGTTAGCACTGTCTGGATATCATCAAGTGTGTGAAACACTAGGCCCAGAAAGGAAAAGACTCAGCAGGAAGTAGGAAAACGTTTACTTTCAATGCGACTTTCTTGGGTCTTTTGGCCTCTGGATTTCTAAGCCCCAAGGCCCAAGAGAGGTTATAACCCTGAGCCCAAGCTTCCTGGAGCATCAAAGTCATTTCTGAACTTACAGGGTGAAATGTATTTAAAGCCATTCCCCAGAGGGAGTTGCAAAAGTTGGAGGTTGTTTCACTGTCAGGGTCAATTTATATTCGAACCAGTGCAGGAGATGGGGTCTTTGCCCAGGGGACTTCCTAGGAAAAACAGAATTGACCTACTTTTAAGGAGAATGAATTCCAGAACTCAGTCCTTGTGACCCACTCCCCACCCACATCCGTTCTCCATTCTTCCAGTGGAGGAGAAAACTTTCTGCAAATCACTTCTGCTAATAACAATTGTCACCCTTAGTACAAGGAACTGCCAGGATCTCTGGGTCCCTAACCCTCATCATTAACTCTGACCAGACAAAGACCCTCACTGCATTCCAAAGCCAAATTTACATCTCAAATGCAATTGTGCACAGGACATTAATGGCTAACATAGAAATGTTAGCTCCTATTATTCCTATTTTACAATATTAACTTTTAAAATGTTTTTGCCTGTCTAAAAGTATTATTAATACAGAATAACCCCTTGACATACTTGAATGGAGGACATTGCAACCTGGGTATTGTTTGTTTGTTTTGTTTTGTTTTGCACCAGAAGTTTTGAAACTCACAGAAATAGACTTCCCTATAGAGGCTGCTTAGGAAGACTTTTACAAAGTGTGTACCTTGACAGTCCAGGAAATAAGGAACCAAGACTCACATGTATTGCCACTGAAAGCCAGATCACAATTACAGAAGGTATTGTTCTAAATAACCAAGAAGTGGCTGTGAATCAGAGACACAAGCCAGAACTGTATCAGCCTGTTCAAGTGTATGTGCACAGAAGACTGTAAGAAGTAGTTGTCTCAATTCTAGACACCATTTTAGAATAAAAACATCATCTTAATACCTTCAGTATGTGCCATTTTCTTTCATATCTAAGGTAAGATAGCATGTGACAATATTTCCCAAAAGATAAGATAGCATGTGACAATATTTCCTCCATATTTAAAAGTGTTGAGAAAGAAGTTTATACTCTGTTTTTTCAATAACCACCAAAATTTGAAACCAATACAAGGAATATCTCTAGAAGAGAAGGTAAATTACTATGTTTTTCCAAAAATATTCTTCATGTTCCTGTTAAATCATAGAGACTCAAGATCAGATCTGTGTTCCTAAGAATTAACTTCTATTCTCCTGAAGAAATACAATGGCCATCTCTAATCACTCGCCTTATAGAACCAAAGAAACAGCACCACTGCTTCTTTCAACACTGGCTGGAACCCAGGGTAACTGGGTGCTTAATATATATGTTTCACTTCATGTTTTAGTATTAGAGTCTTAGTATGAGGGTCAGACTTCTACAGAGGACACAAAGATCTTTTGAACCATCGAAGGCATCAATCTCCCCTCTGGAATCCAGCTCCTCCCCTGTGGCTTATTATTAAATGGCCCATCAGGCCAAGCCAACATGGGGGCTCCTTACCTGTGCTGTAATGAGGAGATTGTTGTGGTCCATTTCCTTATTTTGCTTGTTAAATGGCCAACCTGGGTTCTAATCTCTGTTGGGAAACCAACCAGCTGTGTTTCTGGGGCCTGCCACTTTTGCTTTTCTGGAAATCAGTTTTTTCCTCTTTAAGATAAGGGGATAGAGTTCAATCTTCATTAATAATACCTCCAGAGCTGATGGTCTATGATTATGTAGGTGACTGTGAGGTACATGTGCTTAATTAGTAATTAATAAGGACATAGACAAAATTAACTGAATCTATGGTAAGTCATCTTAGAGCTGCTATAGAGACATTTTCCCAAGGGTTTCCTGTATACATAACAGTAAGTAGAATGCCTTTTTTTTTTCTTGAGATAGGGTCTCATTTTGTCACCCAGGCTGGAGTGCAGTGGCCCCATCTTGGCTCACTGCAACCTCCGCCTCCTAGGTTCAAGTGATTCTCCTGCCTCAGCCTCCCAAGTAGCTGGGATGACAGGCATGCACCACTACGCCTGGCTGATTTTTTTTTGTTTTGTTGTGTTTTTTGTTTTGTATTTTTAGTAGAGGCAGGGTTTCACCATGTTGGCCAGGCTGGTCTCGAATGCCTGACCTCAGGTGATCTGCCCACCTCAACTTCCCAAAGCGCTGGGATTACAGGCAGGAGCCACCGTGCCCAACCTAGAATGCCCTTATTATCCTTCACATAGAAACCAATAATATAAAACATGTAAAATTCATGAGGGATTACCTAGAACCTAATTTTGTTTTATAAATGTGGCTTAAACCTGAAATTATCCTTAGAAATCTATCTATTTGGCTCAAGGATTGATTCCATCTGGAAATAAAGACATCACTATGACAAATAGTCATTTATCCCTTAGAATGAATAAGTTTATCGAGTCATTTTCTTAAACTTTGGAGAGAAAAAAAAAAGCAAGAGAGAACTTTCTGAGTGACAGAAAAATCCCACAGGGGAGAATATGAACTATAACTAGAATGACCTGGGACAAACTTGGCCTCTGCATGATTCTGAGGTTGGTTTGAATCATAGGAAAAGTCATAATCTTCATTTGCTTCTTTTTTAAAACTGAATTATCATCCTATTATTTTGTCAATAGAGCAGGAACATGCATATGCAGCTTGTGGCTCAAATACAGTCTGGTTGACCCCAGGTTAAGGGCTGCTTGAGATTCTTAGCAAAATAATTTCTTACCTAATTAGCTGGCACACATGAACTAATTAGGGCCTTACTCCTTGCCAGTAGGAAACTTGAGAAGTTTGGACTCAACGTGGAAAATCTGATTTCACTTGCAAGGGTTGAGACACCTGCAATGAGTGCGGAGAAGAGGAGGATTTATTCAAGTCAAAAGAGAAGGCTGGTGTGCCTGCTTCTGTTACATCATTCATTAAGATGCTGTGGGGGAAGATTTCACAGGTCACGTGCCCAGCATGATGGAATGGAATAAGTGACCAGACAGTGAATTAATTGGTGCACGTGTGCTTGGCCATAGTTTTAAATATTTATGGAGGGTTTAGACATCAAGGTAAGGCAAATGATTGCAGTCACATGGCTAAGCCATAGAATCACTGAAGTAATTAGCACAGCCGCTGTGTTATATCAAGGAATTTTGGGAATGGAAGGGCTCTGAGCTTTTCATGAGTAAAGAATTATGGACAGGACATCAAGCTACATACTGTAGAGTTAAGGTATTTGGTCAAAGAAAATCCAGATCTGCCTTCTAATTCTGCCAGTTTCTGTATGACGCTGGGGAAGTTAACTGATCCAATGTCAATTTCATCTGGTTAACTTAAGGTTCCACTGAGGCAATGAATGAGAATATATTTATTTTTTCTTTGTTTTTACTACTTGCATTATTGTTTTTATAAAACTTACGTATGCTTGTTATATACATTTTGAGCAATAAAAACAATTAAAAAGAAAAGTGACAAATCACCCAAAGTTCTACCATACAGAAATAATCTGTGTTAAAATTTGGTGAATATCGTTCTAGATATCTCTCAAGAATGGATGGATGAATGGATGGATGCATGGATCCATAAGTGGATGGATGGTTAAATGGATGGCCAGATCATATGCTATTTTTATGTGTATATAATTTTTAATTTAATGTCCTCAAATTTAACAGAAAAAGGAAACTAAAATGACACTAAAGGAATTGCTGAACTTCAAATTTTTGAAAATTAAAAGTATCAAATTAATCTGTATAATTTAAAGAATTATGTGGATATCCATGAAAGGATAAGGTTAAGAAATTTAAAACTCCCTGTGGGGCTTCCCAGATCACATTCCTCTCATCTCTATTACTTTTGCAGTAATCATTCCCTTGCTTTATTTAGTAGTTTTACTATATATGAAGGTATTCATAAACAATATTTGTTTAGGTTTGCCTGATTTAAATATTATATACAAAGAATCATACCATGTGCATTAGTTTGTTGTTTGCTTTTACTCACTATTATATACATATAAGATTCATCCATGTTTATATGAATAATTGTAGTGTATTCATATTTGGTGTTGTATATTATTCTACTATGTGAACGTAGTATGGCTTATTTATCCATCCCACTGACAATAACCATTCACCTTCCATGGGCATTTTCAGTAGTCTCTGGTATATGTGTGCAAGTGCCCAGAGTGTACACTGTAGGATGGAATTGCTGGTTTGTTCACTATGTAAACATTCTACTCTTCTAGGTAATACTAACTTCCTTCCCAAAGTGGTTAGACAAATATTCACTCCCATTTGCAATAGAAAAGTGTTCCCATTGTTTCCCAGCTTCACCAGCATTTGGTATTGTTGGCCTTTTAAGTTTATTACAACCAGTATATATAATACTGTTTCTCTCTGTGGTTTTAATTTGTACTTGCCTGATTACTAATGATGTGGAGGTTTGTGTCATATACTTCTTGGTCATATGTTTCCTGTTTTGTCAAATCTATTGCCTATTTTTCTGTCAGGTTTTGGTATTTCTTTCTTATGGATTTATAAGAGCTATAGATAGATGATTGATAGATAATGATATCTAAATATATATATATCAGATGTTAGTTTTGCCAGTTATTAATCTATCTCTTATTTTCAAATCTATCTTTCTATATTTTGCTCTGTGATTCTAGAGCTATAGGTTAGCTATTACTGTGTAACAAATTACCCCCCAAAATTTAGCAGTTTAAAACAAGAGATATCTATTTTCTCCCACTGTCTGTGAGCCAAGAATCCAGGCAGGGCTTAGCTGCATCCCTGCCTCACAGTCTCTCACAAGCTACAATCAATGTGTCAGCTCAGGGCTTATGGTCTCATCTGAAGATCCAACTGGGGAAGGATCACTTTGAAGCTCAGCCAGTGATATATGACAGTAAGCATTCAGTATCTCCCAGGCCATTATTGCACTGCAGATCTCAGGTCCTTAGTGGCTAAAGGCTAGAAACCACTCTCGGTTACTTGATGTGTGGGCTTCTATCTCATGGGAGCTGCCTTCATCAAAGCATGAAAGCCAAGAAGACAACAGAGAGAGTACACCAGCAAGATGAGTCGTTGTTTTTAATAAACCAAAAACAGAAATGATAGCTTTTACTTTCCCATTTGCCTGAGAATACTCACTAGTGGTGCTTGTGGCTGCAGCATTTACCAAGAGATAACTTTGCCATAAAATATCTCATTTTTATTATTATTGTTGCAACACTCTAGTATATTGGAAACAAAGGCATCATTCTATTTATAGCATTCTGTTTTTAGTAGTAGTATTTACATTTACAAAATATAGTAATTCTTGATCGTTGAAAACGTCAAATTCTAAAAAACGTAGCATTCCTATGTGTGATATTAACATCATTCTCTAACAGTTGTTGGCTCAAGGTCCATTTGATAAATCTGACTTTTCCGAAATAGATGATTCTGATGATTCAGATAATCCTGATGTTAGTTCTGTTCAGAAATAACTCCAATAACAGTTTTTATGTTTTATTTTCGCATTGAAAATCAGTTAGATTTGCTTCAGCCTCAAATAGCATGTTTATTTAAAATTAAATGAGCACTGGCAGCAAGCTGAACTTTTTTCTTCTAAATGGGAAAAGGGTTAACTTTTGCCATATTCTAGCAAATCTTTAGGTCCAAACTACACTCAGAGGAGAGGATTACACAAGGGCATGAATGCCAGTATACAACGACCCTTGGGAGCCATATAGGAAGCTGCTTACTTCAGGCTGGGTATCCACATTCCTCCACGGTCAGTGGGTTCCTGTTAAAGGCCATCAACCTGGGGCTCTATAGGGTTTAGGAAGGCAGGAGAAAGGAGAAGGATTTTACTCCTTCTTATTGCCCTCAGTTCCTATTTGTATCAATGCAGCAATGGCTCTTCATCTTGGAAGCAGCAGCTGGATTCAGAAGCAGTTGATCTGAGTCTCTGGATTTTTATACTCCCTGAACCAGTCTCCTCAGACCACCTCAGAGCTCAGTGAGCAGACCAGCAGGGCAGCGTCCACTCACTGAGGCCTGAGATCTAGCTCCATGTGGCCCTTCCTGCAAGCATTAGCCTGAGAGCACCCTTCTTCAGAGGTCTGACATCCAGCTTCTCTGGGCCCTCCTGCCAGCTCCTAGTTGCTGAAAATTCTACCACTTCCCTGGGCCCCCATGTCCTAAGAGTGGGAGCTGCTTCCTGCAGTTACTACCTTTATGTCATCTTGGTGTTTCCTTTTCCACTTCTCAGTCCCTCCATCCTGGTTTAACCAGTTCTCTACATTAAATAATTTCTGGTAAAATAACGAATTTCTGATTGATGCACCGATATCTGGTGAAATCTGGTTTCTGATTGATACACTGATATCTTGTCCCAGTTTGAGGAATTTGAAACAGAACTACAAGTGTCCTTCTCCCTCAGATTCGCAACTTAGTGGGGAAATAATAGAAAAGCACAAATATGTATAATACAGACAGAAATTTATTGGCACCATAAAAAACATACAAAGAAAGAACTTGAGAACTTTCCTTGTTTACAAACTTAAGGAAAAACGTTCTTGTGGCTATGAGAATCAGACAGTCTTCAAAGACAAGGGGACAATTTTAGCTAGATCTTAAAGGGTGGCTGGTCCTTAAAAGGAAGAACAGACATCCTGAGAGGAGGAAGCAGCAAGAGAAAAACAAAAAAGAAGACATAAAATAAGGAAATAAATTTGGAAAACCAAGTATAGAGGGACACACACACACACACACACACACACACACAGTGTAGGTCTCTACACTAGCACTACTAATAAAAATATACTGTTAGCCACAAATGAAAGCCACAAAAGTAGTTTTAAATTATCTAGCCGACAAATGTAAAAAAAAAAAAAAAGGAAAAAAGGAACAGATAAAACGCTACAACTTTTCATTCAATTCAATATATCTAAAATATCACTTCAATAAGTAATCAGTATAATAGTATATTAGTATTTTACTAGTAAAATATTTGACATTCTTTCTCTTATACTAAGTCCTCAAAGTCTGGTGCATATTTTACATTTGCAGCACATCTCAGTTTAGACATACTGCAGTTTAAGTGTTAAATAACTGCCTGTGGCTCTTGGCTACCATATTGGACAACTATGGAGGGAACTATGGGAGATTTCTGAGCAAGAAACCAATGTAGCCAGAGAAGCACTTTTGGAATTTTAATACAGAAAGACTGTTTATCAAATGGGCAGACATTTGTTGAGCACCTGATAAAATAACAACAGCAAGAGAGCTACCATTTACTGAGTGAAAAACTATGCTTAATGGTCAATGAAAAACTTTAAAATATTTTTTAAAGAGAGAAAGTAAATGTTCTGCTCTAGCAATGTCTTCAGTTATTTTTTAAACATTATTTGAATTTTATAAATACAGTGAGGCTTATGAAATTTCTCAAGATAATTAAACATAAAATTTTGGGTTTTCTAAAAAGTATTCTCCTTAGAAAATCCAAGGATATAAATCTGCATTTTGGATTTATGCTTCCTGAATATTTTAGGATCCGCCTATCTTCTTTCTAATCCTCTCCCCTAGAGACCTTTAATATGGGTGATTACTGACATTCCTACTAAAATGATAAAAATACAGGAAATGTCATTTTAATGACTGTGGGTTTCAGCCTTTCCAAGTTACATGATTTAAATGAGAATTATTTACAAGTAGAGTGTGTTCTCCTCTAGGAATTATTTTGAATCACCTGGATTTATGAGGATTGTCTGTTTTCCATTCTATTTTATTAATGTTAAGGTAGCTATTAAGATAGGAAACACATATTGGTAATGCATGGAGTGGGAGCAGAACCACGCTCTTCCCATGACCAACAATGCTGATATTTTTTATTTTACTTAAATCTTAGGGAATCAGTCACAAAACTCTGTATTTTATCTTTTAATATTTTATAAAATATTTCTTGTTCCCCTACAAAAAGAATAATTTCATAATTTTTATCAAATCCTTTTTGGAATCAAGACAAGTGTAAACAATTGCCAAAATTCCATAAATACTAACAGAGTTGCCCCCATACTTTCAGCTTATATCAGGGGATTCTGTAAATGCTTCTTCCTTGTTTGGGGTCAGGTCACACAGGATTGTAATAAAGCAATGGAATCTGGGTTCTGAGCACAACTCCTCTAACACGGGCTTTGCTAAATAACTCTGGACTTGGCCTTGATTGTTAGCAGCATGGAGGAGGAGAAGATGAAAAGGGAATTGAAAATAATTTTTTAATTCCGAAGTATTTATTTAATAAAATATGTGAGGCATTCGTTAATATCAGGTCTCCTTTCATAAGCATATTACAACCTAGTTGGGCGCTAAGTCATATTTACATGAGGAGTGAGGCTGCAGGAGGGAGATCTATTTTGGAAAGGGACTTTATTGATAGGAGCTTGAACTAATGCCTGTGGAAGAGGAGAGAAGTCAGACTAAAGATAGCTAGTTTTGATGAAATTCAGCAATTGATGTGATGCTAACAGAGAGCGGGGCTTCAAGGATGGCTTCTCTCTGGGTTTTCTCACTTTGACAACTGTGTACCTGGTTGTGCCATTCTCCTAGAGATATCCATGGAGTGGAAGTGACTTTGGAGTCTAGGGATGGAGAGAGAATTGCCCAGGGACATGATGAATTCAACTTCGTGTAGGTGAAGATGCCCATGGTACACACAAGAGGAGATTTCCACAGCCAACTGGATATATGTGCGTAAAACTCAGGAGATGTACCTGAGTAGAAAATACATATTTCAGAATTAAGAGGTAATTAAAGGCGTGAAAGTGGATGAGCGCTCCTGGGAGGTGAACGGAGAGAGAGAGGAAATGGAGCAAGGACAGAACACCGGGGAAACCAACATTTAAGGGAAGGGAAGATGTATTAGTCCATTGTCATGTTGCTAATAAAGACATACCCAAGGCTGGGTAATTTATAAAGGACAGAGGTTTAATTGACTCACAGTGCAGCCTGGTTTGGGAGGCCTCAGGAAACTTACAGTCATGGTGGAAGGGGAAACCAATACATCCTTCTTCACATGGTGGCAGGCAGAAGAAGAATGAGAACCGAGCGAAGGGGGAAGACCCTTATAAAACCATCAGATCTCATGATAACTCACTCACTATTATGAGAATAGTATGGGGGAAACCACCCCCATGATTCAATTACCTCCCACCACGCTGCTCCCACCACACATGGGGATTACAGGAACTACAATTCAAGATGAGATTTGGCGGAGGGCACAGCCAAACCATATCAGAAGAGAAATACAGCTCACAAAGGATCCAGCGACTGTGAATGCCTGCCACTTCCCTGCCCCTGCCCACATCCAAGTAGTTCACTTGCAGCTGTGCTGGAGAGTTCCTGTGGGCTGACAGCCTGCCACTTCTCTGCTTCACTGCCTGAGGGCTTTCTCCGGTGCCAGGGAACTTCCTCTGCAAGTGCAGGGACATCCTACAAATTCAGGTGGAAAAATAATCCAGCTTCCCATCCTTGGTGGGACAATTCTGAGCTGTGTTCTACAGGGCTCATCAGAGACCCCATGGAAAAGGAGGCTCCCCTCACTAACCTGTTCACAATCATACCCTTCTTTTTTTTTTTTCTCCTTCCCATTTCCCATTTCCTTGCTTGTGCTTTCTGGGATCATTTTCCAAATAAATTACTTACATTCCCTATCCCACCCCCCAAAAATATTACCCATATCAAAAAATTGCCCTCCCATCTTGGAAGGAGAAAGCAAACTAAGAGAAAAAGAAAGACCAGATAGGGAAACCAATACAGTCTGATATCCTGGAGGGTAGAGGAAGAGGAAGAGGAAGGATAGAGTTTCATGAAGAAATTGACCAACAGTGAAATATAGTGCAGGGATGTGGAGCCAGATAAGGACTGAAAATATTTCTCTGAACTTAATAGCTGGAAGGTGACTTTGACAAGAGCATTTTCAGCAAAATGGCAGGAGTAGAAGGAAAATTTTGGGTGTCGTTATGTGATTGTGAGAAAGAGGAAGCAGTAATGAAGGAAGAAGAAATGGTGGGGAGGTGTGTTAAGTGGTTTGAGATGGTGTGGACAAAGTGTGCCAAAGAGGAAAAGGGCATAGAGATGGAGCCAGTAAAGGAGCATGGGCAGTTACTAGAATAGAAAAGGGAACAGAGAAAGAATAGAATCCAAAGTGGAGATTATTCATCCTGGACCTACCTCGTTCACAAAAACCAGACCAGATGATAAATGTAAAATGAGAAACGTTACGGTGGGTAAGAAATAGAGAAAGTTTCAAACATGACTTCTATTTTCTCTATAAAGTAGGAGATCAGTCATCAGTCAATATCTACAGCAGAGATACTGCTGTATCTAGGTTATTCCCTGGCCTTCAGGATCACTCTGGGTGAGGGCAGAGTTAGCGTTGGATGGCGGACAATCAATGCATTAGAAGAGAGAAGAGGAGCCAAAAGGGATACAGTATAGAGGCAAGAGCAGAGCGTGAGGTACAGTGTTGAGTACTATCTGTCTCCTGACCTTTTACTTTCCCACAGTAGAAATGAGCAGGTGAACCTTCTTGAAAAATAAGCAGGGGCTACGATCAAGACAAGGGTTTGCATTTTAAGAAGAGTCATCAATGAGGGAACATGTTTTCTCTTGGAACAGGGGTGACAGTGGGCACCATGGAAAATTTGGAGGAAAGGAGGTAATGAAAGGGGGTCTGGAGCATGAGGGGTGCTCCATGACCAGCGGGCTTTTGGGGCAGAGGCCAAGGAAAACAGGATTTAGCATCTGCAGGATTCCCTGGAGTCATAGTTCCAAATGGAACTCGGGATGAGGGAAACTCAATTTTGATTAGTTTGGGTGGTTTTGTGAAATGATAGTTACAGCAGACTGGCCTTTTGCCCTGGGTTCAAATTAGAATAAGCTATTTTGGTCTTCAGAAAAATCCTATCCCAGATGCGCAAGTGAAGACTGGTTAGTTCTCCAAGACTTTGTGGAGGAAGCATCACAAGCTAGCTCTGGAAGGAAGGATGAACAGAAGAGAATTTTGGATGAATGGCTTGAGAAAAGCATGAAGGAGAGAAAGAACAAAGCACACTGGGACTGTAGGGACCAGACATTACATTGTAGGTGCAAGATCCTGCCATGCTTGGCCCTCGAGAGATTCTCATTTTTCTCTAGGATCACTGGAGATGTCCAGCATGGATGAGATTATTTTCTCAGAGCTGTCTATGCACAAGGCTGCTCAGGGCTGTCCAGGGAGTCCTGGAAATGGGAGGATAAAAGGGAGATCGTTCCTCTGCTGGCTTCACCTCGGAAGACTGATGGGCCCAGTGTGACTGAGCAGGGACCCCACCGCCTGCCTGGGACATGGCCATATCCCCAGCAGCGATTCCTAATGGCTTTAACAAAAGTCTTGGCTTTTTCTCAAAGCAGGAGAACACCAGTGTGAGCTACTTTGAACCTGGTCAAAGGGAATGATGTGGAGGAGGAAAACTTAGGAAAGTTTTCTCTTTCCGTCTGCCCCAGAGACAGCATTGCCGGTATTTTCACTTGTAAAATAAAAGAGAAATCCCTTTGGGAATTATTGTTATTTATACTCATTTCAACCAAAAATATAAAGGAAAGTTCTGACATCATTTCAATATTTAGTATAAAGGCTTGAATAAAAATAGGTTTTAGAAGTTTTTCATAAATTCCTCTTCATTTCTTGAATAATTAATTGATTTTCTTGTGAGAGAACATATAAGGCACTGAGCTTTAGTTCATTACATATCGTCCTTCAACTAGGTTCACTTGGAATCCAGGAAAACATTTTTAGGAGTTTTCCTATATTGTCAAACCTGTGTTATAGGCACCTATTCAATTTTCCTCAGTAACTCAGGAGCATGTGAGTCTGTGTGTGTTTTAACAATTAGAGAAAAAGACAAGTAAAGAATGCTTATCATACAATCTAATGATAAATCTCTTCCTGGGGACCTAAATCAGATAACTAATAAGATAGGAATGTCACAATGCATTTGTGGCCCCTGGCTGGATCCCTGCTCTGAATAAGGGCTGATTGTGCTGATGATAGTGATTTATGTATCATTCATGGTTTGTTAAATCAGATCATATGTAGGAAAGCAAGGTAATAAATAAAGAACGTGTAAGTAAATTGAAGCAAAATCAAGTAAAGATTTGAGAAAACTATCTACGTAATTCTTTCCTTAAAACTCCTTTTTGATGAAAAGGGAATTTGTGAAATCAATCTACACTGATCAGATTACTTCCAATGAAATTGCTGGGGCACTGTTTTAAGTGCTCCTTATGAAAAACCTAACCCCATGAATATAAAAGTAGCGCTGTATTTTAATTTAAAGTGGACTATGTGGACAAGGAATCTGAAATGTAGATTCTTGTTAGCTACGCCAGTGATCATTTTGCATGGCCTTGCATGCCCCAATCTGTATAAAAGAGACAATGATGCCCATCTTGGCTTCCCTACAGGGTTAGTGTTCTAAGAAATAAATGAGATCTCTTTTAACTTCTGAAGCATTCTGCAAATGTAAGGGATTCTTATTATTTGACTATTCTTTGGAATTGCACTTTTTCTTAACATTTGTAGAAAAAGGAGCTACACATGAACTGAACTGAAAGAAAGGTGCTACACACGAACCAAAGGGTAAAACTGCAGCTCCCCTAAGTATCTGGGTTGTTCTCTGCTTGGCTACCTTTCACCACTTCTGCAGCTAAATATAGAAGAATAGACTCCAATGCAGAAGGTGGAGGCAAATTGTTAAGCTTCTCTTCTAACTTCATCAGGATTCTTGGCTTTCTTCTTCATACCAGTAGTTTGAATTATTAGGTAGCAGACATGCTGTCAAAAGACTGGATAATTATCTGTCATTTTCCATGTCTGAAGGCAGCCTTCCACCTCTGCAGCTAGATGGATAATCTGTGCTTGCATTCCAAAATTTATTATATTTGGATTTTATGTGGGTGTGCATGATCCCTCGAGGGAGAAACCTCAAGCAACCTCTTTTCCTCACCACCTCCATCCAACCCACACCTCACACACACAGACAGCCCCACACATACCACTCACACGCACACACACAATCACACACATATCCCACCATACCACACACAAATACACACAATCACACACACATAATACCACCCGTACCCCACACACACACACACACACAATCACACACACAGCCCCACACAAACCACACACACACACACACACTCCCACACACACTTTAAAACAGGGCTTTATGGACCAACAACTGACCAAAAAACTTTGGATATTTGCTCATTAATCCCTTCACAATACATATATGTTTATATTCTCTTTTTCACATCATTTCTCAGTCCAATCAATGTTCAGTCACATGCAGTCAGGGGAAAAACAAAACCCTAAATATTGATGGATTTTTTCTTAAGCTACCATTGCTCTTTGCAAAAGGTTGTCTCATTCCATATAAAACATGATGGTAATAGCCTTAGGGTTGAAGTTGTTCATTAAAATCTCTTTGCTAAAGGCAAAAATCAAAATGCTGATTCAGTCAAGAATGTGATGTGTTTTTCCACCTGTAGAAAGGGATCTACAACAATTGATCTCTATCCCTAGCCCAGTTCTCTTAGGCATCATCAGCATGCATTTTTAAGTCACCTTGTAAGGATTAGAGGAAAACAAACTCCTTCACTCTTTCTTAGATCCTATCCAGACAATAGTAATCATGAAGAACGATCATGTATTTACTCAGAACACATAATTAAATTATTCTCTCCATGTACACATTTAATAAAGATGTGAGCATCCTTATTAAATGCTCACAGTGTGTCAGACCCTGAGAAGACAAAGATGAAAGACACAGTCATCTGCTCTCAGAGACACATACGAGTAGACTGTGAGCACAATGAGTGCTGACACACAGCAGAGAATAGAAGGCTGCCTGCCTCCAAGCGCAGGAAGAGGGCCTGGAGAAGGGAATCCTTAAGGGAGGAACAGAAATTTTCCTGCAGACACAAGAACTACAGCTCTTGCATGAAGGCATGCAAGAGCATGGGGAATTTGAGGATTGGTGAGGAGCTCCACGTGGCTTGAGTTTAAGACTCCACCACCTGGAGGCAGGCAGGAGTCAGATCATAAAGACAATGCATACCGTACAAGGGCTTGGCACTTCACCCTTGAGGTCAATGATTCTCAGAATGCGGTTCCCAGGCTAGCAGCATCAGCATCCCCTGGGATCTTGAAGGAAATGCAAATTCTAGTGCCCCATCCCAGGCCTATTGAGTCAGAAACTCTAAGGTGGGGCTCAGCCATCTGTGTTTTAACAACCTCGGATTCCACTGCAATAAGTTTGAGGACCATCAAGTTCTCAACTCTGACTACACATTAGAGCCACCTGGAAAGATTTTAAACAGTGTGAATTCCCATATTTCACCTTGGAAAACCAATGATTAAATGACTAGAATAGGCTACTTCATGGGTGCCCAGCCTGTACAGTTGCACAGGGTCCCAGGCTCAGAAGGGCCCACACTTGGTTTCATGCTCTGCAAAATCGCCATTTTGAAATTCTTAATAATTTTTGAACAAGTGGTCCTGCATTTCCATTATGTACTCATCCCTACAAATTATGTAGCCCGCCCTGGGCTGGGCCTTCAGTGTATCTTAAGTGTATCCTCAAGGTTTCTCAGGTGATTCTAACGGTGGTCAGTGCTGAGAACTGCCAGGTTAGGAAATGTAGAAAAAATGTAATTCAACTTCAACACAGGATTTTAAAAAATTTCAAGACGGCCTGAGTCAAGATGGACAAATATTGAGTGAATCAAGTTGTAATGATGTTGATTAAAAACTGATTGATAAGAAATTTTAAAGTTCACAGAAATAGACTGCTAACAACCTGATGGAGTCCTCCTGGGCAAATTACCAATCTCCTTCCTGTTCAGTACGAAACATTCATTGAGATTTGGATAAAAATATTAAAGTAATGCTCATATATTTACAGATGACAAGATCCAATACTTTAGCTGACAGAATCAAAATACAACTGCCATCAGTGGGATGCGGGAGCTGGCTGGCCCCAGCTCAGAAGAGCAGATTGTGCTCATCTCTGCCCAACCTCATCCCCAGTGGCATCACAATGTAGTTTGACATCAGCCATAACATTAGGATTTACAACACAGAAATTGATAAGCACTGAACAGAATCAGTTGTTAAACATTTACCAGCACACCACTGATTACCACCACTATTTATTGATTACTTTAATTCACATTATGTCATTATACATGTTGCATTTTGCAGAGAAGAAAACCGAGTGATCTTCCTAAGGCCCATAAGAGGCTGAATATCAGCATTAACATTGTCTCCAAACTTTTGTGATTTTTCAACAGTGTGTCCTATCAGTGACTAAATCAGAACATGAAAGGCCTTTAACAGACTCAAATATAATCCAAGTTCAACAAGATAAAAATATGATACCGAAAAAGCTTCTTGATTTGGGATCCATGAAACAACTGCACAAGTATGGGATGAAAAAATAAGCTGAAATATAGACTTATAAAAGGAGATTAGAGGTATTCTTCGAGAATGCACTCTGAATTGATCAGTGTGATGCCCATTCCTGACTTGGCTTTAAACTTGACTCATGAATCCATCATGACCAAGGGGCCACATAGCACCCAGCCACCAAGAGTGGCTCCTTGTGTAATCACCTGTCCTCACCTCTTCACATTGAGCCAGCTTGGTCCTTGTTCTATATCCTCCTTGGTGAGCTCATCCTTTTGGCTTTAAAGCAGTCTCTTTTGAGTAAACATTCAGTCAATTCAAAGTTCAGGCTCATATCAGGAATGATGTCCTCCAGTGGGGTTCCCCTCTACCTTCTCCTTCCAAGCATCTCAGAGCAGCAGGGGAATGAAGTCTGAGCTTTATGCTCTCCTTTGGGCCAGCTGAAGCCTCCCAATTCCCCAAATCGCTAGTCTTGTTTAACAGATGCCCACCATCGGGTCTGGTCTTTGAAGGTGTCTGCACCTCCGACCACGACCTTCATGACTACAGTTCCCTCGCTCTGCTTCCTCATCCTGATCTTTCTTGTCCATAGTTCTATCAGCTCTTCTGCCCTCCCCCTGCCCAAACAGGACTTGCAAAACATCTGCATTCCTAGTATTATATACTCTGGCTGTGAGTAACAAGAAAACTGTCATATCATTAGTCATCAGGGAAATGAACATTAAAATCACAGTGTGATGCCCCTGCACATCTATTAGAATAGCTAAAATTAAAAGGGCACCATACCAAGTGTTGGTGGGTGTGTAGATTAACTGGAACTCTCCTACACTGCTGGTGGGAATATAAAACTGTCACTCCAAATATGACCCCGCCTTTCCACTGCTGGGTATTTACTGAAGAGAAAGGATAGCATATGTCCCTGCAAAGATTTCCAGAGAGTGATGTCTCTTCAAAACTGCCTGGGGCTGAAAGATCAGATGTGGCATCCTGAGAAGGCAAGTAGACCTGGGGTCATTTTAATAGGATCTTTTCCAACAGGAAACATGTCACAGGGCAGGGGGACAAAAGAGAATCCTGGTGGGAAGATCATGGGGGTACAGACAGAAAGTCACGGGGGAAATCATCAGTTTTTAACAGCATTCAGGCCCAGTGTGCAGGAAGACAGTTCACCCTCACTCTCCAGACAGTGACTTCTTTTCTGCAGGTAGCTGACAGAAAGGAGAATGTTTAACTCTAAATCAAGTTCAGAAGTTTTGAAATAAACACAAGACTGTGTAGTCTATAATCAAATGGAAAGTCCGAAGACCTTCTATTACCTAGGACATAACAGAGAAGTCATGGGTCCTGCCACGGGATGGGAAAAACCTTGCGATACAAAAATCAAAATGCACTTTGGTCATATCCTCAGAATACTACTTGTTTAATTACATTGTTATGCTTAAAAATGCCTTAGAATATAGGGAAGGCTTGAATAAATCATAGTGTGTCCATATGAAGAACTGGTGAAGATAATTATGTAATTTTTAAAATTATTTTGGAAACTATAGAGTAGCCTAAAAAATGATGCTATGTGAAAAAAAAAGTTCTCAAAACTTTATTTCACAGTGTGATATCATATATTGAAAATATGCATATTTATAGTATTAAAAATTATCAGGTCAGATGAATTTGTCCAGTACGAGCAAAAGTTCAAGTGTACTGAGATAAAATTGTGGAGAATATTAACATGTAGAGTGGATGCCAAGCTGCTCAGTACAGTTGTGTAGGTTGTACACTGCATGTTTATGGGAACCAGTCATATCACTCTAGGTGAAGGGCATACCCCAGAAGTTGTGTAGCACACAACCTGTGTGATTGTATATGGCAATTGGGTAAAGAGAAAGTACTTGTATAAGGCTAAGAAAGACTAGTATTAGAGATAGGAACACAAGTGGGAAAGAATGTGACACAGAAGCCTTGGGAGAAGAATATTTCTCTAGGAGGGAGGAATAAACTATGCCTGAAAGCTCTGAAGAGATCTAATAGTTTAATACCCCATAAAACTATCTGACTGAAATGCAGTCTCCATCTGTAGGTAAAATTGCCATATTTAACCTATAAAAATACATTATTTCAAATATTGCATGAAATACATGTGCCAAAAAATTATTCATTGTTGATCTCAAATTCAAATTTCACTGGGTGCCTTGAATTTTATCTGGCAAACTTATCTGTAGAGGTAGTGACTCAGGGAATGGTAATCTATTGGAGGGAAACAGTTTTTTAGCCAAAGCTTTTAAATTATTTCTATCATTGCTCTTCTCACTCATTACCTCTTTTGGAGACAAGATTATCCTCTGTGTTATAGCCTGCTACCACTCTTCCTCTTGGAGCCTGTCGCGGCAGCGTCTTGGTCCATCTTCCCCAGGAAGCATTTTTGGATGCTGTGTCGACGACCTTCGGTGTCTTTTGACTGGGAAAATCCATAGACAGTAACACTTTTAAAGTAAATTAAAAACTGCACATTAACAAAGTGCTTCATGGGCAAAGCCAGAGCAAGAGGGCCAAAGTGTGAGCATCAGGAAGAATCACCTCTTTCTGGTTGTTCCTGATGAGCCTTCAGCCTGGCCTTGCTGCCTCCATTCCCACTGCAGCATCTTCCTCCCACTGCCAGAGAGAGCCTTGAAGGACACGCGGTCCAATGACTTCTCCTTGGTCTCAGTAAAATTAAAGTTCTCACCACGGGGTGGGAGGCCATATGTGATGGACCCTTTCCCACCCTCTAGACTGCTGGCAGCTCCCCAAAGGTCCAGGCAGGTGCCCACCCTGTGGCCTTTGCACTTCCTCTTGCCCTGGGCCCCCTCTCTCACTACTGAGGGTCTCTGCTCAAATGTCACCAATCAGAGAAGCCCTCCCCCAACTGAACCCATGTTACTCTATCCCTGTTACCACTCTTTGTTGCATTTTGTTCATAGCTCTCACCACCCTCCACAGTATATACTGACGCTGTCACCCACCAACCATGTCTAGACTGTGAGAAGAAACACCGTCTAATTTAGTCCTGCTGTACCCGCCATGTCTGGAGTCGTGCCTGACACTTGGTGAGCACTCCATTCATTCGTGATGAAGTGTTCACTTCCAGTTAGAGATGTGCGGAGCCTCCTGCACACAGCATAGAGGGCACGATGGAGGGAGGAGAGCAGATAGCCAGGAGGGGACAGGATTCAGGGAGAACAAGTTCTAGAGCAGGGGACACTGCAGACCCTCGGACAGCCCCTCCCACAGGGGTAAGCCCCCCTCTGGCACATGGTTGACATGTTCTCCTGGCTGGGACAATCCCCTGTGGAGACCTCGGTGCCACACCATGACTGATGCCACCTTCTCAGTCCTGGAGGGAAAGGACCTTGTTTTGGATGATGGTGGTGACTGGTTCAATTCCTTTTTTTGTTTTCGCCTTAATCTCCCTCCTTTCTCACTTTTCCTGCCAAACTCTCTTTGTAGCACCTTCTTCCTTTCTTACCAACCAGCCCTCTGCCTTTTACTCCTGCCTGACTCATAACCATGTGCAGAAAAACCCTTCCGTGACGCTCCGCCCCTTTTAGCCACCCTCCTCTCCTCTTCGCAGACGCAACCAGTGGAGAGTGGCCTCCAGTTGTAGCCTCCACTGCCTCGCCTTCAATCACACTTCAACCTTCGGAGTTAGGACTTCTGTCCCCACCAACGTGTGGAAATCTGTCTCCCCAAGGTCACCAAAAAATACCTATCAAGCAGACCCTTACGGTTAAACTACTAGATCACTTCAGAGTTTTCAGACGTAGTTTACTGCTGCCTCCTAGAGAAATATTCTGTGGCTTCTGTGTCACGTTCATTCCCAGTTCTGTTCCTATTTCTAATACTAGTCTTTCTTAGCCTTATACAAGTGCTTTCTCTTTCCCCAGTTGCCACATACAGTCACACAGGTTGTGCACTACACAACTTCTGGGGTTGCCCTTCACCTAGACTGTGATATGACCAATGCCTGGAAAGAGCTGTTCTGTATCCATCTACATATTATATTCCCCACAATTTCATTTCAGTGTACTTAACTCCTCGCTCTTCATGCTCACACTGGGCAAATTCATCTGATCTGGTACTATTAAATGCTCTGTATATGATGATGTTTCCCAAATTGACATCCCCACTTCATGCTTCTGATCTTGTGCAACAGACCTGTATTTTTATTGCCATTCTGGATATTTCCCTATGAACGTCCCACAGCCATCTCAAATTCAGCATTTCCAAACTTAACTCAGTATATTTATCACCCATTGAACCAGATGTTCTCCTATATAACCTACTTCAGTTAATGAGTCTATTATCCACCTGGTGACCTGAGTCAGACATCGAAGAGTCATGCTTTTCAATATTCTCACCATCCAATATTATTTATCACCAGGTTCTGCCAAATAAGTGTATCTCTGCCTCTCCTTCCCCCACCTCCACTCTTCCAGATATGCCCCTCTTCATCACCCTTAAGCTATTGCAGAAGGTCCCAATTTCATCTCTCCATCTGCAATCCATCTTCCACACCATACCCCAAATTGTCTTAATAAAAACACAAATCTGATCTTGTCAGTACCCTCCTTAAAACTCTCATTATCTTAAAAATTACATCTCATCTTTGACAAGCAGTGCCCTCTACATTGTGGCCTCCTGCTGATGCTCAGATTCATATCATGCCAATTTCCACCTCCTGCTCCAGCCATACCAGCTATCGCCATTACAGAGAAAACCAGGCTTCTGGTACAGTTTGGTGCTTTTGTGCAAGCCAGTCTCATGATGCGACTTGTACCCCAGGCTACCTGGAAAACCCTCAAAATCAAGTCCTCTGTAAACTCACCACTCGGCTCAGACCAGGCTAGCCACTCCGTTCTCTGTGCCACCATGGAAATATGTGTATAACGCTATGCTTTTCCTTATCCCACTACATTGTAATTGTTTTGTTTACATGATGGTCTGTGTGATTGCTTGAGGGCCAAGCTCATGTCTTGTTCGAACTTGCATCCTCTGTGCCTGGCCCAGTACCTGACAGATTATGTATTCCACAATTATGTGCTGATGAGTGATGAAAAGTTATATGAGTCACCATCTAAATAATACAAGGAATGGAAACATTTTACAGGTTTGGAATTATAGGTTCTAAGTCTTCCCTGAGGGAATGCCTAATTTACATACATGGAAAGGAGAGAATCTTTCACCAAGCCTCTTTCAACATTGTCCCTTTTGCCCATATTTCAGCTTGTGTGAACAAAGAATAAGCCAACTCCAGTCAACAGATGTCTCCTGTAATATGTCTAAGTTGCAAGCATGTGACGAGGGGCAATCCAGGAAGGGATGCAAGTTGCCAGGCCAGGGTTAATGACTGGGTGGATAGAAATAGATGCAGAGGATGGGTGAATTTGAAGTCCAGGCAATTAAATGGCACTAAAGGAAGAGGGGGTCAGGGTTCACAGGAGGACAGAAGCTGCAACTAAGAAACAGCCAAAGAGTTCTGCTAAAGGGCCAAGCAGCGGCCCAAGAAGATGTTGCTGAGGCCATCTTGAAAGAGAAACTGCCCTTCAGAATCCAAGTTAGAGGTCAGGCAAAAGCTGGCTAAAAGTTTTAGTCTGATAAAATGATGGGAAGAAGGAGGAGGAGGAACAAACACTTATATCATAATACTCACTATGTGACAAATACTGTTCTAAGTTACCTTTACAGGTATTTACAAATTATAAGCATCACAACATTCCTAGGAGTTATTTTCCCAAATTTTACAGATTAGGGAAATTGAGTCCCAAAGAGCTGAAATATCATTTCCAAAGCTGCATAGTAAGTTGTGGAGCCAGAATTTAAACAAGGAATTCTAGCTCCTGGGAGCAGGCACTCTCAACAATATGCTGCCTCCTAGAAGTGAAATTTCTGGGTCAAATTGTGTTTGATTTTTAATGATCTTTTTCCATATTGCCAAATTGTCTAAGAAAAGGGTTGAACCATCTAATCTTCAGAAGCAAAGTATAAGGCTGAGCCTTTTCTCACACCTTTGCCAACTGCGAGCACCATCATGTTTCATTCTTGCTCATCAGATATACAAAAAGTGGTCCCTATTCTCAGAATTCAATTACTAATAAAATCATCATTTTATACTTAGTTTTATTTTTGTGAATTTACTGTCCATGTTGTTGGTTCTTTTTTTTTCTTCTGGCGTCCATCTTTTGTGATGATTTTAAAGCAACCTTATATTTTAAGTTTACTAACCTTTTGACTCTTATATGTGTTGCTAATTATTACACAATTTTGTCTTTTAATTATGTATATAGTGTTTTTTACCATACACAAATCTTGAGTTTTTCATAGTCAAATCTATCTCCCTAGAATTTTAACTACGAAACTTTATTATTTTATACATAATCTTCATTACTAATTACATTATTCTTCTTCATTGTAATTTATTACTATACCTTAATCAGTAAATATTTTATATACAAAGGAAAGCACAGACTCTCACAAACATTCATGTAACCTCGTTCAAATTTCACCACTGTAACTTTTGGCTGCAAATGTGTTCAGATCATTTAAAAAATAACATATCTCGAATACAACTAACACCTCAACTCTTCCCACATTCTCTCTCCAACTCCCTAGTTATTTATAGTTCTGAAAGTTTAAGCATTTTTTCACTTACATTTAAGTCTATGATCCATTGTGAATTAATTTTTGTGCAACATACGGTAAGAGCCTAGGTTATTTTTTCCCAAACATATATCCAATTTTTCCCAGCAGCATTTATTGAAAAGCATGTATTTTCCCCATAGGAATATCTGAGGACCTTGTGGAAAATCAATTAAGCATGTAAGTATGGATTCGTTTTTTAACTCTATTCTGTTCCATGGATCATTTTATCTGTTTACACCATACCACACTGTCTTAATTACTACAGCTTTATAGTAGGTCTGGAAGTGAGGGAGTTTATGCTCTTTCTCTTTTCAAAAATTGTTTTGGATATCCATGTATTTTGCCTATTTATATAAATTTTAAAGTCACCATGTCAATTTCTTTTTTTTAAAAAAGGCTTGCTAATAGTTTGACATTTCACTGAATCTGCAGATTACTTTGGGTAGAATTGTTATCTTAACAATATTGACTCTTTAAATTGATTAACAGGGTATAAGTCTCCACTTATTAATTACCCTTGGCAACTTTTCTACATCATTTATTAAATTTATTCCTAATTTTATGCTATTGTCAATAGTATGTTTTATTTCATTTTCTAAATGTTTATTGTTAGAACATAGAAATACTACTGGGTTTTGAATATTGGCCTTTATCCTACAACCGTATTAAATTAATTCATTAGTCCTACTAGCTTTTTTGTAGATTACGTAAGCTCATGTTGTCTGCAAATAATAACACTTTGCTTTTCCTTTTCCAATGTTTATACCTTTTTTTCCTTGCTTTACTACACTGGCTAGGATGTCTAGTAAAATTATAAATATAGAAGTGCTGAAGCAGAAATTCTTAATTTATTCCTGATCTTAGGCAGGAAGCACAAAACTTTTCATCACTGATATGTGCAGTAGTTTTTTTGGTCTTGACCAGGTCAAGAAATTTTCTTTCTAAAAATCATCATTCATTGAGATTATTTTAATTATGAATAAGAGTTGAATGTTGTAAAATGTTTTTGGCAACTTTCGAAGTGACTGTATGTTTTCTTCCTCTTTATTTTATTAATATGGTGAGTTACATTAATTGATTTTCAAATATTAAATCAATCTTGCTTTTCTGGAATGAAACCCCACTTCCCCATAATCATGTCTTATCCTTCATATATACAATTAGATTTGATTTGCGAACTTTTTGAAAAGGACTCTCTGTCCATGTTCATGAGAGATACTAGTCCATAGTTCTGTCTTTTCTGGACTTTTTCTCTGGTTTGGGTAACAAGGTAATAGTGGCCTCATAAAATAAGATGAAAAGTTTTTCCTCCTCCTTCATTTTTGAAAGAGTTTTATAAGAGTAGCTTTATTTTCTTTTTTACGTATTTGATAAGAGCCATCTAGGACTAGCGTTTTCTGTATGGGAAAATTTCAAGTCATAAATTCCACTCTGATATGATTTGGCTCTGTATCCCCTCCCAAATGTCATGTCAAACTGTAATTCCCAATGTTGAGGGATAGACCCGGCGGGAGGTGACTGGACCATGGGGATGGTTTTCCCCCTTGCTGTTCTCGTGATAGTGAGTGAGTTTTTTTTTGTTTTGTTTTGTTTTTTTTTTTGAGACAGTGTCTCACTCTCCTGCCCAGGCTGGAGTGCAGTGGTGCAATCTCGGCTCACTGCAAGCTCCACCTCCTGGGTTCACGCCATTCTCCTGCCTCAGCCTCCCAAGTAGCTGAGACTACAGGTACCCGCCACCATGTCCAGCCAATTTTTTGTATTTTTTTTTTAGTAGAGACAGGGTTTCACCATGTTGGCCAGGATGGTCTTGATTTCCTGACCTCGTGATCTGCCTGCCTTGGCCTCCCAAAGTGCTGGGATTACAGGCATAAGCCACCACACCTGGCCATGAGTGAGTTCTTATGAGAACTTGTTGTTTAAAGGTGTAGCACTTCCCCCTTCATGATCTCTTTCTCTCCTGCCATGATGTAGAGATGTGCTTGCTTCCCCTCTGCCCTTCTGTCACAGTTGAAAGTTTCCTAAGGTCTCCCAGCTGTGCTTCCTGTATAGCCTGTGGAACTGTGAGTCAATTAATCTTCCCTTCTTCATAAATTACCCAGTCTCAGGTAGTCCTTATAGCAGTGTAAGAATGGACTACTACAAAAAAATTGGTACCAGGAGTGGGGTATTGTTATAAAGATACCTGAAAATGTGGAAGCAACTTTGGAACTGGGTAATGCGTGAAAGTTGGAACAATTTGGAGGGATTAGAAGAAGGTAGGAAGATGAGAGAAAATTTTGAACTTCCTAGAGACTTGTTGAATGGTTGTAACCAAAATGCTGATAGTGATATGGACAATAAAGTCCAGGCTAAGGTGGTCTCAGATGTAGATGAGAAACTTACTGGGAACTGGAATAAAGGTCACTCTTGCTATGCTTTAGCAAAGAGACTGGTGGCATTGTGCCCCTGCTCTAGATATCTGCAGAACTTTGAACTTGAGAGAGATGATTTAGGATATCTGGCAGAAGAAACTTCTAAGCTTCTGGCAGAATAAATTTCTAAGCAGCAAAGCATTCAAGATTTGACCTGGCTCCTTCTAACAGCATACACTCACATGCATTTGCAAAGAGGTGGTCTGAACCTGGAAGTTACATTTAAAAGGGAAGGAGAGCATAAAAGTTTAGAATATTTGTAGTATGACCACGTGGTAGAAAAGAAAACCCTATTTTCAGTGGATAAATTCAAGCCAGCTGCAGAAATTTACAAAAGTAAAGAAGAGATGAATGTTAATAGCCAAGATAGTGAGGAAAATGTCTCTGGGGCATTTCAGAGACCTTCACGTCAGCCACTATTATCACAGGCCTGGAGGCCTAGGAAGGAAAAAAATGGTCTCCTACGTCAGGCCCAGGGCCCCAATGTTCTGTGCAGCCTCAAGACATGGTGCCCTATATTTCAGCCACTCCAGCTACAGCCATGGCTAAAAGGGGCCAAGGTACAGCTCAGGCCATTGCTTCAGAGGGTTCAAGCCCCAAGCCTTGGCAGCTTCCATGTGGTGTTGGGCCTGTGGGTGCACAGAAGGCAAGAGTTAAGATTTGGGAGCCTGGATTTCAGAGGATGTATGGAAACACCTGGATGTCCAAGCAGAAGTCTGCTGCAGGGGCAGAGCTCTCATGGAGAACCTCTACTAGGGCAATGTGGAGAAAAAATGTGGGGTTGGAGCCCCCATGTAGAGTCGCCAGTGGGGCACTGTGTAGTGGAACTGTAAGAAGAGGGCCATCGTTCTCCAAACCCCAGAATGGTAGAACCATTGACAGCTTGCACCATGCACCTGGAAAAGCTACAGGCACTCAGTGCCAGCCCATGAAAGTAGCTACAGGTTCTGTGTACCCTGCAAAGCCACAGGGACAGAGCTGCCCAAGGCCTTGGGGAGCCCACCCCTTGCATCAGTGTGGCCTGGATGTGAGACATGGAATCAAAGGAGATTATTTTGGAGCTTTAAGATTTAATGCCTGTCCTGGTGGGTTTTGGACTTGCATGGGACCTGTAGCCACTGTGTTTTGGCTGATTTCTCCCTCTTAGAATGGGTCTATTTACCCAATGCCTGTACCCCCATTGTATCTTGAAAGTAACTAACTTGTTTTTAATTTTACGGGCTGATAGGCAGAAGGGACTTGCCTTGTCTCAGATGATACTTTGGACTCGGCCTTTGAATGAATACTGGAATGAGTTAAGACTGGGAACTGCTGGGAAGGCATGATTGTGTTTTGAAATGTGAGAAGGACATGATATTTGGGAGGAGCGAGGGGTAGAATAATATGGCTTGGCTCTGTGTCACCACCAAAATCTCATGTTAAATTGTAGTTCCCAATATTGGAGACGGAACCTGGTGGGAGGCGAATGGATCATGGTGGTGTACTTCCCCTTTGCTATTCTCATGATAGTAAGTTCTCCTGAGATATGGTTGTTTAAAAGTGTGTATCACCTCCCCCTTCACTCTCTCTCTCTCTCTCTCTCTCTCTCTCCTGCTTTCTCCCCTAATCAACATGGTTGTAAGTTTCCTGAAGCCTCCCAGCCATGCTTCCTATACAGCCTGCAGTGAGTAAATTAAACCTCTTTTGTTCATAAATTACCCGGTCTCAGGTAATTCTTTAGAGCAATGCAAGAACAGACTAGTACATATTCCTTTAATTAATATAGAGCTATTCAAGTTTTGTGTTCCTATTTTGGTAATTTGTATTTCTCATTTCTATTTTAGCAATTTGTATTTTTCAAGGAATGTAGCCATTTTATCTTAATAGATTGTCAAATCCACTGGCATAAAGTTAATATTCTGTTGTTGCCTTTTTATTATCCGTAAGTTCTATAGTAATGTCCCCTCTCTCACTGCCATTGTTATTTTAGTCTTCTATGAACATCAGTTAAATCAAGATGGCTGATAATGTTGTTCACATATTCTATCTTTGCTGGATTTTTTCTTAGTTGTTCTTTTGATTTTTGTTGCTGTTGTTGTTGTTGTTGTTCTTGTTGTTGTTGAGACAGGCTCTCCCTCTGTCACCCAGGCTGGAGTGCAGTGGCACAATCATAGCTTACTGCAGCCTTGACCTCTCAGCCTCAAGTCATCTTCCCACCTCAGATTCCTGAGTGGTTGGGACTACAGATGTGCATCACCATGTCTGCCTACTTTTTAAATGTTTTTTATAAAAATAGGGTCTCACTATGTTGCCCATGTTGATCTTGAACTCCTGGGCTCAAGTCAGCTTCCTGCCTCAGCCTCCGAAACTGCTGGGATTACAGGCATGAGTGCCTGGCCTTTTCAATTGTTGAGAAAGTAGTATTAGACTCTCCAACCATCATTGTGGAATTGTCTATTTCTCCAACTACCTTTGACAATATTTGCTTCACGTATTCTGAAACTCTGTTATTAGGTGCATGCACATCTATGATTGTTAGCAGCAGTAGCGACTTCCAGAAACTTCAATTATTCTCTAGGAATTATCAACTTCAGAGTTACAGGGAGCTGAAAATATTGGTAGCATATTTCCTCGTATACTTGCATTTCCAATAATTTTTTACAGCTTTATTTTCCTAGAAGAAGTTAAACTTCTTTCTACTCAAAAAACTTTAAAATTGCTCCTGTTTTACTTGAACAACATTTTACAACTGTAAGTACAAGCAATACCTACATGATCATAATAAATACTGAATATTTATTTAGTAAAAGTTATTAAATGTAAGAAGAATGTGGGCTACATAAGAAGAATGGGAGAAAGGAAGTGTAAAATTGGGGATGGGGTACATAATTAGTATGGCAGCTAAATTTTCATCTTCCTTAGTAGGAACTGAATTGATAATCTAGTATTAAAGATCAAGAAATAAAAACTTAGGTATATTATATACAAATATGGAAATAACTACAAAAGGAAACATTTAAAACAGTTGAAATTGTTTACTTCTGGAGAGAGGCACTTGGTTTCTTCTGGAGACAGGTACTTGGGTATAGGGAAGGGTGGGAGAGATGGAGCCAGAGAATGCTGGTTTTTATTATTAGCCCTGTGTTATTGACTCTTTGTATGTACTTTTATAAAAATAAAATTTTACTTAAATGTAATTTAAATGTAACTCAAAGTGTGATTCCATTTCTGTCGAAGGTCATATAAGTACCACATCCAGGGAATATTCAATAGAAGAAAAGAATCAGTGGCTGCTTGATAGGTCCTGGTTTCATGGCAGAGACATAATTTAACTTGAATTCTAAAATATGGGAGCAAGTGACATTAGATTTCAGTTGTTGATATTACTAGGTTATAAGTGTTTTCTAGGGAAGATATATACCCATGACAACTTACAGACCTGAATTCTCAGTGACATTTCCTGTCCCAAGGCTGATTCAATTCTCAGAATAACAATTATTGCCTTTCTCCAATATCCTTTTTCATTTCTGTAACACAGAAGAACTTTCTGGCCTAGAATTGTTCTACTTTCAACACAGCTAGCATGCAATGTTATGGCAAATTCAGAGACTCAGGCTTCTCCTGAGAAATCTGAACATCTTTTCCAATTGATTATATTAAATAGTACATAATTTTTCTTTGAGGATTCAGAAAACCCTTGAGTTGAGTTTGCCTAAGTAAATCAGAGGCAACAACTTAGAAACAGCAGGACTCTGAAGGGTCTAAACATTTACCTAAGCAAGTATACTGTGGAATGTAATGAAAAGGTGATTTTCGTATTTTTCCACTATACCTTAAATTTTTTTCTGGGTCTAATTCCTCACTAGGATGAAATTTGAAATAAGTTACATGAATCTTCAGGTAACTCTCCATTTTTTTCTAGGTCTAATTCCTCACTAGGATGAAATTTGAAACAAGTTACATGAATCTTCAGGTAACTCTATCATAAAGTCTCATTTCAGTGATTAAAATGGCCATTTCCCTGTAATAGAAGTGACTTTAATCTGGAGTTAAATTCACTCTCTTCTCAAGTTCAAAACTATTAGGTATAAAGTTCTGAAGTCAAGAGAGTCAGTGTTGTCAGAGTACTTCTTCTTTCCTATTGTGTATTTTTATGTATTGTCCCCCAACCTCAATTTATGACCTTCCCAGCTTTGGAAGAAGGGAGGAACAGAAATGTTTTACAGTGGTGAGTTTGTTTCATACTCTCTGATCCTTGCAGCCAGGGTCTCTCATGGGGTCTTTGCACAGTTTAAAGGATCCCACCTCCTTTATCTCTGGAAATCTTCAATAACTACTTCCACGGAGTAGGTGGTCCATCCTCCCTAGTTGGTCATATATCTCTTTCCTTAGTCCTTAGGCACCTGGCTCAAAGGGAAACTTCTTTCTGCTAAGATCTCTTCTCTTCTCTTGTTTTTCCTCATGAAACTCTCAGGAAACCCCCACACTGATCTCTATTGCAGGTGTCCCACAACTGGGAAACACTTGCTCAGCCTGAGCCTCATCAAACACTTTGAGTGCCAGCTGCCCACAGAAGATACTGCTCTTTCACTCTTCCATTAAACAGACTTGTTGGCCCATAGCTCATCATGTAGATTTTCCAGAAAGATGTTAGCAACAATCCATTATGTCACTTAAACTGCAGGGGACACATGAGGCATTCTGTACCTGGTCCTGTTGCAGCCTCATTGTCTTGATTTGAGAAGATGGAGGTGGGGGAAGGCATCACAAGACACTAAGATTTCTTTTTAAGAATAATAATAATCTCTCATTGTCAATTGTTTTATACCCTTGATGTGGGTGAGAGATGTAAGAGGCAGAAAACCAAATTATGATTACCCCCCGGTAAATCCTTCATCACTGTAAGTGGTAAACATGGAGATGTGGTGCTCATATCCTCTTTCATGAAAGGACTTTTATTGCCCAATTGCTCGGAATGCTGTCTGTGAACAGTCTTTAGATAACAGTCCTTTAGGAATTGATCCACCCAACGTCACACACTTTTTGTGGATGGCCAACATGATGGAGGCAAAGGTATTGAGGACCACCTATTTTGTCACAACATGGAACAAATTTGACTGATCATTTTGTAGGGTTTGCTTAGGCTGCTGGGCCTACATCACAGCTCAGTTTCTTCCCCTTCCCAGTGCTGCTCCATCCTTCTACCTTTCACAGATATGGATGCCAATGGCACTACTTAATAAACATCTAGAAGACTAACCTCTATATCAGAGTCAGGTCCTGGAGAACAAAAACTGTGACGATAGTGTCTCATACCAGTGAGCAATGTGACACTTATCAAATCTTGGTGCTCTCGCCAAAATTTCTATATTTATATCTTAAAACACCATTTGAGCAAAAAAGAATAAATACAGACCTTACTTAATAATCTTATGCTGAGATGGAATATTTATCAATAATAAAAACACTTTTACCGTGGTATAATTTTTACATGAAATGTCAAACATTATATTCTGGTGATTTAAACATGGAGCTCAAAAACTTAAATCTATTTGAATTACTCATCCCTTATTCTTTTGTGCTATGTATATACTCTGCTTTTATAATGCACGTATCACAGTATATTCTAATTATCTGAAGTACCGGACCTTGGTTTATCGAAGAAAATAACTATCTCTTATTTGTAGATATGAAAAAACTGAAGTCAGAATTACAAGTACTTAGAAATTAAGAAATATAACTTGGGAAAGAAAAAAAATTTATCAGAAATGATGACAAAATTAGAAAGACCAAGAAGAAGAAAACAGAAAAACTATTCCCTAAGAAAAGCAAAAGGTAAAGAGGATAAGAAATTAAAAATCTAAAATAAATGTAACAAGAGAAAAAAAATTGATGACATATACTGAATATAAGCAAAGAAGATTAAACGTACAAATCATATGAATCTCTGAAGAAGAAAACAAATCAAGAGGAAAGAGCAAATAAGAAAGAATAATCAAGAAAACTCTCCTTAACTTGAATATGTTATTTGAAACTACATACAAAACCAAGAAAAGCACATACCTGACAATACTGACTCAGAATGACCAATGCCAAGAAAGTCTAAAACGACTGCACTTTGAAGAAAAAATGTAAAAATCCTTTGAACAGCTAGGCATAAAAGGAAGAGATTAATAAGGGAAAATATTAGATTACTATTAGACTTTTCAACAGTAATGTTTAATGCCAGAAGTAAATGAAGTAACATATTTAGAATACTTCAGGAAAAAAAATGTGAACCAAGGATTTTTATATCCCAAAAACTCTCTTTCAAGTATAGAGTGCACATACAAACTGTCACCAGCATGTAAGAACTCAAAAATGTTCTCAAGAGCCCTTGTGAGAAATCTATTGAGTGTAAGTTTTAGAAAACAAAGTGACCAAAGGAATATTGATATAAGAAATGATGGTAAATATAAAACATATAATTACTTATAGAAGTAATTTTAAATTTAAATTTAAGACATATTTACACACAGAAGAAAATTTAGCTGTCTTCACCAAAGAGACTTAGGTATAAAGGCCAAGAAAGAAGCAATGATTTTTCCTAATAGTCAAATTTCATCAAAAATATTATTTACCACTAAAAGAAATCAGAACTTCTTGGCTGATTTCAGGTTTGGGGCAAGAAGTGAACCAAACAAGCCTGAAACACCTTGTCGTATGAAGAAGACATTCCTCATATGTCCTCAGACAGTGAGGAAGCCATTCAAAACTATTAGGGTCACGTCAAAAGAACTCAGAAACCAGCTTGAAGAAGCTTCTCTCCACAAAAGATGAAACAATTTGAGCCTCAAAATAAATACAATTTCAACAGACTGAAACTCACAGAATATGTTTAAGTCCATGAGTTTATAATAATATTTCAATCTAATTCGTTTCCTTAGAAGACAATAGGTAATAAATTCATTATTTTTAAAACAAGTTAAATAAAAGAAAAAATCAACCATCTATCCTTCTTCCTATGTGAGAATTGTACCAGAGTAACAAAATAGTAAATGACATAAAGTACCACTTTATAAAAGTTTTCTAACAAATAAATAAAAAGTAGCGATAGCATTAGAATACGAATTAATGAATTTAGGCATTGAGCACCAACAGCTACTAATATCACAAAAAGAGAGACAACTATACATTTTGTGCCTCCTGATGAAAGAACATCATGCCACCTGTGGTGCTGACAGCAGGATTAAGCAAGTCTCTGGATCCAGCTATTGATTTACAAGAAATACTGAGAACAGAGGAACCTTTTTACCTACACCAAGAGAATGCAAAATTTAGACTGAGATAAACTCTTGGGAGGAAAATAAATTGTACGAAAAATAGAAGAATAGGAGAATGACTTACAGATTAAAGGAGACATAAAAACATGTCTATTTGTTAATGGCAAGGCTATTAGCAATTTCTAGGGTGCACATGAGGATAACAAAGCTATGAAGAAAGTAAAGAAGTGA
Organism: Homo sapiens; assembly: GCF_000001405.40. NCBI lineage: Eukaryota > Metazoa > Chordata > Mammalia > Primates > Hominidae > Homo > Homo sapiens. The sequence continues at coordinate 42,786,141 of NC_000007.14, forward strand.
ATAATGGTTGGTAAGCTATTGATTATTGCCACAATTTCAGAGCCTGTTATTGGTCTATTCAGAGATTCAACTTCTTCCTGGTTTACTCTTGGGAGTCCAGGACCAGATGGATTCACAGCCAAATTCTACCAGAGGTACAAGAAGGAACTGGTACCATTCCTTCTGAAACTATTCCAATCAATAGAAAAAGAGAGAATCCTCCCTAACTCATTTTATGAGGCCAGCATCATCCTGATACCAAAGCCTGGCAGACACACAACCAAAAGAGAGAATTTTAGACCAATATCCTTGATGAACATTGATGCAAAAATCCTCAATAAAATACTGGCAAAATGAATCCAGCAGCACATCAAAAAGGTTATCCACCATGATCAAGTGGGCTTCATCCCTGGGATGCAAGGCTGGTTCAATATACACAAATCAATAAATGTAATCCAGCATATAAACAGAGCCAAAGACAAAAACCACATGATTATCTCAATAGATGCAGAAAAGGCCTTTGACAAAATTCAACAACGCTTCATGCTAAAAACTCTCAATAAATTAGGTATTGATGGGACATATCTCAAAATAATAAGAGCTATCTATGACAAACCCACAGCCAATATCATACTGAATGGGCAAAAACTGGAAGCATTCCCTTTGAAAACTGGCACAAGACAGGGATGCCCTCTCTCACCACTCCTATTCAACATAGTGTTGGAAGTTCTGGCCAGGGCAATTAGGCAGGAGAAGGAAACAAAGGGTATTCAATTAGGAAAAGAGGAAGTCAAATTGTCCCTGTTTGCAGATGACATGATTGTATATCTAGAAAACCCCATTGTCTCAGCCCAAAATCTCCTTAAGCTGATAAGCAACTTCAGCAAAGTCTCAGGATACAAAATCAATGTACAAAAATCACAAGCATTCTTATACACCAATAACAGACAAACAGAGAGCCAAATCATGAGTGAACTCCCATTCACAATTGCTTCAAAGAGAATAAAACACCTAGGAATCCAACTTACAAGGGACGTGAAGGACCTCTTCAAGGAGAACTACAAACCACTGCTCAATGAAATAAAAGAGGATACAAAGAAATGGAAGAACATCCCATGCTCATGGGTAGGAAGAATCAATATCATGAAAATGGCCATACTGCCCAAGGTAATTTATAGATTCAATGCCATCCGCATCAAGCTACCAATGACTTTCTTCACAGAATTGGAAAAAACCACTTTAAAGTTCATATGGAACCAAAAAGGAGCCGCATCGCCAAGTCAATCCTAAGCCAAAAGAACAAAGCTGGAGGCATCACGCTACCTGACTTCAAACTATACTGCAAGGCTACAGTAACCAAAACATCATGGTATGATACCAAAACAGAGATATAGATCAATGGAACAGAACAGAGCCCTCAGAAATAACGCCACATATCTACAACTATCTGATCTTTGACAAACCTGAGAAAAACAAGCAATGGGGAAAGGATTCCCTATTTAATAAATGGTGCTGGGAAAACTGGCGAACCATATGTAGAAAGCTGAAACTGGATCCCTTCCTTACACCTTATACAAAAATTAATTCAAGATGGATTAAAGACTTAAATGTTAGACCTGAAACCATAAAAACCCTAGAAGAAAACCTAGGCATTACCATTCAGGACATAGGCATGGGCAAGGACTTCATGTCTAAAACACCAAAAGCAATGGCAACAAAAGCCAAAATTGACAAATGGGATCTAATTAAACTAAAGAGCTTCTGCACAGCAAAAGAAACTACCATCAGAGTGAACAGGCAACCTACAAAATGGGAGAACATTTTCACAACCTACTCATCTGACAAAGGGCTAATATCCAGAATATACAATGAACTCAAACAAATTTACAAGAGAAAAACAAACAACCCCATCAAAAAGTGGGCGAAGGACATGAACAGACACTTCTCAAAAGAAGACATTTATGCAGCCAAAAAACACATGAAAAAATGCTCAACATCACTGGCCATCAGAGAAATGCAAATCAAAACCACAATGAGATACCATCTCACACCAGTTAGAATGGCAATCATTAAAAAGTCAGGAAACAACTGGTGCTGGAGAGGATGTGGAGAAATAGGAACACTTTTACACTGTTGGTGGGACCGTAAACTAGTTCAACCATTGTGGAAGTCAGTGTGGTGATTCCTCAGAGATCTAGAACTAGAAATACCATTTGACCCAGCCATCCCATTACTGGGTATATACCCAAAGGACTATAAATCATGCTGCTATAAAGACACATGCACACGTAAGTTTATTGCGGCTCTATTCACAATAGCAAAGACTTGGAACCAATCCAAATGTCCAACAATGATAGACTGGATTAAGAAAACGTGGCACATATACGCCATGGAATACTATGCAGCCATAAAAAATGATGAGTTCATGTCCTTTGTAGGGACATGGATGAAACTGGAAATCATCATTCTCAGTAAACTATCGCAAGAACAAAAAACCAAACACCGCGTGTTCTCACTCATAGGTGGGAATTGAACGATGAGAACACATGGACACAAGAAGGGGAACATCACACTCCAGGGACCGTTGTGGGGTGGAGGGAGGGGGTAGGGATAGCATTAGGAGATATACCTAATGCTAAATGACGAGTTAATGGGTGCAGCACACCAACATGGCACATGTGTACATATGTAACAAACCTGCACATTGTGCACATGTACCCTAAAACTTAAAGTATAATAATAATAAAATAAAATAAAATAAAATAAAATAAATTAAATTATAAAAAACCAGTAGATCTAACATAGAATATAAATTCAGGAAGAAATCAGCTGACATTGGAAAATCAGAGAAACCATATAATTTAGAAGTTGGAAAGATTTAATGGCATAATAAAGTAAATGGAGGGTGGAAAAAGAAATCATACTTGAAGTTTAAACAGGAAATATTCTCCATTGAAGGACACAGTGGTTATGATATTTAATCCACAAAGAAGGAAATGTAATCTTAGTCTATTACTAGGCTTAGAGTATACAACATTTACCTAGTCATAATAATAAAAAATATTTTATTGATTGTAAAATCCTAATATTGACTTGTAGAGAAATCATGGCAGCTTCTATCATATTAACAAAATAATATTATTCAACTTGTCAATGTAAAAATAAAGATATTCTCAACAGAGATAAAGAAGTAAAAAGGAGTAAGAAGAGAGAGGATTGGCTATCTATGGGATACTTTATTTGGAAGTATTAGGGTGCTTCTCTTACCAAATGAGGGTTCATAAGCTATTTTCTCTGGTTGGTGAAACAAGAAATGGAGGTTTAGATTGTTTAAAATCACAGAGTTTGTAAGTGAAGCTCAGAACAGTGAGATAAAATACATTGAAAGAATTTCTGGAATTCAAGGAAGATGAAATAGATGTAATTTTTCCAACTCCTCTCACTGAGTACAACTTAAACTCCAAAAATTTTATATATATAAAAAATAGGATGACTCTACTATGGAAAAAGAAGACACATTGGCTAGAGATCACAGGACAAGAGGAATAACACGATGGTGACCTCTCCAGGCTTTCTTTTTGCCTCATATACTTCAGACTTGGAGATTAAAAAGCCAGAAATTCCATAATGCCAATAGAAGCAGACAAGAAGAGCCCCCAAAAAAGCCTACTGTCTCTCTCAGAGGACAGGAAGGGGGCAAATATCAAGAGAGACAACTTTTAGACAATGGCCATCCTACTCGGGCTACCACCACAGAAAACCCGTGGCCCAAACCCATCATACCAGTAGAGGCACATTGGGGAGCCTCATTCATCCTTAGAAGTTTGTAAGAAGTGTTTTAACACCTCTGCCATTTCAGAGTAAGAGAAGGAAACATAATGAACCAAACGTTTTTCCCACCCACTGGTTACAACTACCCAACCCCTTCCCAACCAAACTGTCAGTGGATACCACATAGAAAGTCTGGATTTTTCCCCACCTGACAGAAATGAGGTACTCCTTCCTTACTGGTTTAAATTGGGTGGTTTAAAATAACAGAAATGTATTCTCTGACAGTTCTGGAGGCTAGAACTTTAAAACCAAGGTTTCATCACAGCCACACTCTCTGAAGGCTTAGGGATAAGATCCTTCCTTGCCTGCTCCTAGCTTCTGGTGTTGCTGGCAATCCTTAGCTTGTAGATGCATCACTTCCATCTCTGAATCACACCACATTTTGTGTGCCTTCACATCATTTTCCCTGTGTGCATCTCTGTATCCAAACTTTTCTCTTCTTATGAGGACACCAGTCATTGGCTTAGGGCCATCCCTATGACTCATTATAACTCGATTACATCTACAAAGATCCTATTTCTAAGTATGGTCACATTCTAAGTTTCTGAGTGGGCATGAGTTTTGAGGGAATACTATTCAACCCAGTGCAGACAACTAAAATAAAATGTTTAAATAAGACCCAGAATCTTATATTATTAAAATTTTCCAAGTTTCCATGGAAAACTACTCTCATACCAAGAACCAAGAAGTCTCGAACTAAATGACAAGAGACAAGCAATAGATGCCAACACAAAGATGACATAAAAGTTAGAATTATGAGACAAAGATTTGTAAGCAGCCACAATAAAAATAACTTAATGAGCAACTAGAAATATGCTTGAAGCAAATTTTTTTACAAATAGAAAACCTCAGCAAAGAAATAAAAAGTCTCAGTAGAGACTAGAAGATATAAATAAGAACCAAATAAAAATGTTAGAGCTGAAAAATACAATAACTGAAATTAAAAGCTCTATACATGGGCTGAACAACAAAATGGGGGAAGTAGAGGAAATAACCCATTAGCTAGAATACAGAACAATAGAAATTACCTAATTTGAACAACAGAAAGAGAAACTGGGAGAAAAAAACTAAAGGAAACAGAGCCCCTGGGGATTTATGGGACCATAAGAGATCTAACATTCATGTCATGAGAGTTGCAGAAGGAAAGAAGAAAAAAGGTGGGGCTAAAAAAGCATTAGCAAAAATAACTGCTGGAAACTTTCATAACTGACCAAGAGACACAAACCTAAAGAAACTGAGAGAACCCAAACAGGATAAACAAGAATATCCACACCAAAGCACACCACAAGCTTCTAAAAACTAAAAATTATAAACAAAGAAAAAATATTGAAAGCAGTCAGTAAAAAGCAAAAGACATCTTACCTATAGGGGGAAAATAATCCATGCTAATGACAGCAATTTCACATCAGACACTTTGGAGGTTATAAGGAAGTGGCACAATATTTTCACCTGCTGAAAGAAATCAACTATCAACCCAAAATCCTGTATTTATATCCTTCAGAAATGAGCTGGAGATCAAAATGTTCTCAGAGGAAGAGAGAATTTGTCATCAGAAGATCAATCCAAAAAGAATGAAAATGAAATGATAAAAGAAGAAATCTTGGAACATGAGGAAGGAAGAAAGAACATAGTAAGCAAAAAACATAGGGAAATACAATATACTTTTCTTCTTTTGTTACATTTTTTAAATTTATGTTTGACAGTTGAGACAAAATTATAACATTATTTGATGTGGTTAAGGCAATTACATTACAAGCAGAGAGGTAAAGAGAAGTAAAGGAAAGTTAGATTTCAATATCTTACTTGCACTAGTAAAATGATGACACCAGCAGTTTGCCACAAGTTATATTTATATAATGTAATATCTAAAACAACTACTTTTTTTGAATATATAAAAAGAAATGCATTTAAAAACATTATACATAAGTCAAAATGGAATACTAAAAAATAACCCACTGGAAGGCAGGGGAAAGAAAGAAAAAAAAAAGGGAGAAAGAGACAGAGAAAATAAAATGACATAATTAAAACTTAACACATCAGTAATTACATGAAAGGTAAATGGTGTAAATATGCCAATTAAAAGACAGAGTTTGGCACAGTGGATTAGAAAAACATGCTTTTACTATATGCTCTCTAGAAGAAATTCAGTTCAAATGTAACAATTTAGGCTGGTTGAAAGTAAAATAATGAAAAAAATATGCAAACCTTAATGAAATGATAGCAAGATAAAGTAGACTTCGGAACAAAGAAAATTGCCAGAGATGGAGAAGGATTTTATGTAATAATAAAAGGGTCAATACAGCAAGAACACATAGTAATTTTAAATGCATATGCACCAAAAAGCAAAGTTACCAAATTTGTGCAGAAAAACTGGTAGAACTGAAAACAAAAATAGGTAAATCTGTAATATAGTTGGAGACCTCAACAACCTTCTCTGAAAATTTGAAGAACAATTAGAGAAAAAAATCCAAGTGAGACCCCATCTCTAATGAAAAAAAAAATTACCAAAGATATGGAACTCAATCACACCATCAACCAATAGGATCTAATCAACATTTATAGAACACTCCACCCCAAAACAGCAGAATATATATTCTTTTCTAGTGCCCATAGAACATACACCAAGATAGATCATAGACGGCCATGAAACAAACCTCAACAAAATTTTAAAAGTTAAAATTATGTAAAGGGTTTTTCTAAACACAATGGAATGAAAGTAGAAATTAATGACAGAAAGATTTTAGGAAACTCTCCAAACACTTGGAACTAAATAGCGTGCTCCATGGATCCAGGAAGAAATTTCAAGGAAAATCAAATGGCACATTGAAATGAATAAAATGTAAACACAACACGGGATTTCTCATTTCTGGCCAGCATACAAAAAGCATGGAATTGCCAGTCAATCCTAACAAGTAAAAAGCTGGAAAAATGGAAAAATGAACAATTCTTAGATTTGTAAGAGAAGTGAGGTCACAGGGCAAACCACTGGCCCCAAAATCAGCGAGAGAGACACGTATAGAGAATCATAACTTACCAGAGCAGAAACCCATGAGCAGAAACCTCCAAGGGAACCAGTGCCAAACTGGAAAAACCTGAACTGTAATTAACAAATTGCTGGAAGCTCAATGTGGACAAGTCAGAGAGTTTGAAACTTCAGAGGGATTCAGTTATTGAGGGGCCCCCTACTTTTGCGAGTTTTACCTGCTAGAGCTCCACCAGTTTATCAAAGCAAATAGCAGATTTTTAAAAATGCCCCCATGCTTACAGCAAGGGAGGGAAAAGTGCCATTTTGAAATATGCCAGAGCATTGTATTCTTCTTAACAAAGTCTGCCCTCAGGAGAAACTATTTAACCAGAACCTAAACTGCTGGGGTTTCATCAGTGCCTAACGAACTTGGAGGAAGTAAAATTACCAACTCCAGCTGGCTCTAGTCTTCCTGTGGAACAAAGGAAATAAACAATTCCAGCCTCCTCCAGCCATATGGTCACACCTAAAGAGGGGAGTGGAACTGAAGTTCACAGTCAAGAGGTACAGGCTCACTAAAAACTGAGGCCTAATCATAAGTAATTACATTACTTAAGGCCTATTTATAGCACTTCCCTTGACCCAATACATCATGTCCAGCTGTCAGTTAAAAAATTACAAAACATACTGAAAGGCAAAACACAGTTTGGAGAGATTGAAAAAGCACTAGAACAAGACTCAGATATTGGAAGAAATGGTGGAATTATTAGATGAGGAATGTTAAAACAACTGTGATTAATATGCTAAGTACTCTAATAGACAAAGTAGAAAGCATGCACAAATAGATGGGAAATGTAAGCAGAGAGATGGAAATTCTAGCAAAAAGCCAAAAGGAAATGCTTGACATCAAAACTACTGTAGCAGAAATGAAGAATGCCTTGCCTTTGATGGGCTTATTAGTAGACTGAACACAGCTTAAGAAAGAATCTGTGTGCTTAAAGATATCTCAGTAAAAACCTCTAAAACTAAAAAACAAAGGAGAAAAGAAAACATTTTAAAAATCTGGAATATTTGAGAACTGTGAGAAAACTACAAAAGGCATAACATATGCTTAATGGGAATACCAGAAGGAGAATAAATATTCGAAAAAATAATGATTGAGAATTTTCCCCAAATTAATGTCAGGCATCAAACCCAGAGGCAAGAACCTCAGAGAACACCATGAAGGATAAATTCCAGACAAACTAAACCTAGGCATATTATTTCCAAACTACAGAAAATCAATGATTAAAAAAAAGAATCCTGAAAGAAGCCACAGGGAGTGGGTGGTGGCCCTTGCATACACAGGAGCAAAGATCATAATTACATCCTACCACTTCTCCTAAGAAACTATGCAAGCAAGAATAGAGTGGAGTGAAATATTGAAAGTGTTGAGAGTATAAAAATCAGCCTAGAAGTCTGTATCCTGCAAAATTATCCTTAATGTGTGAGAGAAATAAAGACTTACTCATACAAACAGAAATTGAGGGTATTTGTTGCCAGTAAACCTGAGTTGCAAAAAACGTTAAAAGAAGTTATTTAAGGAGAAGGAAAATAATATGGGTCAGGAACTCCTATCTATATGAAGAAAAGAAGAGCATTAATGAAGAAATTAGTGAAAGTAAAATAAAAACTTATTTTTCTTATTCTTAATTGATCTACATATATATATGCTTATGTTTGCTTAGGTACAAGTAAGATGAATGACAGCAATGATACAAGGAATCGGCAGGAGGAATTAGGATTATTTTGTTATTATAAGTTACTCACACTACCTGTGAAGTAGTATAGTGTTATTTGAAAATAGACTTGGGTTGAGCACCTCTTGGAGAATCGCTCGGGTTCGCTCCACGCTGTCGCAGCCACCGCTGTGGTCGCCAGTCAGCCGAGGGGCTGCGATACTGGTTGCCCGCGGTGTGAGCAGAATTCAACGTGTACCGCTGCCGTGAAAATGGAGAGGCCTTTGTCCGTGTTTGGGGACCGCAGCACTGGGGAGGCGATCTGCTCCCAGAACGTTATGGCTGCAGCTTTGATTGCCAATACTGTAAAAAGTTCTCTTGGTCCAGTTGGCTTGGTTAAAATGTTGGTGGATGATATTGGTGATGTATCCATTACTAACGGTGGTGCACCATCCTGAAGTTACTGGAGGTAGAACATCCTGCAGCTAAAGTTCTTTGTGAGCTGGCTGATCTGCAAGACAAAGAAGTTGGAGATGGAACTACCTCCGTGGTTATTATTGCAGCAGAACTCCTAAAAAATGAAGATGAATTAGTCAAACAGAAAATTCATCCCACGTCAGTTATTAGTGGCTATGGACTTGCTTGCAAGGAAGCAGTGCGTTATATCAATGAAAACCTAATTGTTAACACAGATAAAGTGGGAAGAGATTGCCTGATTAATGCTGCCAAGACATCCACGTCTTCCAAAATCATTGGAATAAATGGCGATTTCTTTGCTAACATGGTAGTAGATGCTGTATTTGCTATTAAATACACAGACATAAGAGGCCAGCCATGCTATCCAGTCAATTCTGTTAATATTTTGAAAGCCCATGGGAAAAGTCAAACAGAGAGTATGCTCATCAGTGGCTATGCACTCAACTGTGTGGTGGGATCCCAGGGCATACCCAAGAGAATTGTAAATGCAAAAATTGCTTGCCTTGACTTTGGCCTGCAAAAAACAAAAATGAAGCTTGGTATACAGGTGGTCATTACAGACCCTGAAAAACTGGACCAAATTAGACAGAGAGAATCAGATATTACCAAGGAGAGAATTCAGAAGATCCTGGTAACTGGTGCCAGCATTATTCTAACCACTGGTGGAATTGATGATATGTGTCTGAAGTATTTTGTGGAGGCTGGTGCTACGGCAGTTAGAAGAGTTTTTAAAAGGGACCTTAAACGCATTCCGAAAGCTTCTGGAGCAACTATTCTGTCAACTCTGGCCAATTTGAAAGGTAAAGAAACTTTTGAAGCTGCAGTGTTGGGGCAGGCAGAAGAAGTGGTATAGCAGAGAATTTGTGATGATGAGCTGATCTTAATCAAAAACACTAACCCTCATACATTTGCATCGATTATCTTACGTGGGACAAATGATTACATGTGTGATGAGATGAAGCATTCTTTACATGATGCTTTTTGTGTAGTGAAGATAGTTTTGGTGTCAAAATCTGTGGTTCCAGGTGTGGGTGCTGTAGAAGTAGCCCTTTCTATATACCTTGAAAACTATATACCTTTCTATATACCTTGAAAACACCGCATATTCTCACTCATAGGTGGGAATTGAACAATGAAAACATATGGACACAGGAAGGGGAACATCACACTCTGGGGCCTGTTGTGGGGTGGGGGGAAGGGGGAGGGATAGCATTGGGAGATATACCTAATGCTAGATGACGAGTTAGTGGGTGCAGCGCATCAGCATGGCACATGTATACATATATAACTAACCTGCGCATTGTGCACATGTACCCTAAAACTTAAAGTATAATAAAAAAAAAAAAAAATTTTACTTTTTGTGAAATATCATTTTTACTGTTTTCCTAATAATTTTCTAACTAAATTTCCATAACTACAATAATAATGTATTTTATCACGTCACCAAAAAAAAAAAAAAAAAAAAAAAGAAAACTATGCAACTAGCATGGGGTCTCGGGAACAGAATGCTATTGCAGAGTTTGCAAGATCACTTCTTGTATTCCTAATACACTGGCAGTTAATGCTGCCCAGGAATCCACAGATCTGGTTGCAAAGTTAAGAGCTTTTCATAATGAGGCTCAGGTTAACCCAGAACGTAAAAATCTAAAATGGATTGGTCTTGATTTGAGCAATGGTAAACCTCAAGACAACAAACAAGCAAGGGTGTTTGAACCAACCATAGTTAAAGTTAAGAGTTTGAAATTTACATGCCCCATTCCAAGATGGCCAAATTGGAACAGCTCCGGTCTGCAGCTCCCAGCATGATCAACACAGAAGATGGGTGATTTTTGCACTTCCAACTGAGCCTCCACTGGTGATGCTCAGGCAAACAGGGTCTGGAGTGGACCTCCAGCAAACTCCAACACACCTGCAGCTCAGGGACCAGACTGCTAGAACGAAAACTAACAAACAGAAAGGAATAGCATCAACATCAACAAAAAGGACATCCACACCAAAACCCCATCTGTAGGTCACCAATATCAAAGACCAAAGGTAGATAACACCAAAACGATGGGGAGAAACCAGAGCAGAAAAGGTGAAAATTCTAAAAACCAAGCACCTCTTCTCCTCCAAAGGATCACAGCTCCTTGCCAGCAATGGAACAAAGCTGGATGGAGAATGACTTTGACAAGTTGACAGAAGTAGGTTTCAGAAGGTCAGTAATAACAAACTTCTCTGAGCTAAAGGAGGATGTTCGAACCCATAGCAAGGAAGCTAAAAACCTTGAAAAAAGATAAGATGAATGGCTAACTAGAATAAACAGTATAGAGAAGACCTTAAATGACCTGATGGAGGTGAGAACCATGGCACAAGAACTACGTGACGCATGCACAAGCTTCAATAGCCAATTCAATCAAGTGGAAGAAAGGGTATCAGTGATTGAAGAAAAAATTAATGAAATAAATTGAGAACTTTAGAGGAAAAAGAGGAAAAAGAAGAGAACAAAGCCTCCAAGAAATGTGGGACTATGTGAAAAGACCAAATCTACATTTGATTGGTGTACCTAAAAGTGATGGGGAGAATAAAACCAAGATGGAAAACACTCTTCACGACATTATCCAGGAGAACTTCCCCAATATACCAGGGCAGGCCAACATTCAAATTCAGGAAATACAGAGAACACCACAAAGATATTCCTCGAGAAGAGCAACCCCAAGACACATAATTGTCAGATTCACCAAGGTTGAAATGAAGGAAAAAATGTTAAGGGCAGCCAGAGAGAAAGGTCAGGTTACCCACAAAGGGAAGCCCATCAGACTAACAGCAGACCTCTCAGCAGGAACTCTACAAGCCAGAAGAGAGTGGAGGCCAATATTCAACATTCTTAAAGAAAAGAATTTGCAACCCAGAATTTCATATACAGCCAAACTAAGCTTCATAAGTGAAGGAGAAATAAAATACTTTACAGACAAGCAAATGCTGAGAGATTTTGTCACCACCAGGCCTGCCTTACAAGAGCTCCTGAAGGAAGCACTAAACATGGAAAGAAACAACAAGTACCAACCACTGCAAAAACATGCCAAATTGTAAAGACCATCGAGGCTATGAAGAAACTGCATCAAAAAATGGGCAAAATAACCAGCTAACATCATAATGATAGGATCAAATTCACACATAACAATATTAACCTTAAATGTAAATGGGCTAAATGTCCCAATTAAAAGACATAGACTGGCAAATTGGATAGAGTCAAGACCAATCAGTGTGCTGTATTCAGGAGACCCATATCACATGCAAAGACACACATAGGCTCAAAATAAAGGGATGGAGGAAGATCTACCAAGCAAATGGAAAGCAAAAAAAAAGCAGGGAATGCAATCCTAGTCTCTGATAAAACAGACTTTAAACCAACAAAGACCAAAAGAGACAAAGAAGGACATTACATAATGGTAAAGGAATCAATTCAACAAGAAAAGCTAACTATCCTAAATATATATGCACCCAATACGGGAACACCCAGATTCATAAAGCAAGTCCTTAGAGACCTACAAAGAGACTTAGACTCCCACACAATAATAATGGGAGACTTTAACACCCCACTGTCAATATTAGGCAGATCAACGAGACAGATAGTTACAAGGATATGCAGGACTTGAACTCAGCTCTGCAAGCCGACCTAAAAGACATCTACAGAACTCTCCACCCCAAATCAACAGAAAATGCATTCTTCTTCAGTACCACATGGCACTGATTCCAAAATTGGCCACATAGTTGGAAGTAAAGCATTCCTCAGCAAATGTAAAAGAAGAGAAATCACAACAAACTATCTCTAAGACCACAGTGAAATCAAATTAGAACTCAGGATTAAGAAACTCACTCAAAACCACACAACTACATTGAAACTGAACAAACTGCTCCTGAATGACTACTGGGTAAATAACGAAATGAAGGCAGAAATAAAGATGTTCTTTGAAGCCAATAAGAACAAAGACACAACATACCAGAATCTCTGGGACACATTTAAAGCAGTGTGTAGAGGGAAATTTATAGCACTAAATGCTATAAGGAGAAAGCAGGAAAGATCTAAAATTAACACCCTAACATCACAATTAAAAGAACTAGAGAAGCAAACATATTCAAAAGCTAGCAGAAGGCAAGAAATAACTAAGAGCAGAACTGAAGGAGACAGAGACACAAAAAAACCTTGAAAAAATCAATGAAACCAGGAGCTGGTTTTTTGAAAAGATCAACAAAATTGATAGACCGCTAGCAGAGCTAATAAAGAAGAAAAGAGGGAAGAATCAAATAGATGCAATAGAAAATAATAAAAGGGATATCACCACCGATCCCACAGAAATACAAACTACCATCAGAGAATACTATAAATACCTCTACGCAAATAAACTACAAAATCTAGAAGAAATGGATAAATTCCTGGACACATACACCCTCCCAAGACTAAACCAGGAAGAAGTGGAATCTCTCAATCTACCAATAACAGGCTCTGGAATTGAGGCAATAATTAATAATCTACCAACCAAAAAAAGTCCAGGACCAGATGGATTCACAGCCGAATGCTACCAGAGGTACAAAGAGGAGCTGGTACCATTCCTTCTGAAACTATTCCAATGAATAGAAAAACAGAGACTCCTCCCTAACTCATTTTATGAGGCCAGCATCATCCTGATACCAAAGCCTGGCAGAGACAACAAAAAAAAAGAACTTTAGACCAATATCCCTGATGAACATCGATGTGAAAATCCTGAATAAGATACTGGCAAACTGAATCCAACAGCACATCAAAAAGCTTATCCACCACCATCAAGTTGGCTTCATCCCTGGGATGCAAGGCTGGTTCAACATATGCAAATCAATAAATGTAACCCATCACATAAACAGAACCAATGACAAAAACCACATGATTATCTCGATAGATGCAGAAAAGGCCTTTGACAAAATTCAACAGCCATTCATGCTAAAAACTCTCAATAAAGTAGGTATTGGTGGAACATATCTCAAAATAATAAGACTATTTATGACAAACCCACAGCCAATATCATACTGAATGGGCAAAAACTGGAAGCATTAACTTTGAAAACTGGCACAAGACAGAGGTGCCCTCTCTCACCACTCCTATTCAACATAGTGTTGGAAGTTCTGGCCAGGACAATCAGGCAAGAGAAAGAAATAAAGGGTATTCAATTAGGAAAAGAGAAAGTCAAATTGTACCTGTTTGCAGATGACATGATTGTATATTTAGAAAACCCCATCGTCTCAGCCCAAAATCTCCTTAAGCTGATAAGCAACTTCAGCAAAGTCTCAGGACACAAAATCAATGTGCAAAAATCACAACCATTCCTATACACCAATAGTCGACAAACAGAGAGCCAAATCATGAGTGAACTCTCATTCACAATTGCTACACAGAGAATAAAATACCTAGGAATCCAACTGACAAGGGATGTGAAGGACCTCTTCAAGGAGAACTACAAAGCACTGCTCAATGAAATAAAAGAGGATACAATCAAATGGAAGAACATTCCATTCTCATGGATAGGAAGAATCAATATCATGAAAATGGCCATATTGCCCAAAGTAATTTATAGATTCAGTGCCATCCCTATCAAGCTAACAATGACTTTCTTCACAGAATTGGAAAAAAATACTTTAAAGTTTATATGGCATCAAAAAAGGGCCTGCATTGCCAAGACAATCCTAAGCAAAAAGAACAAAGCTGGAGGCATCATGCTAGCTGACTTCAAACTATACTACAAGGCTACAGTAACCAAAACAGCATGGTATGATACCAAAACAGATATATAGACCGATAGAACAGAACAGAGCCATCAGAAATAACACCACATATCTACAACAATTTGATCTTTAACAAACCTGACAAAAACAAGAAATGGGAAAGAATTCCATGTTTAATAAATGGTGCTGGGAAAATTGGCTAGCCATATGTAGAAAGCTGAAACTGGATCCCTTCCTTACACCTTATACAAAAATTAATTCAAGAGGGATTAAAGACTTAAACGTTAGACCTGAAACCATAAAAACCCTAGAAGAAAACCTAGGCAATACCATTCAGGGCATAGGCATGGGCAAGGACTTCATGTCTAAAACACTAAAAGCAATGGCAACAAAGCCAAAATAGACAAATGGGATCTAATTAAACTAAAGAGCTTCTGCACAGCAAAAGAAATTACCATCAGAGTGAACAGGCAACCTACAGAATGGGAGAAAATTTTTGCAATCTACCCATCTGACAAAGGGCTAATATCCAGAATCTAGAAAGAACTTAAACAAATTTTCAAGAAAAATAACCCCATCAAAAAGTGGGCAAAGGATATGAACAGACACTTCTCAGAAGAAGACATTTATGCAGCCAACAGACACATGAAAAAATGTTCATCATCACTGTTCATTAGAGAAATGCAAATCAAAACACCAGTAACAGACAAACAGAGAGCCAAATCATGAGTGAACTCCCATTCACAATTGCTGCAAAGAGAATAAAATACTTAGGAATCCAACTTGCCATCTGACACCAGTTAGAATGGCGATCATTAAAAATTCAGGAAACTACAGATGCTGGGAGGATGTGGAGAAATAGGAAGGCTTTTGCACTGTTGGTGGGAGTGTAAATTAGTTCAACCATTGTGGAAGACAGTGTGGCGATTCCTCAAAGATCTAGAACTAGAAATACCATTTGACCCAGCGATCCCATTACTGGGTGTATACCCAAAGGATTATAAATCATGCTACTATAAAGACACATGCACACGTATGTTTATTGCGACACTATTCACCATAGCAAAGACTTGGAACCAACCCAAATGTCCATCAATGATAGACTGGATTAAGAAAATGTGGCACATATACACCATGGAATACTATGTAGCCATAAAAAAGGATGAGTTCATGTCCTCTGCAGGGACATGGATGCAGCTGGAAACCATCATTCTGAGCAAACTACCACAAGGACAGAAAACCAAACAACACATGTACTCACTTACAGATGGGAATTGAACAATGAGAACACTTGGACACAGGGAGGGGAACATCACACACTGGGGCCTGTCATGGGGTGGGGGGCTTGGGGAGGGATAGCATTAGGAGAAATACCCAATGTAAATGACGAGTTAATGGGTGCAGCAAACTAACATGGCACATGTATACCTATGTAACAAACCTGCACGTTGTGCACATGTACCCTAGAACTTAAAGTATACTAAAAATAAATAAATAAATAAATAAATAAATAAATAAATTTGAAATTTGCACAGAAGCTGCAATTACCATTCTTTGAATTGATGATCTTATTAAATTACATCCAGAAAGTAAAGATGATAAACATGGAGGTTATGAACATGCTGTTCACTCTGGAGCCCTTAATGATTGATCTGATGTCCCTTTTATTTATAACAATGTTAAATACAATTGTCTTGTACCTTGAGTTAAGTATTACATATTAAAGTACAACAAGGTGAAAATAAATAAAGAAAAAGAAAATAGCCTACGGTTAGTTGTAAGTGTATGTTTCAAACTCTAGAGCAATCACTTAAAAATGTGTTTTAAAAAGGATAATTGATATGCTAAGAAAGGAGATAAAATGCAATGATGCAAAACACCCAGTTAAAATTACAAAAGGCAGAAAAGAGTAGAAGGAAAAATACAAACAAAGAACAAGGGCAATAAATAGAAGAAAACAGTAATAAACACTGTAGATGTTAATCCAACTATAGCAAAATTACTTTGAACAACAGTGATGTAAATGTACCAATTAACAGATGGAGATCAGAGTGAATCAAAGACAAGACCAAAATACATGTTGTCCATAAGAAATCCACTTTAAATATGAAGAGACATACGGCTTAAGAGTAAATACTAATAAGTGGAGAAAGATATACCATGCTAACACTGAGCAAAAGAAAGCAAAAGTATCTCTATTCATTTCAGACAAAACAAACCTCATACAAGCATATTTATTAGGAATAAATAGAAACATGACATAATTATAAAGGAGCCAATTCTCCAACATTATATAGCAATCTTTAATGAGTATGAGCCTAACAACAGAGTGTCAAAATATATGAGGCAAAAACCTATGGAACTACAAAAAAAAAAAGATGAATCCACTATTACAATTGGAGACTTCAACACCCTTCTATCAGAAATGAACAGATTCAGCAGGCATAAAATCAGTAAGGATATAGTTGAACTAAAAATACCATTGATCAACTGTATATAATTAACACCTTTAGATAACTTAATGCAACAATAGCAGAGTACACATTCTTCTCAAGTTCACATGGAACCTTCACCAAGATATACCACATCCTGGGCCATAAAACACACCTTAACAAATTTAAGAGAATTAGGAATCATATGATGTCAGCTCTCAGACCAAAATGGAATTAAACTAAAAGCAAATAACAGAAAGATAGCTGGGAAATCTCAAAACTTGCAGATTAAACAACACATTTCTAAATAACACAGGAGTTGGAAATAAAATCTCATTAGAAATTTAAAAATATTTTTTAAAAGATCAAAATTAAAACAAAAGTTATTCTAATTGTGGAATGCAGCAAATGCAGTTATTAGATGAAAATTGATAGCATTGAATGCATATATTAGCAAAGAAGAAAGATCTGAAATCAGTAATCTAAGGCTATACCTTAGGAAACTAGGAAAAAAAAGAGCAAATTAAATTCAAAGTAAGCAGGAAAACAAATTAAAATTAGAGCAGAAATCAATAAAATTGAAAACAGAATATCAATAGAGAAAATAAATAAAACCAAAGCTGGTCTTTGGAAAAGATCAATAAAATTAATATGCCTCTAGTCAGGCTAAGGGGGAAAAAAGGATGACACAAATTACTAATATCAGAAATGAAGAAAGACATTAAAAGAATAATAAGGAAATACTAGGAAAAAGTCTATGCCCACAAATCTGATAATCTAGATAAAACAGACCAATTACTTGAAAGACACTATCTGCCAAAGTGCACACAAGAAGAAATAGACAATCTAAATAGTCTTGTGTCAAATAAATTGAATCAATAATTAATAATCTTCCCAAAGAAAAAGCACTAGGCCAAGATACATTCACATGTGAATTCCAAAAAACATTTCAAGAAGAAATTATACCAATTCTCTACACTCTGTTTTAGAAGAGAGAAGCAAAAGGAAAGTTTTCTAACACATTCTATGAGGCCAGAATTACCTTATACCAAAACCAGACAAAGATATTACAAGAAAAGAGAATTATAGATCAATATTTTTAATGAACATAGATGCAAAAGTTATCAACAAAATGTTAGCAAATCAAATCTAACAATATGTAAAAAGAATTTTACACTGCAAACAAGTAGGATTTATTCCAGGTATGGAAGCCTGGTTCAACGTTAAAAATATCAAATAATATAATCCATTACAACAACAAAGAAGACAAATTACATGATCATATCAATAGATGCAGAAAATTTATTTGACAAAATTGAATATCCACTCATAATTAAAACTTTCACAACTGCAGATTGCAAACACTGGAGTTACCTGGAGCAGGAAACACATTTTGTGAACAGACTGACTAGAATCCATTGAGTTATCTAGCCAGAAGCTCTGCCTGATAGCAGAGCCCAGCCAGTGACCTTACCAGATATTGGATCCCAGAAAATACACAGCTGGCCAAAATCAGTGGCCCAGACAACTAGAAAACTCACAACAGCTCTGCCTGCCCAGGGTCAGTGAGGGTCATCATCAGTTGTCCCTTGCAGAATCACAGACTACATTAAAGTGAAGGTCCATCTCTAGCAAAGAATACCTGTGAAGACAAGAGAGAGGCTGTCATCTCAAATGTTCAGACAACAACACAAGGATGCAGGAATTATGAAGAATCAGGGAACCATGGCACTTCCAAAATAAACTAATAAAATTTCCATGGTAGACCCACAAAAATGGAGATCTATCTATAAAATGACAGACACAGAATTCAGAATAATACTCATAAAGAAGTTCAGTGAACTACAAGAATATACCATAAAAAGTTTAATGAAATTTGGAAAACAATACACAAAGTGAAAAGTTTGACAAAGAAATGGAAACAAAAGAAACAGATAAAAATCCTAGAAATGAAGAATACAGTGACTAAAGTGAAAAATTTAATAGAAATTTAACAGAAAGCTGCAAAACCAGACTTGATCAAATAGAGGAAAGAATTAGTGAGCTTGAAGACAGAACATTTTAAATCATTCAGTCAGAGGAGCAGAAAGATAAAAGAATAAAGAAAGCCTATGAAAATTATGGAACACCACCAAGAGACCAAACCTTTGTGTAACAGGAGTTACAGAAGGAAGATAATGTAAAAGGGACAGAAAACACATTTAAATAAATAATACCTAGAATAGAAGAGGAAAAATGATGGATAGGAGGAAGGACTAACTTGCAGCTCCCATTCAGATGGACAGAGCAGCATGTGCGGACCCACATTGTGAACTTTGCTCCAAGAACTACCACAGAATTGTACCAGGAAAGCTGAGAGAATCCACAGATCCTTTGAAGGAGGTGGATTGCTGTTGGGACAGCAACAGACCCTTTGTTGAGAGAATCCACAGATCCTTTGAAGCTGAGAGAATCCACAGATCCTTTGAAGAAGGATTGCTCCATGGGACAGTGGAGAAACTGTGAGTCTGCTTGCTTTCTCAGCTGGGAGGCTTGTAGCCTGGGGCAAGTTCTCAGTCATGCTCACCAGCTTCCTGGAAATAAACTCACTGCTGTTGCGGGGGTACGATGGGAGTGAAACCAATCTTTCATGCTGTAGGCTGCATGGGAGCTGGGTGAGGCCTATGGCTGCTGGCTTTCTTCCACTTCCCTGGTTACCTGTGTGATGCAGTAGAGACAGCCAAAAATCCCCTGGGAACATAACTCTATTGGCCTAGGAACCATGCTGCCATCCCCCATTGCAGTTGCAGTAAGCCCTGCCCAAGGAGAGCCTGAGCTCACACATGGCTAACCCTGCCCCTACCCAGTGGTCTTTCTCTACCTGCGCTGGTAGCCTAAGACAAAGGACATAATCTCCTGGGAGCTTAGGGATACCAGCACAGCTAACAGACCTGAAGATGGATTACATCACAGGACTCTCAACTGCCAGAAAAAGAATTCAGAAGGTCAACTATTAAGCAAATCAAGGAGGCACTAGAGAAAGGTGAAAACCAACTTAAAGATATCAAAAACGTGATACAGGTTATTAATGGGGAAATCCCCATTGAAATAGATAGCATAAATAAAAAACGATCACAACTTCTAGAAATGAAGGACACACTTAGAGAATTGCAAAATACACTGGAATATCTCAGCAATAGAATCAAACAAGTAGAAGAAAGAACTTCAGAGATTGAAGATAACGCTTTTGAATTAACCCAATCTCAGAAGACAAAGAAAAAAGAATTAAAAAAAAGAACAAAGCCTCCAAGAAGTTTTGGGATTATATTAAATGACCAAACCTAAGAATAATTGGTGATCTTGAGGAAAAAGAGAAATTTAAAAGTTTGGAAAACATATTTGAGGGAATAATTGAGGAAAACTTCCCCAGCCTTGCTAGAGATCAAGACATCCAAATACAAGAAGCTCAAAGAACACCTGGGAAATTAATCACAAAAAGATTATCACCTAGGCATACAGTCATCACGTTATTTAACGTCAAGACAAAGCAAAGAATCTTAAGAGCTATGAGGCAAAAGCATCAGGTAACCTATAAAGGAAAATCTATCAAATTAACAACAGATTTCTCAGCAGAAACCCTACAAACTAGAAGAGATTGGGGTCCCATCTTTAGCATCCTTAAACAAAACATTTATCAGCCAAGAATTTTGTATCCAGTGAAACTAAGCTTGACAAATGAAAGAAAGATACAGTCCTTTTCAGAAAAACAGATGCTGAGAGAATTTGCCACTACTAAGCCAGCACTACAAGAACTACTAAAAGAAGCTCTAAATCATGAAACAAATCCTCAAAATACACCAATATAAAATCTCATTAAAGCAAAAATTGCACGGGACCTATAAAACAATAACACAATGAAAAAAAAAAACAAGGTATTCAGGCAACAAATAGCATGAAGAATAGAATAGTACCTCACATCTCAATACTAATGTTGAATATAAATAGCCTGAAAGCTCCACTTAAAAGATACAGAATGGCAGAATG
Source organism: Homo sapiens (assembly GCF_000001405.40). Lineage (NCBI taxonomy): Eukaryota > Metazoa > Chordata > Mammalia > Primates > Hominidae > Homo > Homo sapiens. Next base: position 42,807,302 of record NC_000007.14, read on the forward strand.
GATAAGAATTCATGAACCAAGTATCTGCTGTCCTCAGGAGACTCACGTAATACATAAGGACTCACATAAACTTAAGGTAAGGGGTGGAAAAAGATATTCTATGCAAATGGACAACAAAAGCAAGCAAGAGTAGCTATTCTTATATCAGCCAAAACAAACTTTAAAGCAACAGCAGTTAAAAAAGACAGAGAGGCCAGGTGCGGTAGCTCATGCCTGTAATCCCAGCACCTTGGGAGGCTGAGGTGGGTGGATCACCTGAGGTCAAGAGTTTGAGACCAGCCTGGCCAATGTGGTGAAACCCTGTCTCTACTAAAAAAATACACAAAATTAGCTGTGTGTGGTGGTGGGTGCCTGTAATCCTAGCTATTCAGGAGGCTGAAGCCGGAGAATGCTTGAACCTGGAAGGCGGAGGCTGCAGTGAGCTGAGATCACACCATTGCACTCCAGCCTGGGCAACAAGAGTGAAGCGTCATCTCAAAATAAATAAATAAATAGACAAAGAGAGACATTATATAATGATAAAAGGACTAGTACAACAGGAAAATATCACAATTCTATATATATATGCACCTAATGCTGGCAATCCCAAATGAATAAAATCAATTACTACTAGACCTAAGAAATGAGACAGGCAGCAACACAATAATAGTGGGGGACTTTAATACTCCACTGACAGCACGAGACAGGTCATCAAGACAGAAAATTAACAACAAAACAATGGACTTAAACTATATCCTAGAACAAACAGACTTAACAGATATTTACAAAACATTCTATCCAACAACTGCAGAATATACATTCTATTCATCAACACATGGAACATTCTCCAAGAGAGACCATATGATAGAAAACAGAACAAGTCTCAACAAATTTAAGAAAAAATGAAATTATAGCAAGTCCTGTCTCAGACCACAGTGGAATAAAATTGAAAATCAACTCCAAAAGGAACCCTCAAAACCATGCAAATACATGGAAATTAAATAATCTACTCCTAAATGACCATTGAATCAACAATAAATTAATTTCCATCTCGATTTTAGTTTTGACCTATTGATGAATGATAATAGTGACATAACCTATCAAAACCTCTGGGATACAGCAAAAGCAGTGCTAAGAGGAACATTTATAACATGAAATGCCTACATAGAAAAGTCTGAAAGAGCACTAATAGACAATCTTAGGTGACACCTCAAGGAACTAGAGAAGCAGGAACAAACCAAACCCAAACCCAACAGAAGAAAATAAATAACCAAGATCAGAACAAAATTAAATTAAATTTAAACAAAAGAAAATACAAAAGATAAATGAAACAAAAACTGGTTCTTTGAAATGATAAATAACATTGATAGACAATTAGTGAGATTTACGAAGAAAAAAAGAGGATCCAACTAAGCTCAATTAGAAACAAAACTGGTGAGGCCAGGTGCGGTGGCTCATGCCTGTAATCTCAGCACTTTGGGAGACTGAGACAGGCAGATCACTTGAGGTCAGGAGTTCAAGACCAGCCTGGCCACAATGGCAAAACCCGTCTCTCCTAAAAACACAAAAAATTAGCCAGGCGTTGTGGTGGGCGCCTGTAATCCCAGCTACTCTTGAGGCTGAGGCAGGAGAATCACTTAAACCCAGGAGGCAGAGGCTGCAGTGAGCCAAGATCACGCCATTGCACTCCAGCCTGGGCAACAAGAGCAAAACTCTGTCTCAAAAATAAAAGGAAAGAAAGAAAATGGGTGATATTAAAACTGATACCACAGAAATACAAAAGATCATTCAAGGCTACTATGACCACCTTTACACACATAAACTAGAAAACCTAGAGGAGATGGATAAATTCCTAGAAATAAACAACCCACCTAGATTAAACCAGGAAGAAATAGAAACTCTGAACAGACTAATAGCAACCAGTAAGATTGAAATGGTAATTAAAAAGTTACCAAAAAAAAAAGTCCAGGACCAGATGGATTCACAACTGAATTCTATCAAACATTCAGAGAAGAATTGGTACCAATCCCATTAACACTATTCAAACATATAGAGAAAGAGGGAATCCTCCCTAAATCCTACTATGATGCCAGTATCACCCTAATACCAAAACCAGGAAAAGAAATAACAAGAAAAGAAAACTACAGGCCAATATCACTGATAAACATAGATGCAAAAATCATCAAGAAAATACTAGCTAACCGAATCCAACAGCATATCAAAAAGATAATTCAACACGATCAAGTGGTTTTCATACCAGGGATGCAGGGATGGTTTAACATACACAAGTCAATAAATGTGATATACCACATCAAAAGAATAAAAAACAAAAATTACATGGTCATCTCAATAGATGCAGAAAAAGCATTTGACAAAATCTAGCATCACTTTAGGATTAAAACCCTCAGCAAAATCGGCATAGAAAGGACATACCTTAAGGTAATAGAAGCCAACTATAAGAAACCCACAGCCAACATTGTTATGAATAGGGAACAGTTGAAAGCATTCTCCCTGAGAACTGGAACAAGACAAGGATGCCCACTCCCACCACGTCTATTCAACACAATATTGGAAGTCCTACCCAGAGCAATCAGAAGAGAAAGAGATAAAGGGCATCTAAATTGGTAAAGAGGAAGTCAAACTGTTGCTGTTTGCTGATGACATGATCGTATATCTAGAAAACCCTAAAGATTCATCTAAAAAACTGCTAGAACTGGTAAATGAATTCAGCAAAGTTTCAAGATGCAAAACTAATGTACACAAATCAGTAGCCCTGCTATACACCAACAGCGAGCAAGCTGAGAATCAAATCAAGAACTCAACCCCTTTCACGATAGATGTAAAAAAATAATAAAATACTTAGGAATATACCTAACCAAGGACGTGAAAGACCTCTACAGGGAAAACTACAAAACACTCCTAAATGAAATCACAGATGACACAAACAAATGGAAACACATCCCATGCTCTCGTATGGTTAGAATGAGTATTGTAAAAATGACCATACTGCCAAAAGCAATCTACAAATTCAATGCAATTCACATCAATATAGCACCATCATTCTTCACAGAACCAGAAAAAAAATCCTAAAATTCATATAGAACTAAAAAAGAGCCTGCATAGCCAAAGCAAGACTAAGTAAAAAGAACAAATCTGCAGTCATTACTTTACTTGACTTCAAACTACACTAGAAGGCCATAGTAACCAAAACAGCATGATAGTAGTATAAAAAAAAAACATATAAATCAAGGGAACAAAATAAAGAACCCAGAAATAAAGCCAAATATTTACAGTCAACTGATCTTCAACAAAGCCAACAAAAACACAAAGTGGAGAAAGGACACCCTATTCAACAAATGGTGCTGGGATAATTGGCAAGCCACACGTAGAAGAATGAAACTGGATTCTCATCTCTCCCTTATAGAAAAATCAACTCAAGATGGATCAAAGACTTAAATGTAAGACCTGAAACCATAAAAATTTTAAAAGATAGTATTGGAAAAACCCTTCTAGGCATTAGCTTAAGAAAAACCCTTCTAGGCATTAGCTTAGGAAAAGACTTCATGACCAGGAGCCCAAAAGCAGAATGCAACTGAAACAAATAGGTGGGACTTAATTAAACTAAAAAGCTTCTGCACAGCAAAAGAAACAATCAGCAGAGTAAACAGGCAGCCCACAGGGTGGGAGAAAAATCTTCACAATCTGTACATCCGACAAAGGACTAATATCTAGAATCTTCAAGGAACTCAAACAATTCAGCAAGAAAAAGAAAAAAACAATCCCATCAAAAAGTGGGCTAAGGACATGAATAGACAATTCTCAAAAGAAGATATAGAAACAGCCAACAAACATATAAGAAAGTGCTCAACATCACTAATGACCAGGGAACTGCAAATCGAAACCACAGTGCAATACCACCTTACTCCTGCAAGAATGCCCATGATCATAAAATCAAATGTTGGCATAAATGTGGTGAAAATGAACACTTTTACACTGTTGGTGGGAATGTAAACTAGTGCAACCACTATGGAATGCTGTGTGGAGATTCCTCAAAGAACTAAAAGTATATCTACCATTTGATCCAGCAATCCCAATCCTTGGTATCTACCCAGAGGAAAAGAAGTCATTAGCTGGATGTGATGGCTTATGCCTGTAATCCCAGCACTTTGGGAGGCTAAGGCACGCAGATCATTTGAGTCTGGTCATTCAAGACCAGCCTGGCCAACATGGAGAAGCCCCTGACTCTACTAAAAATGCAAAAATTAGCCAGGTATGGTGGCACATGCCTGTAATCCCAGCTACTTGGGAGGCTGAGGCAGGAGAATCACTTGAACCCTGGAGACAGAGGCTGCAGTAAACTGAGATCACGCCACTGCACTCCAGGCTGAGCAAAGACTCTGTCCCAAAAAAAATTCGTTATACAAAAATGATACTTGCACATGCATGTTAATAGCAGCACAATTAACAATTGCAAAAATATGGAACCAGTCCAAATGCCCATCAATCAACAAGTGGATAAAAAAAATGTAGTACATATATACCATGGAATACTACTCAACCATAAAAAGGAATGAAATAATGGCATTCAAATCAACCTGGATAGAATTGGAGAACATCACTCTAAGTGAAGTAACTCAGGAAAGGAAAACCAAATATCGTATCTTCTCAGTCATAAGTGGGACCTAAGCTATGAGGACACAAAGGCTTAAGAATGATACAATGAACTTTGGGGACTTGGGGAAAAGGGTGTGGGGTAGATGAGGGATGAAAAGCTACACACTGGTTACAGTGTACACTGCTCAGGTGATGGGTGCACCTAAATCTCAGAAATCACCACTAAAGCACTTATTCATATAAGCAAACACCACCTGTTCCCCCAAAACCTACTAAAATAAAAAATAAAATAAAATAAAAATGTAAAAAAAAAAATACCTAAAAATTTTCCCAATCTGAAGAGAAGTGACAACATCCAGGTACAGGAAGCACATAGGTCCCAGTTAAATTCAACCATAAAAGGAGTACACTAAGACAAATAATATTCAAACTATCAAAAATCAAAGACAAAGAAAAATTCAGACAGCAGCAAGGGATAAGTAATACATCATATACAAAGGAATGACAATATGTCTATCAACAAATTTCTCAGCAAAAACTGCAGGCAAGGAGAGTAGGATAATAATTGAAAGTACTGAAGGGAAAAAAACTGCCCACCAAATCTTCCTTAACCAGCAAAGACAACTTTCAGAAATGAGAGAGAAATAAAAATTTCCCAAACAAACAAAAACTAAGAGACTTCATCATCATTAAAAATGTCTTACAGGAGTTGCTATGGTGATTTCTTTAAACTGAAACAAAAATATGCTAATTAATAACATGAAACATATAAATGCGCAATTTCAAGGGTATAAATAAAGCATAGCCATAATCAGAATAATCTAAGACTATAATGATGGTGTATAAGGCAATTTTATCCCTAGTATGAGGCTAAAAGACAAAACTATTAATAACAATGATAGCTAAAATAAATTTCAAAGGGCTACATTACAAAGTAATGTAAATTTTGACAGCAAAATCATAAAATGTGGGAAGGGAAATAAAAATGTAGAGTTGTATGTGCAATTCAAGTTAAGTTACTACCAGTTTGATGTAGGCTGTTGATAAGAAAGATGTCTGTAAGCTTCATGGTAACCACAAAGCAAAATCTTTAGTAAAATTACAAAACAAAAATAGAAGCATTTCAACCATAATACTATAGAAGACTATCAAACCACAAAGGAAGTCATAAAGAGAGAAAGAAAATACCTACAGAAACAACCAGAAAAGAACTAACAAAATGGCAGCAGTAAGTCCTTACTTAGTAATAATTACTTTGACCGTAACAGATTATGTTCTTCCAAAAAGATGTAGAATGACTGAATGGATTTTACAAAAATAAGATCTAACTATATGCTGCTTACAAGAGTACACCTTGCTTTTAAGAACACACATAGATGAAAGAAAAAGGATGGAAAAAGACATTCCATGCAAGTGGAAATCAAAAGAGGAGGAATAGCTATAATCATATCAGACAAAATGTAACTTAAGTCAAAAACTGTAAGAGGCAAAGAAAGATATTATAACATAGTAGAGGGTTCAATTCAGCAAAAGGATATAACAATTATAAATATACATATATATATATATATATATATATATATATATATATATATATATCCAACATTGGAGCATCTAAACATGTAAAACAAATATTAAAGGATCTGAGGAGAGAACAGATTGCAATACAGTAATAGTAAGGAAACACTGGGTTTAAACAACACTTCAGACAACATGGACTGGACAGACATGTACAGAATAGTCCATCCAACAGCAAGAGAATGCATATCTTTTAAAATGTACATAAAACATCCTCCAAGAGAGATCACATATTAGAACATAAAACAAACCTCATAAAATTTAAGAAGATTGAAATTATATCAAGTATCTTTTCCAACCACAATAGTATAAAACTAGAAATCAATAACAAAATTCACAAGTACATGGAAATTAAACCATGCTCTGAAACAATCAATTGGTCTGTAAAGAAATTAAAGAAAAACTTAAAAACATCGAGACAAATGAAAATGGAAACAAAACTGTCAAAACTTGTAGTGTACAGCAAAAGTAGTTCTAAAAGGAAAATTTGTGGCAATAAATGCCTACATCAAAATAGAAGAAAGATTACAAAATAAACAAACTAATGTTACACCTCACAGAACAGGAAAAAGAAAACAAACTAAACTCAAAGTTAGCAAAAGGAAGAAAATAATAAAGACTAGAGCAAAAATAAATAAAATAGAGACTAGAAAAATAATGCAAAACATCAATAAACTAAGTTGGATGCAGTGACTTACATCTGTACTCCCAGCACATTGGGAGGCTGAGGTAGAAGGATCACTTGAGGCCAGGAGTTTGTTAACAGCCAGGGAGACATAGTGAGACCCTGACTTTACAAAAAATTAAAAAATTAGCCAGGCATGGTGGCACACACTTTTAGTCCCAGTTACTTGGGAGGCTGTGATGGGAGAATCACTTCAGCCTAGGAAGTTGAGGCTGCAGTGAGCTGCGATCATGCCACTGCACTCCAGCCTGGGCAACAGAGAAAAACTCTGTCTTTAAAAATGAAAAAAATCTACTGGCTTTTTGAAAAGATAAACAAAATTGACAAACCATTAGCTAAATTAACTAAGAAAAAAGAGAGGAGACTCAAATAAACTAGAAGTGAAAAGAGGAGAAAATAAAACTGATACCACAGAAATACGAAGGTTCGTAAGAAACTACTATGAACAATTATACACCAACAGATTGGATAACCTAATAAAGCCCTAAAATTATACAATCTACTAAGACTCAATCATGAAGAAATAGAAAATCTGAACAAACCAATAAAGAATAAGATGATTGAATCAGTGACAAAAAGTCTCTCATCAGAAAAAAATAAAGCCCAGGACCTGATGACTTCACTGCTTAATTCTAGCAAACATGTAAAGAACTAACATCAATCCTTCTTAAACTCTTCCAATATATTAAAGAGGAGAGAATGCTTCCAAACTCTTTTAATGAGACTAGCAGTACTCTGATACCAAAGCTAGACAAGGACATTCCAAGACAAGAAAATTACTAGCCAATATCCTTGATGAACATATGCTCTAGACAGGTGATCTGCTTAAGAAATAAAAATTCAAAAAAATTTAAAAATATCCATGATGAACATAGACGCAAAAATTCTGAACAAAACACTAGCAATCTAACAACACATTAAAAGGTTTATCTACCATGATCAAGTGGGATTTATCTCTGGGATGCAAAGATGGTTCAATGTTCACATCAATAAGTGTGATATATTACATTAACAGAATAAAGGATAAAATCCATATAATCACTTCAGTAGATGCAGAAAAACATCATTTCATGATAAAAAGTCATCAAATTAGTTATAGAAAACATATACCTCAACACAATAAAGGTCATATATGAGAAGTCCACAGCTAACACAAAAGTGAAAAATTGAAATCCTTTCCTCTAAGATATGAAATAATATAAGGATGCCCACTCACACCACTTCTATTCAACATAATATTGGAAATCCTTGCCAGAGTAATTAAGCAAGAGAAAAAATAAAAGGCATTCAAATAGGAAAGGAAGAAGTAAAATTATCACTGTTTGCTGATGACATGATTTTATGTAGAGAAAATAGAATTTACCCAAAAACTGTTAGAATTAATTTTTTAAAATACTGTGAAGTTATAGGATACAAAATCAAAACACAGAAATCAGTATATTGGAAATAAACGATCCCAAAAAGACATTGAGAGAACAATCCTATCTACAATAGTTATGAAAATAGTAAGACACTTAGGAATAAATTTAACCAAGGAGGTGAAAGATCTGCACACTGAAAACCATAAAACATTGGTGAAATAAATTGAAGAAGATACAAATAAGTGAAAAGATATTCTATATCCACAGACTGTAAGAATATTGTTAAAATGTCCATACTGCCCAAAGTGATGTACACATTTAATGCAGTCTCTATCAAACTTCCAATGCCTTTTTTCATAGAAATAGAAAAAAAAACCCTAAAATTCATATGGAACTACAAAAAAAATCCCTAATAGCCAAGTCAATTATGAGCAAAAAGAACAAGGTGGAAATATCACATTACCTGATTTCAAATTATATTACAAAGCTATAGTAATTAAAACAGCATGATACTGGTAAAAAAAAAAAACAGACACATCAACAAATGGAACAAAATAGGAAGCCCCAACATAAACCTATGCATGTTTGGTCAATTTATTTCCAAAAAGGTGCCAAGAATATACAATGAGAAAAGGATAGGTTCTTCAATAAATGGTGTTGGGGAAACCAGATATCCACATGCAGAAGAATGAAAGTAGGCCCTTATCTGACACGATATTAAAATATCAATTCAAAATGGATTAATGATGTAAATATTAAAACCAAAACTGTAAAACTATTAGGAGAAAACATGGTGAGAAACTATATGATGTTGGTCTGAACAATGATTTTTTTTAAATTTGATCCCAAAAGCACAGGCAGTAAAAGCAAAAATAGACTAATGGGATTATATCAAACTAAAAAGCCTCTGCACACCAAAAGAAATAATTAACAGAAAGCAGAGATAACTTATGGAATGGGAGAAAAACATTTGCAAGCCGTACATCCAATAAGGAGTTAATATCCAGTATATATAAGGAGCCCATACAACTCAATAGCAACAAAACACAAGGGAAATGCAAATTAAAACCATAAGATATCATCTCACCTCTGTCACAATGCCTATTATCAAAAAGACAAAAAATAACCAGTATTGGTGAAGCTGTGGAGAAAAGGGAACCTTATATACTGCTAGTGGAAATGTAGATTAGTACAACCACTATGGAAAACTGTATGAAAGTTCATCAAGAAACTAAAAATGAAATTACCATATGATCCAGCAATCTCACTTCTGAGTATTTAACCAAAAGATCTGAAATCAATTGTTAAAGATATCTCTGCATTCCTGTGTTTATTACAGCATTAATATGATAGCCAAGTTATAGAATCAACTAAGTGTCCGTGAGCAGATAAATAGGTAAACAAAATGTGGTATATATACACCATAAAATACTATTCAGACTGGAAGAAAGAAGGAAATTCTGTCATTTGCAACGACATGCATGGAATTGAAGAACATTATGCTAAGTAAAATAAGCCAGAGAAAGACAAATACTGAATATTCTCACTTATATGTGGAATCCAAAAGAATTGAACCCATAGTAGCAGAGAATAGAATAGTGGTTACAGAGGCTGGGGGTTGTGGGGAGATGATGGCCAAAACGTAAAAAGTCTTCGACAGAAGGAATACGACTTCTTTGATCGCTATTGCTCAAAATAGAGCATAGAGTATTACACAACTCAAAATTGCTAAGAGGGTAAACTTGAAATGTTCTCACCACGAGAAGTGTTAAGTATATGGGGTGATGAATATGTTAACTAATTTGATTTAGTTATTCCACATTGTATTCATAAATCATAAAATCACTTTGTGCCCCATAAACGTATACAATTATAAATTGTCAATTTATAATTTAAAAATTAAAAATAGGACAAAAGGAGAAAAATCACAGGATTACATCAATCAATATAGAAAGAGATTGACAAAACTCAACATCTACTCATGATTTTTAAAAAAACTTAAAAAATAGAAATAGGAAACCTGTCAACTTGATAATGACCATCTACAATAAACCTACAGTTAACATTGTACTTAATGGCAAAAGATTGAATGCTTTCTCCTTAAGAATTTCTGCTCTCAGTTCTCTCATTCAACTTATTTCTGGAATTCTAGCCAGTGCAATAAAGCAAGAATACTACATAAAAGACATATAGATTAGAAAGAATGAAGTAAAAATGTCCCTATTTGCAAATGACATGATTGTCTCCAAAAATCTCCTAAAAATAGTGCATCATCAAGATTACAGAATAAAATATAAACATGTAAAAATCTATTGTATTTCTGTATGCTAGTGATAAATATGGACAACAAAATTAAAAACCTAATACAATATATAATCACTCAAAATAAAATACTCAGATAAATCTGACAAAATATGTACAGGACTTGCCAAAGACTATACAATGCTAATGAAAGAAATCAAAGCTCTGAATAATTAAAGAAACATATATTTATGATTGGAATAAAACACCTCAAATTAATATACAGCTTTAATGCAATTTATCTCAAAATCAAGATTTTTGTAGATATAAACAACAGTATCCTAAAATGTATATGGAAAGGCAAAGAAACTGGAATAGCTAAAATAATTTTGAGGAAAAAAAGAATCAAGTGGGAGAAATCAGTCTCCCCAATATCAAGGCACTATGTAGTTACAATAATCAAGACTATTGGCAGACAGGTAGAAACATAGATTAATGGACTAGAACATAGGCCAATGAACTAGAAGAGAGAAACAGAAGGTGCAAAAACTATTTAATAGAGAAAAGATATCCATTTCAACAAATGGTGCTGGAGCAATTTGACATCCACAGGACAAAAAGAAAAAGAACCTCGACATAAACCCTGAAACTTCTACAAAAATTATTTCAAAACAGATCAAAGACATGTCTAAAATATAAAATTATAGATCCTAGATATCAGCAAAATGGCAGAGTAGAAGATCCAAGTCTTTGTCCCACTAAACACAAAAACATTAGACAGCTGTACACTAATGAAAATAGCTCTGGGAGGGCTCAGAAGTCCAGTTAAGAAGTATAGCAACAAGGTGGAGCACAGAAAGAAGAAGGAAGAAGAAGAGGAAGAGGAAGAAGGAGAAGGAAGGAGGAGAAGGCAGAAGAAGAAAAAGGAGGAAGAGGAAGAGGAGGAGGAGGAGGAAGAAGAGGATGAGGAGAAGGAGAAGAAGGAAGAAGGAGAAGAAAAAGAGGAAGAAAAAGAAGGAGAAGGAGAAGGAAGAAGCATGCAGAAAGGGTAGGAAGAACAGGTTTATGTTGCCTTGCTCATTCCATTCTCAGGCCAGAAGAACTCAGCACCAATGGAAATGAATTCTGCTCCCAACTTCCCCAGTATTTCAGGACAATGCCCTAAAGACCCACTTTGTTTCATCCCACCTGGGTAGCTGAGGAGATTTTCATAGCAAGATACCTGAAAATGGCTAGGAACAAAGAAGGCAGACAGAGGCTATCAGTATCAACCACACAAGGTAGCTTAAAAAATGCTGAAAGAAGTACTTCAAATTGAAACAAAAATGTTAAACATTAGTGCAAAAGCATATGAAAGCATAAATCTCACTGGTGAAGGTAAATATGTAGACATACACAGATTAATGTTACAGTGTAATGGTGGTACAGAATTTACTTTTGACCCTAATATAAAAGTTAAAGCATAAAAAGATGTTAATGAACACACAATGTAGAAAGCAAATTCTGACTACAAAAACACAAAGTATGTTGGGGAAGTAAAAGTGTAGTTTTTTTTTTATGAAATTGCAGTTAAGCAGTTATCAACTTAAAATAGAAGAGTATAACTACAAGATAGTTTATGCAAACCTGAAGCTAACAACAAATAAAAAACTTATAGTACAAAATATAAAGAGAAAATAAAGCAAATCACTACAAAAAAATTATTAAACAACAAAGACATCAAGACAAGACAAAAGGGAAAAACAACTGCAAAATAGAAAACAACACAAAGGCAATAATAGTTTTTCATTTATCAGTATTTATTTTAAACGCAAATAGATTAATTTCACCAGTCAAAAGTCATTGAGTGGATGAATGGATTTTTTAAAAAGCATGATCCAGTGATATGTTTTTTATAAGAGACTCACTTTAGAGGGACACATAGGCTGAAAGTAAAGAGATGGGAAAAAATATTTTACGCAAATGGTAACCAAAAGAAAGCAAGAGTGGCTACACTTAGATAAAATATAAGTGTAAAATAAGGCCATAAATGTCTCTAAAGACAAATTAGGTCATTATATAATAATAAAATAGTTGATTCAACATAAATATATAACAATTTAAATATACATGCACCCAGTAATAGAGCACCTAAATATTAAGAGAAAATGTATCAGAACTAAAGACAGAAATTGACAGAAATATAATAATAGTAGGGAACTTCAATGCCCAATTACAATAATGGATAGAACAACCAAACAGGAAGTCAGTAAGCAGGTACCTGGACAAAACAATAGACCAAATGGGCCTAACAGGCATATACAAAACTTTCAACCTAAGAGCCAAAGTATGCTTACATTCTTTTCAAGTGCATACACAATATTCCTCAGAATAGGTCACATATCAGGCCACACACAAAAAAATCTTCCACTTAAGAAAAATCAAGATTATTTGATGTACCTTTTCTGACCACAATGAAATAAAACCAGAAATCAATAACACCAAGAAAATTCACATATATGTAGAAACTAAACAACACTCTACTGAACATCCCATTGGGTCAAAAGAGAAATCAAAAGAAAAATTTAAAAGTATCTTGAGACAAATGAAAATGAAAACACAACATACTAAATCCTAAAGATGGCAAAAAAGTAGCACTAAAAGGCAAGTTTATAGCAATAAATACTTATATTTAGAAAGAAGAAAGCTCTTTACCTCTTCACAACCTAACATTGTACAAAGGAATTAGAAAAAGAACTAACTAAACCCAAAGTTAGCAAAAGAGCAAAAATAAATCAAATGAGAAATTTTTTAAAAATATATTTTAAAAAATCAACAAGAATTAGGTTTTTTTGAAAGATAAAATTAATCAAACACTTAGTCTAAGAAAACACAGAAGACTCAAATAAAATCAGGAAACATTTCAATAGATGTCTCAGAAGTAGAAAGGATCATAAGGAACTATTATGAACAGTTCTATGCCCAACAAACTGGATAACTTAGAAGAAATGAATAAATTCCTAGACACATACAATCTACTCAAACTTAATCAAGAAGAAGCAGAAAGCCTGAACAAACCAATAACAAGTAAGGAAATTGAATCAGTAATCAAAAACCTTCCAACAAAGAAAAGTCTAGGATGTGATGGCTTCACGGATGAATTCTAACAAACATTCAAAGAAGAATTAATAACAATCCTTCTGAAACTCTTCCAAAAAATAGATGAGAGAACACTTCCAAACTGATTCAATGAGATTAGCATCACCCTGACACCAAAACCAAAGACATTAGAGAAAAGGAAAACAACAGGTCAATATCTCAAATGAACATAGATACAAAAAATTCTCGATAAAATACTAGGAAACCAAATTAAGCAGCAATTAAAAGTATCATATATCATAACTAAGTGGAATTTATCCCTGGGATACAAGAATGGTTTAACTTATGCAAATCAATCAATATGATACAACACAGTAACAAAATGAAAGAAAAAAGTATACTTATCCCAATAGACCCAGAAATAGCATTTGATGAAATGTAAGATATATTTATACATAAAACTCTCAACAAAATAGGTATAGAAGGAACTTACTCCAGCACAATAAAGTGATATGAAAAGCCACAGCTAGCATCATAATCAATGGGAGGAAACTAAAATTATTTTCTCTAAAATCTGGTTAAAGGCAAGAATATTCACTTTTACCACTTTGTTTCAACATAGTACTGGGAGTCTCAGCCAGAACAATTAGAAAAGAAAAGAAAAGGCATCCAAAGCTGAAAAGATGTAAAATTTTCTTCCTCTTCAGACTACATATATAGAAAACCCTAAATACTCAATTTAAAGAATACTAGAGCTAATAAATAAGTTCAGTAAAGTCAGATACAAAATCAACATACAAAAATCAGATGCTTTTCTATACACAAACAATAAACTATCCAAAAACGAATTAGGAAAACAATCCTATTCACATAATAATAAGAAGAAGAAAATATATAAGAATAAACAACAAAAATTGGAAAGACTTATACACTGAAAATTATAAAACGCTGATGAAAGACATTTTAAAAAACACAGATAGATGGAGAGACATTTCATATTCATGGAACAGAAGAATTAAAGAATTTTAAATGTCCATACTATTCAAAGCAATTTACAGATTCAATAAAATGCCTACCAAAATCCCAATGGCATTCTTTACAGAAATAGAAAAACAATCCTAAAATTCATATGGAACCTCAAGAGACCCAGAATAGCCAAAGCAAACTTGCATGAGAAAAATAAAGCTGGAAGCATAAAAAAAAAAAATCCCTACTTTAAAACATATTTAAAAGCTACAGTAATTAAAACTGTGTGGTACTGGTATAAAAATAGACATATCAACAGAGAATGGAATCAAAAGGCCAGAAATAAATCCACACATCTTTGACAAGGGTGCCAAGAACACAAAGTGGGGATCTCTTCAATAAATAATGCTGGGAAAATATGATATGCACATGCAGGAGAACAAAATTAGGTCCTTATCTCACACCATATACAAATATCAACTCAAAATGGATGAAAGACTTAATTACTTAAATGGATTAAAACATCTTAGTTTTATGTCTAACATGTAAGACATAAAACTACTAGAAGAATCATAGGGGGAAAGCTTTTTGACAATGGTCTTGGCAATAATTTTTTGGATATAACACAAACAGTGCAGGCAACAAAATCAAAAATAGGCTAATGAAATGGCATCAAACTAAAAAGCTTCTGCATGGCAAAGGAAATAATCTTTTGGAAATAATAAGGCAACCATATAAGGAATTCGTGCAAGTCAACAGCAAAAAAATAAATAACCCAATTTAATCATGGTTAAAAGTCCTGAATGGATATTACTCAAAAGAAGACATAAAAATGGCCAACTTAACTTCACTAATCATCAGGCAGTGCAAATCAAAAGCACAATGAGATATCACCTCACCTTACACCCATTTGGATGGCTACTATCAGAAAGAAGAAAGGTAAGTGTTGGCGAGGATATGGAGAAAAGGAAACTTGTATACCGTTTGTGGGAACGTAAACTGGTGCCGGCAGCCATTATAGAAAACAATATGGAGATTCCTCACAAAGAACCCATCAATCCCATTCAAAGGAAATGAAATCAGTACCTCAAAGAGATATCTACACTGCCATTGTTCATTTTTGCATTCTACACAATAGCCAAGATATGAAATCAAACTAAATTTCCATTGATAGATGACAAATAAAGAAAACATGATATATAAATCCAATGAAATATTATTCAAGGCTAGGCATGGTGGCTTATGCCTGTAATCCCAGCACTTTGGGAAGCTGACATGGGTGGATCATGTGAGTTCAAGACCAGCCTGAAAAACATGATGAAACCCCATCTCTACTAAAAATACAAAAATTAGGCGAGTGTGGTGCCACATGCCTGTAGCCCCAGCTGCTCAGGAGGCTGAGGTGAATCATTTGAGCCTGGTAGGTCAAGGCTACAGTGAGCCATGATGGCACCACTGCACTCCAGCCTGAGCAACAGAGTGAGACCCTGTCTCTCTCTCTCTCTCTCTCTCCCCACATATACATATACACATACACATACACATACACATACACATACACATACACATACACATACACATGCCTTTAAAAGAAGGCTGAAATATATTTGCCAACAACACAGATGAACTTGGAGGACGCTATGCTAAGTGAAATAAGCCAGACACCACAACACAAATACAAAATTTTTTTTTTTGACAGTCTCCCTCTGTTGCCCAGGCTGGAGTGCAGTGGTGCGATCTCGACTCATGGCAAGCTCCACCTCCTGGGTTCACACCATTCTCCTGCCTCAGCCTCCCAAGTAGCTGGGACTACAGGCATCCACCACCTCACCCAGCTAATTTTTTTGTATTTTTTAGTAGAAATGGGGTTTCACCGTGTTAGCCAGGATGGTCTCTATCTCCTGACCTCGTGATCCGCCCGTCTCGGCCTCCCAAAGTGCTGGGATTACAGGCGTGAGCTACTGCGCCCGGCCACAAATACAAAATTAATGCTAGTGAGGATGTGGAGAAACAAGATCACTCAAATATTGCTGACAATAATGTAAAATGGTACAGCCACCCTGGAAAACAGTTGAGCAGTTTCTTAAAAACCTAAACATGCAACTGCCATAAAAAACATCAATTGCACTCCATTTATTTATCCCAGAGAAATGAAAACTTAGATTCACACAAAAACCTAGGCATGAATGTTTATAGCAGCATTATTCCTAATTGCCAAAAACTGAAAACTATCCAGATGTCCTCCAATGGGTGAATCAATAAACACACTGTGGTAAAGCCATACGTTGGAATACTACTCAGCGATAAAAGTGGCAAAATATTGATAATATGCAAAAGCCTGAATGAATCTCCAGCAAATTGTGCTGAAGGAAAACAAGCAATTCCAAAAAGTTCTGTACTGTATAACTTAATTTATATAATATTATTAGGCCAGGTACAGTGGCCTATGCTTGTAATCCCACACTTCGGAGGCTGAGGCCAGAGGATCACTTGAGGCCAATAGTTCAAGACAGCCTAGGCAATAAAGTGAGCCCCTGTCTCCACAAAAAATAGAAAAAGTAGCCAGGTGTGCTGGCATGCACCTGTAGTCCCAGCTACTCAGGAGGCTGAGGTGGTAGGATCTCTTGAGCCCAGGATTGTGCCACTGGAATCCAACCTGTGCAATTGGTGTCCAGTGGGACCTTGTCTCAAATAATAATGCTAATATTATTATTGAAATTACAAAAGTATAAAAATGGAGAATAGAATGTGATTGCCAGGGTTAAAAAGAGGCTGAGAATGAGAAGGAAGCAGGGTAGCTATGAAAGGGTAAGACAAGGGATCTTTGTGGCAATGTAGTGTTCTGTGTCTTGACTATATCAATATTGATATCTTGGTGATGATATTGGACTATTACTGGTGCAAGATGGGGAACGCTGAGTAAAGGGTACATGAGCTCTTTCTGCATTATTTGCTACAATTGCATGTAAATCTACAATTATCTCAAAATAAAACCTTTAATTAAAGAAAATAAACAAAATGCATACTAAAGGATAAACAAACAAAGACACTTTGGGAGAGAAGAGGTGTGAGAAAGTTAAAATTTCATCTACACGCAAGTAACTGGAAAGCAATTACACAATGTCAAAAGCTGATAAGAAAGATTAGTATAAGCTCATTTTATCAGTCTAATTATCAGTATAAAATCACATTATTTAGAAATATGAGCAGTTCCCAAATAATGGGGATCAAAAGTGGTTGTCTCTGAAGACAGGCCTTGGGAAGGAGAAATGTGAGAAAGAAGGCAGGTCCTTTTCATCATAAACTCTTCCGTACACTTCTATTAAACAATGTGTTTGCATTGCCTTAATTAATTTTTAACACTAAGCTAGTTCAGAGCCTTCTCTGAAGCATACAGTTATAATGCATGTGAATGTCTTTATGTTACTGATCATCTCGGTCAATAAATGGCTGAACTCAAACAAGGTCTTAAAGTACCTTTTCCCTTGCCCCTTCTTTGTCGTGGATCAGCTCCTTTCCCGGATCAGAAATAAACAAAGGGAAAAGCCCACCTTACTTTCTTTCCTCACATTCTGTTGACTTGTTCAACTCACTTGTGATTTTTATTTCCCTGAGTGTTCACAGGAACACTGTCCTCACTCCTTGCCCCCACCCCTCTGAGCTTCCTGATTAATAAGAATTCAATCCCACATTCATTAAGCCCCTTCAGCTTTAACCTTTTCATTCTTCTCTAGCAGAGACCTCTTCTTGAAGAATCCCAAAGCCTCCTCATTCTGAACATCTTAGATCACAATTTAAAATCAACACATCAGTTTCAAGAAAGAGTTATATTGTGATTTACTCATAATCACCCTCCCTTCAATTACTCAGGCATTTATTCACTTCCCTTGGGCTGCAAATCCAAAGAGCGATTGATTTTCAGGCTCATGGTGGATGCCAACTCAGGGATAAGGCTGTTCTGGAGGGGAAGGAGCCACCCATGAGCAGAAGCTACCTTGAATTCATTTTCCACAGTTGGAATTAAATGCTTTTGGCACCCACCGTCAATGTGATTTTTAACATATCATGAAAGGAAGTTAAACTAAAAAAGACACATGCAGGCAGAACAAACAGAGGATTATGGGGTTTTATTCATAGGCATTATGATAGAAAAGGTAAGGTGGTGCCAATGGTTTTACAGTTCATGTCAAGTGAGACAATTCGTGCTGGAACCTCAGAGCTGGTTCTCGAGACAGCTGTACTCTACAATGGAGCAGGGAGCAGTTCATAAGGCACTGGCTGACAGATTCCTCAAAATGTTTGTTCCAATCCTAGGCTTAATAAGTGATCCCCTTAAAGCAAAGTTGGTTCCCCAGAACATTTATACAAACAAAGGGGTTTGGACTCCACTAGGAAAACACTGTCTTTCTGGTTTAAAAGTTGGAGGTTAGTATCAATCTTTTCCGTCAAATTGCATACCTCTAAGGGAAATGACAAGTGGAGAGTGCATGAGCCTTTGGTGTGAGCACCCTCCAAAACCTGAGCCCATTCAGATGCTGCATCTCTAAGGCTCTGACAGATGATCATCCTTTTTACATCCCATTAAAACACTTGTGCTGAGATGATTTCTTCGTCTTGGGGAGATAGAGATGTGAACCTCAAGATGATGCATTGTGTGGGCTGGGCAAGACCTATTTAACTCACCATCAAATGTCTAACTTTTGGATCACTTTACCCCAGCAGCACAACTGCCTCTTTACAATGTATTTGGTTGAACTTGGAGGCTCTACATCTGGTTTCGTCCAACTTCAGCTCATTTGATTTTCCATTGTCCAAAGATCACATCTGTGCATTTGAAATCCCCCACCAAATGCCACCACCGGCTCTGGTTCCCACAGGATATAGTGCTTCTCCTAATCAGAGCTGATGCTTTAATGGCGAGAAAAACAGGCATCAAGTATTCAACAAATCTATTCTTTGGCACCTCTTTTAGCTTTTATTAAGGCGAACGTGAACAAGGGCAACGCGAAGTCTAATAAATATAGAGGACAGGAAAGGCTTACGCTGGATTATGGCCAGGCCTGCTTTGCCCATAATAGGGCATTTAATTTTTCATTTATTGATTACACTGTGTTTGCTACAGTAGCCCAGCTTGCCAAGAACATAGCATTATATGAATTCCGAGAGCAGGAAGGACTCAAGGAGTAACATACAAGGAAATTCAAGAAACTTTCTTCAAAACATTGGCCATTGAATACCATTTTTCTCAATTTTGAAAATAAATTTTTTAACAAGTATAAGGCCTCACATTACATGATGTGAAAAGGCTAAAAACAGCAATAGAAATTACATTCATAAAAGTGCATTGCCAACATACAACAAAGGCTTTGGCTTGTCCTGTGCCTGTGGGGATGTAGGCATGGCTGGCAGGGCTGCCTTGTGCTAATCCTCAGCTCCCTGGAGATGCCCATCCCTGGGCACTGGCTTGAAAATAAAAATTTAAACCTCTCTGATGTTTGACATGATACGAACTGAAGCTTACAAGTTGAGTGTCTGTGCTCGTGGATATGTATATGTGAGTGTGGGCTTTGATGTGTGTGTGCCTATGTGGGATCTATTCCTTTTCCTTGATTATTGTCTGTCCTGGTCATATTCTCATACATTTCTTACCCCTCAGAACTTCTTGGTATAAGAGGAGTACCTATTGACTTAAAAGGGAAATTTTAATTTTAGAGCATTAAATTCCATTGGCATTAGTGATTAGGAGACTCACAGGTCTTTGCTCATCAGACATCAAGAAATCAGAGAAGTCCACATCTCAGGACTCTTAAAAATACGATTAACCTCTCTATTTTTTTTTTAAATGCTCTCTTCCAATAAGCAGAGTATTTGGAGCTTAACGATCATGTATTTACTATTTTGGTAGTTTTTAAGCTAATATTAAAATGGTTCTATTCAAAACATTTGGGACTATTTTAATATGTCACTTGCTTAATACAATCATGCAAACATGTTCTCAACAGGTATGTATTTTATTCCCTCCTAAAGGCACAAAGAGAGGAGGGAGACTTGGCTGCTCTTTGCTCTAGAGCCCAAAGGCATGAACCATTGAGGTACAACAGTTTGAAAATACACATGGGCTCTTTTTTGGTACACATTTGGTTTCCATTTGCTTGAAATAGTTTTGTAGCCTAATAAAAAAAGAACCTACATTTTTTATATAGGGAAGTTAACTGGCTGTGGTTGGAAGATTTTTTTGTTTTTTACTCAGTTATTTTAAGGATATTATCACAATAATGCCCAACACTCCATTAGAGTGACGGAAGTGAGCATTGACTTGATGTAGTATGTTTTATTATTCATCATCTAAAACACCAAGTGCCAACACCCACATATGGGGTTATGGCATATGTACAACAGGAAAGCATTTTCTAGAAAGCAGTAGGTCTTCTATAGCATAATATTCCAAGGTTGCCATCATTCTTTAACCAGCTCCCTAAAAGAAAGAGCAAATGGTCAGGGATTTTTTCACGCATAAAACTACCATAAACTCTAATCAAATGGATGCTTGCTTAAGGATTTGAATTCCGGAGTATCTCCCATGCAGAATAAGTTAAGAGCTAGTCTGGAATATTGAGTAAGGGAAGTTCACAGACCTCGCAGAAGCCAGCACAGATGAACATTCAAAAGTTCACAATTTCCAGGCTTAGGTCAGTCCTTAGGAGTTCACAAACACAGATGGAATATTTCTTTTTTTTTTTTTTATACTTTAAGTTCTAGGGTACATGTGCACAACGTGCAGGTTTGTTACATATGTATACATGTTCCATGTTGGTGTGCTGCACCCATTAACTCGTCATTTACATTAGGTATATCGCCTAATGCTACCCCTCCCCCCTCCCCGCTCCCCCCACCCCACAACAGGCCCCGGTGTACAGATGGAATATTTCTAAATACTTCTACTCAATGTTTACTTTCCTAAAATACCAACTAATAAGCACCACTGGAAGGATTTCTTAATTCATGAGTTCCGAATACACCGAGAATTTAGCATTTAGAATCCCCATGATCCAGGTATTTAAAAACTCACCCGTTTATATTCAATCAGACGTCTATTTTTATAGATGTTCATTTATTTGAAATATAAATTGATGTTCAGTAGAAAGCAGATTTCTCAAGAAGTAACCATAGTGGCCTAACAACAAAGAGGTAATATTTTGTATACCAGTGTGCAGCTTTCTCATTGTGGGGGATTACAACAACATGAGTTCCTCTCTAGCCATCCTCTTCAGGAGTGTTGTAGGAAGGTAGACAACTCCCGGACATGGTGGCTCATGCCTGTAATCTCAACACTTCAGGAGACCGAGGCTGGAGAATAGCTTGAGCCCAGGAGTTTGAGACCAGCCTGGGCAATATAGTGAGACCCCATCTCTACAATCATTTTTAAAAAAGCAAATGGACAACAGATGCTAACGCACTTGGAAAAAAAATTCTACCTTCATAAAATAATGGCTGCCAGTGAGTCCTTCTTATGTGGTACTCTTCAGCTTGCCTTCCCCTTCACAGTGATGCTGTAAGACAGGTATTATTCTCATTTTAAAGGAATAAATCGAGTCACCTCCAAGACCACATAAACTAGAAAGCAGAGTACTGGGATTCAGCTTGAAGATGCTGCTAAATTATTCTCACTGTCCATGAGCTTGAGTCTCCCCTTTGTGCCTGGAGTATTAAGGGGAAGAGGACCATTATATTTTTCTCACAGACATTCTCTCCTACTCCCATCGTTCTATTTCCTGCTAACTCCTGACCCCATTCATGTGGCAAAAGAAGAGGCTAGATTGAGCTGAGTGAGAGCAGGTGTTGGAGGAGGCAAAGAATGGAGAGAATTTCCTCAGTCATGGAATTCTATGTGATTGATTTGGGGTGGTCATGGTGTTTCCTTCACCTGACCAGCAATCTTGAAGCATCATCAGTGGTCCGTAAGATGTACATATGGTCGGGGCCTTCTCTGACCTTTTATGTTTCCTTCTAGCATTATCCAGGTGAATGCTGCCTTCGGGTTTCTGGTGTCTGTAAGTCTCCTGCACAGTACCCTGAAATGTCAGGATTTATCAGGAGTAGTCTCAGCAATGACAAAGCCCACCTGGATTTGTGTTTTTGCTTTTATTTCCTGCTTGTTTTTCCTATTAAGTGTGATCACTCCTCTTCTTCTCCACTGGAAGATAAGCTTGACATGGGGAAGATCGTTGACTCGTGTTCACAGCTGAATCCCCGGAATTGTTCCTGACACACAGGAGGAACTGGAGGCCTATTTGTTAAATGAATGAATCAATCAATAAATGAATATATGCTAGTGATTAGCCCAAATAAAGCAGGAACCCAATTGCTATGTTCTATATGAAGGTAATCAGTTGGGATAGGCTCCTTGTAAAAACAAAAAAAAAGAAAAGAAAAAAAGAAAACAAACAAACACAAAAAAAAACAACCCAATGGTTGATTTCTTATACCTGGCATGTGGCTTTTGGGAGTCAGCAAAAGGCTGTGTTCCTACAGTCCCTTAGGGAGCCAGGCTGGGGAGCAGCACCAGCCCTTCTCTGGAGCTCCTTGTCTGAGGGATACGGAGCTAGGTAGAGATGCTCCGACCTAGAAGTGAAACACATCACACTCACAGGTCCTGGCCAGAACTAGTAACGTGGTTCTACTCCACCACAATGGGCCAGGAAATGCAAACTTCCCACTGGCCTGCAAGGCAGGAAGCTGGGACTATTTGGTAAATTGCATGTCTGGTACCACCAAAAACAAGTGAAACAGTGACTCTGTAGGCATCAAAGTTCAGTGTGTAGATTCAGAACACTAGAGCCAGGAAATGGAAGGAGGTGAACATAGAAGATGGCCAAACTAGCTGCATTCAGCGTAGCACTCTTCATAAGCTGTCAGAGGCAGTGCTTGCAGTGTGGCTACAGCCGCACTAGGCAACACAATAATTGACACACAAGAAGAGCTCAAAAAAGATTTGCTGAATGAATGATCACACAAAACACGAATTCTATAGAAGAAATAGAATCAGAATGAGGCTGACTATTGCTGCTTCTATTTGGAATGGTATTGTTTCATGGAAGGATGTGGGTTCATGTATAAGCTACATCAGATAGCTCACTTTTCATTTCCCTGGAGTTAAAACATGTGGCTCTTCAAAGTCACACACACAAGGCTGCAGAAACCCAATACATTGGACAAGAGGCTATAGCCGTAAGTCCTGGGACTCCTGCCATATGAAAACACCCTCCCGTCCTGGAAGATTTCTGCCTCCTCAGATGGGGGCTTGGATCAAGTGCTCTGCTACCCTGGTCTCTCCAGGTTTGAGATGCTGTTATTCTCTGATCCTGGTTTTGGCTTTAGCACTGAGTTATATTATATTGCTGAGGTCATTGTTTATTCTACCACATGGTTGTAGTGGCCTCATTTTATAAATGAAGGAACAAAGAACAAGAAAGTTCATGTAGAGTCCAGTCTCACACTCTAGTTTTATGCTGAGGCCAGGGCAGTGAAACAAGATTCAGTGTGGGTGGTGAGTATGAGTGTGTGTGATGTGTGGTGTGTGTGATACATATATGTGTGTGTGTGTTATGTATGTAGTATGTATGACTGCATGTATGGTGTATGTTGTGTGTGTGACTGTGTGTGTGGGGGGGTGCATTTTTACCTCTGCTGAAACAGCAGTTCAGGTAATAGAAGCCTCCTGTTCAACCACAAAACAGATTGTTTTCCTCCAAATTCCTCGGACATCGTGGAGCCCTGAGTCAGGATCACTATCTCCACCGTGGAGAGGGAAGATTAACCTGAAAGCAATGTGCAGGAGAGTTGCAGGCACTCTCCCTCAGTGGCAAACTAATGCATGGAAGGCACTCACGAGAAGCATTGAATAGATGCCTCAGATGTGGAATTATACATGCTACTTGATGCACAAAGCCAGGCTACCTGAAAGTTCCTTCTAAAGTTTTAAAAAGAGTGTGAATCTGTGCTGCAAATTTGAAGGCAGTTCCAATTTGGACAGAAAGCTCCCTCTGCTGGCTCCAGAGCTCCCCATTTTCTTAGCGTTAGACAGTGCAACATACTCCACCTGGCAGGGCACAGCCGAAGGACATGGGATCATGGCATGTATGTGCTGAATTAGCGATACCTGGAATGATAGGACATGGCTCAGAAAGGACACCAAAGAAAAAAGGAGCAAGTGGCCTTTGGCGGGGGAAGGAAATGCTACTGACACAGCCAGAGCCACTTCTCAAAAAATAGTCTTAAAAAAAATATGAAACAGCATTTGCACAGATTAAACACTCAAGTTATCCCCTCCATCCTACAATTCACTCTGACTGAAGCATTTGAGCACAAATTATACTCTCAAAGTTTTCTTAGGAACTTATAGTAAATAGAAACTCAAGCTAAAGTTCATCTTAGGAATCTGTCAACCTTACAATGTTTATTTGGAATAAACTCCCTCTCCACGGCAGAGATAGTGATCCTGGCTCGGCGCTCCACGATGTCCGGATAATTTGGAGGAAAACAATCTGTTTTGTGGTTGAACAGGAAGCTTCCATCACCTGAACTGCTGTTTCAGCAGAGGTCAAAACCTGCCACACACACACACATGCAGCCACACACATCACATATGCACACCATACATGTAGTCATACATACTACATACACACAACACACACAGTCACACACATATATATACCACACACACCACACATCACACACACTCATACTCACCACACACACGTTTGTACACACATGTACATGCAACCACAGACCCTAAACACTGATACTTACCACTCACACACACAGTCACACACGCTTATCCACACATGTTCACACCACACACCCACAAAGTCAAGCACATTTTTACTTTCTAAAGTTTTAAAGTCTGTGTGCTCAAATTTAAAACTAGGATCTTATTTGGTAAGTACTCCACACCCCACTCATGCCCAAAAATTTTTCAATTATATCTTCTGACAGATTTGAAATTCCTGAGTAACTCATTCCTTAAGAGGTCACTCTAACCTCTGAAACAGATTTTAGGGGAAAGAGGGTGCCAGAAACCACTCAGCCTAGTGAGACCAGTTTTACAAGTACATGGAGAAGGTGAATATGAAAGGTATAATTTCCAGAGTTCAAACAAGTGTTTCAACCCTTAGATGCCTCTGCTACCCTCTTCCTATAGCCTGAAATATAGAATTTAAGCTCTACTTTTTTGGTCTAAAGCCATGTGACCCTTTTAAAGGGACATGTTAGTCAAGGAGTACAAGGTTTCGGTTTCGTAAGATGAATAAATTCTAAGATCTTACTTATAACATGGTGACTAGAGTTTCCAAATCTGTATGAATCCTTGAAATTTGCTAAGATGGTCTTTGGTGTTCACACTCACACACACATACACACACGCAACTACATGAGGCAACAGATATGTTAATTAACTTGATTAAAGTGATATTCCACAATGTATAAGTATATCAAAGCATCAGGCTGTGTACCTTAAATATACACAACTTTTATTTGTCAATTATACCTCAACAACCCTGGAAAAATAAGATAAAAAGAAATAATGACTTAGACCAAGAGGTTATTAGATAATCTCTTAAAAACAGATTTTGTTGGAGGCAGGAGGAGCAAGGGAAGGAAGGAGCCCTAAGATACTGGGCATCACATCTAAAGAGAAGTTGGGGGAGGTGTGACAGCACTAAGTGGGAGATGACTTCTAGAATGAAGAGCCTTGAATTTGCTAACAGGAGGCTTGGATCAGCTCACGGTGTTGCTAAGCCAGGATGTGGTTTGGGGTTATTAATGAGCACTGATGGCTCTTCATTGCCACGTACTGAGTGCTGTGCCATGGGTCAGATACTGTGCCCAGTTCCCTATCATGGAATCCTCTCACACAATCCTGTGAGGAAGAGACGCATCTCTCAACTTACAAATAGAAAACGAAGGTTTGGTACTTAATCCAGGGTTAGGGAGTTTTGCTCTAGGAAGCAAAACCACCTAAGTGCCCTAATAGGGACTGCTCAAATAGCCATGAATGGAGTCATTGCTATTTTTCTACTGTTTTCACCACAAACAAGACTAATTCTGAATAATAAACTCCTGAACAGTATCCTGTGAGTACCAGCACATTCTTCCAAGGTCATCCTTCAGCCCTCCCTTTAGTGATGAAGATTTTGAATGCCAGAGGGGGCCAGTAGCGAAGCAGTATTGCTCACGAGATGCACAAGCTGCCCCCACCCCTCATTAGGGCAGGACCAAGAGCCAGCCACGATTCTAGAAAAGAAACCAGGCGGAGCACAGTGGCTCACCCCTATAATCCCAGCATTTTGGGAGGCCAAGGTGGGCGGATCACTTCAGGTCAGGGGTTTAAGACCAGCCTGGCCAACATGATGAAACCCTGTCTCTACTAGAAATACAAAAATTAGCCAGGCGCCACCATGCCTGCAGTCCCAGCTACTCAGGAGGCTGAGGGTGGAGAATCACTTGAACCTGGGAGACCGAGTTTGCAGTGAGTCAAGATTGCGCCACTGCACTCCAGCCTGGGCGACAGAAAGAGACTCCATCTCAATTTAAAAAAAAAAGAAAAACAAAACCAAAATGCACATGTAAGTAAAGTATGATTTTTCACCATTTCAAGAACAAAATTGGCATATGATGGTATATATAATTCTGCAACTACATTAATGTTTATAACTGAAGAAACACTCATATCAATATTTTCATTATATTGTATAGTTTTTCCATTGAATGCATTTGTTTATTTTGCTAATTAAAAAAAAATTGTGCAGTTAGAAGTTTCCAGAATCTACAAAATAGATATGAATCAATTATAATAAAATAGCAATTACATTCTAATGTAAATGTACAAAGTTTTGTTCTGAATTTTTCATGATCACTACCTTGATTTAGCCCTCAAGACTGAAGTTTCAAAGTTGAGGGCCCTCCTTTGCATAAGTAAATTAGGAAATATGCTGAGAAGCATTTACAACCCACACTAAAGGGTCTATTGTGAAATACATTGACTTCATAATTGCTATGAAGAGTTGCTTTGCTGTTTTGATCTTTGCATGGTAAAACTCTTCCAAATGTTTCTAAAGAAAGAGAGCAATGTATGAAGTGCAAAAGTGTTGAAATCTACTACTGATCAAAATATTCCATTTGATTGTTTTTCTCTTAACACTGTAAAGCTTAGAGTCCTAATTTAGAGAATGGACATGGGTTGTCTCTGTTCTTTCCTAAATTTGTCTGCCTTCCTATTGGTGGCCCTGAGAAGCTTTTTGCTATTTCTTTGATGACTTTGCATTTGAGGCTTTGCAGGTGTAGGTGGGCTGGGGAGGTGTTTTTGTTTATGTCTTCAAGGAGAGTGCCTGGATAGAGAAAGGATTATTCAGGGGTTTACTTTGGTATTTAAAAATTGATATTCAACTTATTAAAATTACAAATTCATCTCATCTCAGCCTTCTGAAAGTTAAAAACTCAAAACATTTATTTCTTCCGTAAGCTTTTAAATTCAATCTCTATATGTAACTATACATGTTAGTCTAAAAAGTTTTAACAATCACTTTGAAGGAGCTTTGATTCATAGTTGATCCTACTTACAAAATTAATTTTAAAACTTCAAATATATAAAACAACATTTATAAATTTCAAATAATTGATTTCCTTCTAAATACTACAATAGTCTAATTGAACAAACTTTTCCTAAATATTTAAAAATTACACTGTACATTTAATAAATTAAGCTTATAAATAAGAACTTTAAGTTATCTAAAATGATCTAATATTATTTGCAAACAAAGCTATTTCAACTTAGAAATTTCAAGTGTAAATCAATTACTCAATTACACATTTTCAATTTATTGATAAGGTTGACTAATATTCTAATAGATGAAATCTTATAAACATATTCAGATGCCTTATTACAAAAATATTAACATTATGTTTTGATTCTCTTACAGTTTTTAATGTTAATCTAAATATTTTTCCGGGTAAAAGATGCTAACCAGCTAAAATACAATATGTCACTCTCCAAAATTTAGGGGATACCTTCTTAACAGCTAGAAGTTCTTAACAGCTGAAAGTAGCAGGCCTGATACAAACTGAATTCTTGTCAGTGACACAAATGGGCCACTTCAACCAAATGGACAGACTATAACAGAGACTTCATAGCATAATGAAGGGGCTGATATCACAGAGAACCTATGTCCTGTAAAATACAGTTTCCCATAAATGAATGAAAATCTCAGTGAAAATCTGCTACCCTCACTTACCCTGTTACATCACTTAACCGGGCTTTTTCATTCCTTTCCTTCACACAATATTTAAATGTCTTTTCAAAAGCTGCAAAGACCTTGAACTTGACAGACTCTTGCACTTTTTTTTCATATTAACCCTGTCTCTTAGGGCCACAGAATAGATTATAAGATGGCATCTAATCAAATAGTTAGCTATTTATTTACAGTTAGTTGTAGCATGGTTATGAAAAACAGACTTTGCAATCAAATTTGCATGGATTGGAATCCCAGGCCTGCCGTTTTCTAATTAGGTGACGTTGGGCAAGACACTTAAAGTCTCTGGGTCTCAGTTTTCTCATCTGTGAAAAGTATTATTTTGATATTTGTTGTGAGATGTAAATAAGTTAATGTAGAAAAAGACATTAAGACAGTCCCGGGCACATACATTATATAAGCATTAGCAACCACATATTGTTGCTCTTTCATGAGATAGAACATTCTATTGATAGACTGCCTGCCCATTTTGTAATATTCAATAATTGTCCATAAGATGTGCCTGGTAAAAGTTTCTAGCTTAGGCCTTGTGTATTTCTCTATTAATTCGAACCTTACTGAAGTATAATTATTTTTTAGAAAAGAAGAAAATGATCATTCTAAAGCTTTGTTGGAGCACTGGGCCTTTTTGCTTAGCCAAAGGCAACTTCTCCAGGCTAAGCCACTACTGGGAACTCTGAAGCATGGGAGAGGGTGGACCCATGGACTGGCTCACTCAACATCCATCCCAGACTCTTCTCACAGGTCTTCCCTCACACAGAAGTGAAAAGCTGACCACCTGCTATGGTTTGGATATGGTTTGTTTGTCCCCACAAAATCATGCTGAAACTTGATTCTCAATGTGGCTGTGTTGTGGGGTGGGGCCTAGTGGGAGGTGTTTGGGTCCTGGGGCAGATCCCTCATGAATGGCTTGGTGCCATTTTCATGGTAGGGAGTTCTTTCTTTCACAGGACTGGATTGGTTCTTGAGGGAATGATTAGTTCCCACAAAAGTGGGTTGTTATCAAGCCAGGATGCCCCCTCAGGTATGGTCTCTCTTCTCCCATGTCTGCTTCCCCTTTGACCTTCTCCACCATGTTTTGATACAGCACAAAAGCCCTCACCAAAAGTTGAGCAGATGCCAGTGCCATGCTTCCTGTACAGCCTACAGAACCATGAGCTAAATAAACCTATTTTCTTTATAAATTAGCCAACCTCAGTTATTCTTTTACAGCAAAACAGACTAAGATACCACCATGTTCTTAAACTCCCTTGCAACTAGGGTCTGCCAAGTGATTTGGGCTACACACATGAGGTGCACCCATACATGAGTGGGAAGGTGGCAACAAAGATGGAGGAGCTCCGTGGTCCTTATGCTGCTTCTCCTCTTTCTTCTACAATCACAGAAGTGGAAATGTTGGACTGAAGCAAAGATTCCAGTGCCCAGTCCCTGACTTTGTTAATGTTGAGAACTAACAACAACAAAAAAAATAT
This sequence comes from Homo sapiens, assembly GCF_000001405.40. Classification (NCBI taxonomy): domain Eukaryota; kingdom Metazoa; phylum Chordata; class Mammalia; order Primates; family Hominidae; genus Homo; species Homo sapiens. The sequence continues at coordinate 42,837,582 of NC_000007.14, forward strand.
GTTGCTTTCTTCCTTTCTTCACTCAAAAATTTCTTCTGTTTGGTCCCCAGACCATGCACAGTCTGGAGCAGTGGTTCTCAGCCAGAGGAAATGTCCCATCCTCCCAGGACACATCTGGCAATATCTGGAGACATTTTTGATTGTCATGAACAGGTATCAGGTGGGGCTGGGATGGGGATGACATTGGTATTTACTGGGTAGAGGTCAGGGATGCTACTAAACATCCTACAATGGACAGGCCAGTCTTCACAACAAAAAATTATCTAGTCCAAAATGTCAATAGTGCAGAGGTTGGGAAATCCTAGCACCATACACTGTGTTCTGTATCTGCTTACTAAGTGGCTCTTTAGCTCCATGAATATGCTTGTATTGAACCCCAGAAGATGAAGCGATAACAAGTAAAAAGTGAAATTGGGAGGAGAGCATGAGATGACTGTAAGGAGCAGAAAAACTTCCTGGGATTGTGTCTATTTTGTTAGTTTATTGATGAGTTAGTGTGCATTTAATTCAAGTGAGTGAATTCAAGTGAGCAAGTGTTCTAAGAGTAAAAAGATGGAGGAAATTTTGAATCCGTTACCAAAGCTGTTGAAATCATCCCTAGACCCTCACCACCCAAAATGTGGTCCAGAAACCAACACCACTGGCACCGCCTGAGAGTTTTTTAGAAATGAAGACACCCCAGTCCTACCTCTGAGATTTTTAATAAGAATCAACATTTTTAACAAGACCTCCATTATGCCAATATGCACATTGAAAATGTACTGCATAGGCAACACCAGCAGGTGTGTATGAATTGGAGAGACAACTTTTAATTGACAAGTACTTGGATAGTGAATTGCATGGTATCACACTTTTGCTCCCTGGCTGGTAAAATGCAGAATTTCAACATGAGACACAAATCAGTATAACTTCAGATCTGCTTTGTTTTATATCTGATTGCTACTTAATCACCAGTGGCCTGGAACACATAGATTATTTCTTTCTCCCTCTATTAAGTGTTTAATGATCTGCAAACAAGCTCCTGAAAAGATGCCACTTATAGAGACCCTATGGTCCTTTTGTAATATGAGTCATTTCGCCCCTTATTGTTCCTCTTTGTAAGAAAGATGTTTAGTTCGGAGCATTAAGTGTACTATTTAAAAATGTGAAAGGCTATTTATTAGAGAGAGATTACATCTCCCCAACAGAAATATTCCCAGCACTGCCACCCACACACATATGCACACCACTCCTTGTCTATACCCCAAAGAGATTTTGTAGTCGGTACTTCTTGGCGGCCCTCACTTTGCTCCTCCGGAGATCACACACAGACTGTGGCTCTACACATCACTAAATTACCTGTGCAGGGATTCTGCAGGAAAATCTGCCAAGAGTAAGACCATGGCAGAGGCAAATGGGTGGTTTTCAAACTCTATTTCCTGGAGCCCTAGTATTCCTTAGAGCAGTCTCAGGGGTTGAGGGACAGTTGAGTAGTGGGGTTTATGGGACCTTCCACTCCCATTCCATCAAGAGCACTTGTATTTGTATCTGTTTTAGAGATTGGGGTGTATAAGATTGCATTTGAAAAATGCTAACTGTATATGAGAAACATCTGAAGGACACTGGAGCAGATGATTGCTAAGATCTAGTCAAGATCCATTATCCTTTAACCTGAAGAAACACAACTGTAACCAAAAATATGAAAAAAATGCTTACCCTTAACAATAATCAAACACAATTCCATTTTTTATTGTTATTATGAAAAGCATCAAAAAAACACCAACAGCTTATCAGGGTGTGATGTAACACATTCAAACATATATGTGATAGATTATAAGATGATATAAAATTTTTGAGTAGTTAGACAATATTCATAAAAATCTAAAAGATTATGCACATCCTCTTATGTAGCAATCCCACATAACTCTTTCATAGAGAAATAATTCAAAACTGATTAAAATTATACTCACATATTTATTATAGTGCTATTATTACATGAGAAAAACAAAAAACAATCTAAATATCCAAAATAGTGAAAATAGTGCAATTATTCAAATATGAATATAATAACTTTGTAATGACATAATAAATACTTATGACATCATGTTAGGTTAAAAAATACAATATAGAAAGTGTGTAAACTATGCTTTTAAAATTTCATTATGTATTTTAAAAAGAGCAAAACATTCAGAGGAGTTGTATGGATGATGAGATTATCATTCATCTTTTTTCTTGTCACTATTTTCTAAATTTTGTATAATTTGAACGTTACTTATAATGAAAAAACTATTTTTGAAAGATCTTAACAGACTTCAGTGACCCACCATTAAAGATGTATCTTTAAACTTTTATGTAACATCCACCACCCTAGGCACTTGATATTTTAAAAAAGAGAAGAAAGTAGCTCTCATCATTTAGTCAACTAAAGAACACAGTGAAACAGGGTAAGTGTGCCTAAATGTGTGTACACAGCACTACAGGGACCCAGCAGCTGAAGGAACTCATTCTATCAGAGTGAGCCTCAGAATGTATTATCTGTATATTAATGATATGACACACAGGAATACATCTACTTGGATTCATTTCTTTCTTTGTAGTATTTGTCCCCTCACCCCACCCAAAAAGGCGTAAAAGTGCTGAAGGCAGACTTGACTCTATATAGAGAGAGTAACATGGGCAACAAGTTTAGTCTTACTTGTGGAGACTTTTACGCATACAAGGAACAGGGTCAAAGGACAGGACTTTGGAAAGCAAGGAGTCACTGTCACTGGGCCATGCTCGAGAGGTAAAGCCAGAGGGTTGAACAAGGTACTTCCCAGATAACCAAACAGAAACAAAGGCAGCATCACATCAGAGACTCTAGGAGACCTGGTGATTTCTGGTGCCCTTCTATCTGGGCATGGCCTTTTTAATTTAATGCTTATAAAGTAGACCCCTGATCTGAATTTATAAGTTGAAGGATTATTATGTATGCCATTAATTTGTTGGGAAATGGGAAGTGGAAAGGGACTTACCCTAGAAAATTTATCTAAAGACAGAAAAAGTTTTAGACCTTAATCTAATAGATAACATCAGGCCAGCAAAGAGCTCACTGGCTTCCTTTTCCACACATCTTCCTCATTGTTCATTTTCATGCTGGCATGATGTTTGATTCAACTGGGAATAGATTAGCTAATTACTAATTAGGGTTAAATGATCATCCCCAATTTGCTATCTTGGAGTATACGGTGATCATTTGTATTAACTGCCTAATATACGTACTGTGTGCAAGTACTGTGCTGGGTTTTTTACAGGTTAAATTCATTAAGCTAGAAAAGATCATCTATGTTAATTGCCTAAAAAATGTCTGAGGTAGCTGTTATTAATTCCATTTTACAGATTAAAAGATGGAGGCTTGGGAAACTTGAATAACTTGGCCATGGCACAGGGCTAGTAAGTGGCCAGCTACAAAGTAGACTTAGGTGTGAGTGGGCCCAATGCCCCTGATCTTTCCACCACGTCAAGCAACCAGCATTCTGGGAGAGCTGATGGGTGGCAGTCCTTAAGCCCTTGTGAAGGTACCGTCTCAGCAGCACCAGCTGGGCTGAACAAAGAAACAAAGTGTAGAACAATTTCAGTGCACAGGGCACACTGCTGCTTGATCTTCCCAGCAGATCTATAAGCTGGTTGATAGTGCCTGGTACCTTTCTCCTCCTCATCCTCAGGAGCTGGAAAGTAGCCTCTCTTTATAAAATGTCTGGGATATACCCAGTTTATGGCCTTGCAATATCATTTCTCTCCAAGGGAACCAGAAGAAATGACTGATTCCAGGGCTGGGCCAAAAAAAAGTCCAAGATGAGCCTGACATATCTTGCCATACCAAACTGCAACAAAGCTCTTGGTGAGTACCGGGATCATGACCAAAGTACCCAAAAGTCGATCTGAGTAAACCCCCATTGGGCAAAGATAGCACAGTAACTGCAAAGGGTTGAAACACAAATATGCTTAAATCCATGAATTCATAATGATACCACAACAAAAACATTATTGGTCACCTTTGGCAGATGCTAGGTATATTAGTCTGTTCTCACGCTGCTGATAAAGACATACCTGAGACTGGGTAATTTATAAAGAAAAAGAAGTTTAATTAACTCACAGTTCCACATGGCTGGGGAGGCCTCACAATCATAGCAAAAGGCAAGGAGGAGCAAGTCACATCTTACATGGCAGCAGGCAGGAGAAGAATGAGAACCAAGCAAAAGGGATTTCCCCTTATAAAACCATCAGAGCTCGTGAGACTTATTCACTACTACAAGAACGGTATGGGGGAAACCACCCCCATGATTCAATTATCTCCCACCCAGTCCCTCTCACAACACATGGGAATTATGGGAGCTACAATTCAAAATGAGATTTGAGTAGGGACACAACCAAACCATATCGCTAGGTAATCAGCATATTGTTGAGAAAACTAGTAAATACAGGGAAAGTCTCAAACATTTATCCTGTCTCTCCTATAATATCTGAACCTAAGACAGCCAAGTAGTTGATAAAACAAAGTCTCTTTATAGAAGTGTTCCAGTTAATAAAAAGAATTAGAATATCACCACTTCACAACTGTTCAGTATGAATGATCATAATGGCTGACAACATGATAAAAAGAGAAACAAGTATAGGTTAAATAGAGAGATAGATTATAAACAATAGATGATAGATGAGAGAGAGAAAGAGAGAGAGAGAGATGGCATCTATCCAAGCCTCTAACTATAAACACCCAATTTATAAGAGACAGGAAAACATGTAAAACAACCACCACATGTGAACAACAAAATCAAAATTGTGAGAAATTCTCCAGGACAAAAGATTCAGCTTCTTCAACAACAATAACACATGAATCATGAGAGACATAGGAGAAATGTCAATAAATCACAATGTTTAGGCTATATTTGGATTATGATTAAAACAAACTATTGAAAAATTTACCTTACCATCACAAAGCAGATGAGAAAGAAAGAAAATGAAATTTTAAAAAAAAATTTACCTGATAATCAGAAATCTGGGAACACTGGATAGTCGATGCTAAGGAATTAATTATGTGAGTGTGACAATAATATTGTGGTCATCTTATCTTTGAGAGGCACATATCAAAGTATTCCGATGTGATGTCTGAGATTTAGTTCAAAATAACATTGAAGAGGGTAGAGTTGACAAAATACTTCCCAGACATTCTTGGTTGTAATTGTGTATGGTATGTATGAATAAGTAATGATACATCGGGTCCACTGTACTGTTTTTTCTACATATATTTGAAATTTTCAATAATATAACAGTTTTTTAATAAACTCAAAGACTCCTATGAAATAGCCTCCTTTCTCTTCCAAACTTGGGGACAAATTATATTTAGTGATATTATAAGATCTGACCAGAAGCGGTGGCTCACGCCTGTAATCCCAAACACTTTGAGAAGCCGAGGCAGGAAGACCTCTTGAGACCAGGAGCTCAAGACCAGCTTGGTCAACATAGCGAGAGCCCATCTCTTTTTTAAAATAATAATTTTTTAAATTTTCTTAATAAAATAAAATAGAGCAAATGCAGCCTGGGGCTTATTTGCAAATCTAATCCTTTCTTTAGCTGCAAAAACGACCTGTTCCACACAAGCCATACAAGAGAATCTTGCAATGTTCTTCTACTTAAATTTAAACTGTCACAAATTTTTAGTGCCACCTCAGATGACTAGATTTGGTGGTCTTGTCGGAAAAGGGGCGTACATTTGGCTAAAACGTGACTGTTGTCCTTGCCGCAGCGCCATTAATATGAGAGGGGCGACTGGGCTGTACAGAAAAGGCTTAAAGCTCCCCTGTGCGGTCAGTGTGGGTTAAAACAAGCCGTGCCTCTCGCTCCACGAGCTGGGTGCCTCCTTATCCCCTCAGTCCTAAAGACAGCTGTAGCCAGAGATTTTTTTGAGAATTCATTTTGCTAAGTCTGATACCCTCTTAAAGGTTAATCCAAACCTCCCATCCTAATAATTATAATAAATTAATTTCTCAAGAAATTATTTTTCTTTGGAAGAGAACAACCACCCAAAAATCTTCAATAACAGTATTTCTAAAATGTTTCGATACTTCATATGTGTTTACAGTCTTACAGTGTCAACTTTTGCAGAGACACAGTAGAGTTCACAAAGATACATGAAGCGCAGTTGATATGGAAGGAAGGAAAATGCAAGTGAGGTTGGGGTAAAAGAAGAGAAAAATAATTAATTAAATAAAACAAAACAAGAAAAGGGCCTGGCATAGACCAACGATGTGAATGAACTGAGCAGGATAATTAGCACAAATGTCTGTGATTGCAGTTGGAAGGGAAGAGAGGAAGGATGGAAGCAAGGGTAGAGTGATGGATCCAAAAATAATAGAATCTCACCTCCATACAATGTGACTTCATCTCTCTGATCTTGTTTCTCCAGAAAAAAATGGAATAACCTCACCCTCACACCCCACCCAGTTGTACCCCTGTTGTGATTATTCAATGACTGGGCCTCTGAAAAGCATCCGGCACATAGCAAGAATCTACTGTTAACTCTCTTTTCTCCTCTTTCTGCATCTGTGCTGTCACCTTATGCTCCTGGTTCTTGGGTCCCTGCCTAGCTAACCTTCCCAGCACGCCCCAGGACAAGCTCCTCCAGGCATCTTTTAAGGCAAGGGTGTAAATGGGGTTCAGTATATGCAAAGGATATCTACTGCCACACACATGGACTCACCTCTGCAAGATGAACTTTTGCTCCAGGGTCTGCAGGTCTGTAGGTTGCACCTCAGAGCAACAAATGGCAGTGGTGCCCCTTTATGGGGTCCAGTTCAACCTGCATCAGAGTCATCCACTCTGTTCTTTAAAGGTAGATTCCTGGGTAGGAAGCCCAGAAATACACACAGTTAGCCAACTCTCCAGACGATTTGATGCACAGAAGAGTTTGGGAACCAGTTATAGAGTGGGAATGAGATAAACAGGCTAGAATCACAAAGTTTGGGGGCTTTTTTCATGCAAATGTTTGAAAATATTAATTGTTCAGCTCTTTACTGATCAGAAATATGTCCAGATTAAAATACCACATAAAAAGTAACACTGGTCCACAGTCCTCTTATCTGAAATTCTGAGGCTCACAAAGCCCTCACAGCTACATTAAAACAAATTCATGTGGCTGCAAAACCTGAACTGGACTGATGAGAGACTATTCATATTATTTACATATCTCACCTGATGCAACTATTTGTGTTTCACTGCTGAAATATTTATATTTTTAGAAGATGCTGCCCCAAATACCATTGGGAGTATATAACACATGTTATATGCCTTTTCCTGAAATTCAAAATATTCTGAAATCCAAACTACATCTGGCTGCAAAGATTTGAGATATGGGATTGTGGGTCTGTTCTAAAAAAGAATAGAGCATATTAAATACTTTCTTCTCAAGCAACTGTTCTTCATTATACCCTGGTTAATGCTAGTTTCTTCCCACTCCTTTGGAAGCATCTGAGGCCCCCTAGCATCAGAAACATCCTAGAGCTCTCTTGGATGAGCTGCTGCAGCCCCCTACCTAGTAGAGTATGAATCAGCCACGTTTGGCTTGCATACCTGTCAATAAGGAGCTCAAGTCACCTTCTTTCTCTGCTAAGTCTCTAGAGAAAAACTAGCTTATTGGAGCTTTCTTAGCATTATCACCAGAGCTTGCCAATTTTTCCCAGCAGAAAGCTCTTCCTACAAAGCAAATAGGAGGCAACCCCACTGCCCTTCACTCTGGCCTTCTCAGATCAACAGAGCAATCATGTCATTGGGGCCAAGACAATGGTGTGTGTCACCAGACCTGATCCCTGCATTCAATTCTCACTCTGTCCTTAGAGCAGGTAAATTCTGCAAGCCTCAACTTTCTCCTCTGTGGAACAAAGGAATATACTTTTCCAGGACAATGCTCCTTATCCTCAGCAACCAGCATTGGAAATTAGGCAGTCTCAGCCCCTGATCTGAGAACTAAACTCATAAAAACAATGCAGATCTGTTGAAACATGTCATCTGCCCTTCAAAAGAAGTGATACTTCCCAAGCAGAAATAGGCCAGGCATGGTGGCTCACGCCTGTGATCCCAGCACTTTGGGAGGCTGAGTTGGGTGGATCGTGAAGTCAGGAGATTGAGACCGTCCTGGCTAACGCGGTGAAACCCCATCTCTACTAAAAATACAAAAAATTAGCCAGGCATGGTGGCAGGTGCCTGTATTCCCAGCTACTTGGGAGGCTGAGGCAGGAGAATGGCGTGAACCCAGGAGGCAGAGCTTGCAGTGAGCCAAGACCGCGCCACTGCACTCCATCCTGGGTGACAGAGAGAGACTCCCTTTCAAAAAAAGAAAAAGAAAGAAAGAAATGACCAAACAACAGAACACTCTAATCTTCAGACAGGCCATCTGAACTAAAGACTATGTGAACTAGGTGATATGAAATGTACAAAAGGCAAATCAAGATTTGTCAGTGGTCTCCTGTGCTTCTCAGGGGAGCAGTATGAACCATTAGAAGAGTTTGGTCATGTGCCCATGTGCCAGGCTCTAGGCAACTTCTAAGGATACCTGTGCTTCCTGAGTGTCTTCATCTCCTGATACTATATGATTAGCTGACAAAAACATTCTGCTCAGCTTGGTAGTCACAGTTTTTCCTAAAGACTACTACATGATGATTCCCGTCCGTCATCATTTTCTTGTGAGTTTTGCTTATGTCCTACAACGTGAAGGAGATTGAATTTACAGATTTACAGAATTGAGACCTACACCCAGCCATCATCTGTGACAACTGCCCCCTTGGCCCAACCTGCCTCCTCTATTTGCATCAGGAACAAACCATCTTTGTCTGATTTTTCAGTGCAGTTCCCCAGGCTTTTCTCAAGGTCTTACTATTTTAGAACTTCATTCACCCACTTCAGGTTTCCAGCCAATAACAAAATCTGCATGCCTCAGAATTGAAACTCAGTAAAGATGTCAGATTTTTTTCTTTCTAACACCATGAAACAAATTATCATTTAGATTTACTAAGGATATCTTATACTGTATTATAGTGGAGTCTTTGATATAACATTAAACATAGTGTAGGCACTTGATAAGGAATTTTTGGCTGACAATGACCTACATTAAGAAAAAGGGAAGACCTCAAATAAACCACCTAACTTCATACTTCAAGGAACTAGAAAAAGAACTAAGTCCACAGTCGGCAAAAGGAAGGAGTAATAAAAATTAGAGCAGAAATAAATGAAATAGAGACTAGAAGGACAATAGAAAAAATCAACATAACTAAAAGTTGTTTTAAAAAAATCAACAGAAGTGACAAACCTGTAGCTAGACTAACCAATAAAAGAAGAGAGTGGACTCAAATACAATTATAAATGAAAGAGAGAACATTACAATTGATACCACAGAAATACAGAGAGGATCATAAGAGGCTACTATGAACAAATTGAATAATTTAGGACTAGATAAAGTCCTAGAAATATACAAGCTACCAAGACTAACCAAGAAGAAATAGAAAACCTGAACAAACCAATACTGATTAAGGAAACTGAATCAGTAATCAAAAACCTCTTGACAAATACAAACAAAAAAAACCTTCAGGACCACACACCTTCACAGATGAATTCTAACCAAGCATTTAAAGAATAATTCACACCAATCTTTCTCAAACTCTTCCTAAAACTTTAAAAAGAGAGAACGCTTTCAAACTCATTTTAGCCTCATACCAAATTACCATCATATCAAAGCCAGATGAGGGTGCTACCAGAAAAGAAAGTTACATGCCCATATCCTTAATGAACGTAGATGCAAAAATCCTTAACAAAACACTGGGAAGCAAAATTCAACAGCATATTAACGGATCACACAGCATGATCAAGTGGGATTTGTTCATGAGATGCAAGAATAGTTCAATATATGTAAATCAACATGTGTGATACACCACATTAACAGAATAAAGGATAAAGATCATGTGATCATCTCAATAAATGCAGAGAAAACATTTGACAAAATTCAATGTTTGTTCATGATAAAAAAAAAAAAACTCTTAACGAATTAGGTATAGAAGGAATGTACCTCAACATAATAAAGGCCAAAATACAAGCCCACAGCTAACATCATACTCAACAATGAAAAACTGAAAGCTTTTCCTTTAAGATCAGAAACAATAAAAGGATGCCCACTCTTGCCACTTCTAGTCAACATAGTACTGGAAGTCCTATCCAGAGCTATTTGGCAAGAAAAAAGAAGGCATCTAAATTGAGAAGAAAGAAGTTAAATTGTCTGCTTGCAGAAGACATGATTTTATATAAAGAAAACCCTAAAATTCTACCCCCCAAAAAAGTTAAAACTGATAAACAAATTCAGTAAAGTTGCAAGATTGAAAAATCAACAAATGGAAGTCAGTTGTATTTCAATACACTATAACCAACTACCCAAAAAAGAAATGTTAAAAGTGACTCACTTACAAAAGCATCAGAAAGAATAAAATACTTGGGAATAAATTTAACCCAGGAGGGAAAAGATCTATTCACTGAAAACTGTAAAAAATTGATGAAAGATATTAAAGAAAACACAAATAAATGGAAAGATTGTCTGTGTTCATGGACTGGAAGAATCAATATGGTTAAAATATCTATACTACTCAAAGCAATCTACAGAAATGCAAACCCTATCAAAATTCCAATGGCATTTTTTACAGAAATAGAAAAATTTATATGGAATCACAAAAGGCCCAGAATAGCTAAAGTAATTTTGAGAAAGAACAGAGCTGGAAGTATCACATGCCCTCGTTTCAAACTACATTGCAAAACTATAGTAATTAAAAGAGTATAGTACTGGCATAAAAATAGACACATAGACCAATAGAAAAGAATAGAAAGCCCAGAAATAAAACGAAGAGTAGAATGCACAATGGAGAAAGGAAAGTCTCTTTAACAAATGACTAGAAAAATTGTATATCCAAATGCAGAAAAATGAAATTGAACCCTTATCTCACACCATATACAAAAATAGGCCCAAATCAATTACAGACTTAGATGTAACATCTGAAACTATAAAACTATCAGAAGAGAATCTAAGGAAAAAGCTTCTTGACATTGACCTGGGCAATGGTTTTTTTGGATGTGACCCCAAAAACACAGGCAAAAAAAGCAAAAATAGACAAACAGGATTGCATCAAAGCAGAAAATTTTTGCACAAAAAAAAGAAACAATAAACAGTAAAAAGGCAACCTATGGAAGGCGAGAAAATGTCTGCAAATTATGTATCTGATAAGGAGTTGATATTCAAAATATGTCAGAAACTCACACAACACACAAAAACCTCAGTATTATTTTTAAATAAAAAATATGCATTAATTATTCAGTATTATTTTTAAATAAAAAGTATTGATTACTCAATATTATTAATCAAAAATAGTCATAATTAACATATTTAAAAGAAGCAAAGGACCTGAGTAGACATTTTTCCAAAGAAGACATACAAATGGCCAACAAGTATATGAAAAGGTGCTCAACATCATTAATCACCAGGGAAATGCAAATCAAACCACAGTGAGATACTACCTCACACCTGTTAAGGTGGCTGTTATGAAAAAGACAAACAATGACAAGTGTTGGCAAGTGTGTGGAGAAAATGGAACCCTTGTACAGTGTCAGTGGTAAAGTAAATTGGTGCAGCCATTATGGAAAACAAAGGTTCCTCAAAAAATTGAGGACCTATCAATCCCATGTCTGGGTATATATCCAAAGCAAATAAAATCAATATACCTGCACCCCCGCATTCATTGCAGCATTATTCACAAGAGCCAAAATACAGCAACAACCTAAGTATCACTCAGTAGATGAAAGGATAAAGAAAATGTAGTGTGTATATACGCAATATAATAATATTTAGCCAGAAAAAATAAGGGAATCCTGCCATTTGTGACGATATAAATGAACCTGGAAGACATTATGCTAAGCAAAATAAAATCCAGAAATAGGAAGATAAACACTGTGTGATCTCACTTATATGTGGAGCCTAAAGTGTCAAACTCATAGAAGAAAAGAAGAGAACAGTGGTTGTCAGGGACTACAGGGGTGGGGAAATGGGGAAGTCTTGGTTAAATACAAAATGAACAAGTCCTAGAGATCTAATGTACAGCATGGGTGGTAATGGATGTATTGATTAATTTAATTGAGGTAATCATTACACAATGTATAAGTAGATATAATCGTCACATTGTACACCTTGAATATACTTAATCTTTATTTGTCAATTAATATTTTTAAATTTTTAAAGTTTTTTAAAGAGTTATTGGCTATCTGTACCTGATTTAGATTATGTCCATATTTTCTTTTTATTATTATTATATTTTTCTGAGACAGGGTCTCGCTCTGTCACCCAGGCTAAAGTGCAGTGGTACGACCTCAGCTCACTGCAACCTCTGCCTCCAGGGCTCAAGCAATCCTCCCACCTCAGCCTTCTAAGTAGCTGGGACCAAGGTGCATGCAACCACACCTGGCTATTTTTGTATTTTTTGTAGAGACAGGGTTTTGCCATGTTGCCCAAGCTGGTCTCAAACTCCTGAGTTCAAGTGATCCACCCACATTAGTGCTGGGATTACAGGCATGAGCCACTATGCTGGCCTATTTCCACATTTTCCATGTCTGTCTCAATTCAACTTTGGGAATGAACATCTCCCTGCATAGCTCAGTAATTGTTACTGCTCAGCCATATCATCACCTGTCCCCTACCTTCCTTCTACCCACAGGATAATCTGTTTTGTTTAACTTTTTTCTCCAGCTATCCTAGTATACATATTTTTTCTGATGCTTGGTAACCACTTAAGCATTGACCACCTAGGCCTTCAATAAAAGCAAATTAATCTGGATAAACTTAATTTCTTGATATCATCTGCTCAAATATGACAGTAAGCATCTAGTAATAAGGAGGTTAAATCTGAAGGAAAATAATGCATATCAGACTCTCTTAGAAGAAAATAATATATGGGTTGGAGGCGTTCTCACTGAGATAGAACCAATGTTAGAGTTTTCTGAGTCAATATATATGACTTGAGTCACTTTCTTCCAGATTTGTGAAAATCCCAATTTGCTTTTAACTTCTTGAATGTGTTAATTTCCTGAACTTTGTAGAGTTTAGGAGTTTTTAATCACCTCCTAGAACTGGATGGACCTACTGATTTTAATCTCTGCTAACAAGACTAGAATTTTTCATCAAAGTGGTTCATTTGGATTGTTCACTTGGTACAAAATTTCCTCAAAATTCCCATGCAATTTTGAGTTACATGAGAAAACTTTAAGCTCTGCCCTTTCATTACACTGGTTCAAAGTACAACCAAAAAGGAGAATCTACAGAATATGGGATATGGGGATAGCGGGGAACAAACAATAATTGCCTTTCTTTTTGGCTGACCTGAAGGTTTGCCTCTAACAGTCAAGGCTGTTTCATGATGACATTAGGTACAGCCATTCAAGATGCAGCCCATTAAACTACTGTGTGTCATATCTCACTGATGAATATTATTTCTGAAAATGTTATCAGCTGGGCACAGTGGCTCACACCTGCAATCCCAGCACCTTGGGTGGCAGAGGCAACAGGATCACTTGAACCCAGGACTTCTAGACCAGCCTGGACAACACAGTGAGACCTTGTCTCTACAAAAAAAAAATGAAAAACAAAATTAGCTGGATAGGGTGGTGAACATCTGTGGTCCCATCTACTCGGGAGGCTGTGGTGGGATGATTGCCTCAAGAGATGGAGGCTGCAGTGAGCTGTGATTGTGCCACTGCACTCTAGCCTGGACAACAGAGACCCTATCTGGAAAAAACAATAATAAAGAAAGAAAAGAAAATGTTTTCCATAATTGTTCATTGATTAGCTACACATGAAAATTAATGAGACTGAACACCTGCTGCTAGTTTTGCTGTGTCACACCAGTGTGCCACCAAAGTTCACGTTAGCAGATTTGGTCAATTGCTTACCACAATGGGGGCTAAATATGCTAAACTATATAATTTTGGCCCATTCAAATTTAATTCTGTGTAAACTATACCATGGAACTGGAACAGTATGAAGAATCACAATAAAAGGATTATAAAGGATCATAATAAAAGGACCATGAAGGATCCTGACAAAAAGAAAATAGATATTAGTAAAATCTCTGCTCACCTTTGCATCAATATAATTTTATAAAGCCCACATCTGAGAGCATTTACCATAATGCAGCCCACAGCTGAAAAACCTAGTGGTACTTTTTGTTCTTTTTGTACTTTTTGTTTTTGTCTAAAAAAAGAGATTGGGCCAAGTGTAGTGGCGCACACCTATAGTCCCAGCATCCCAGCAACTTTGGAAGCTGAGATGGGAGAATTGCTTGAGCACAGGAGTTTGTGGCCAGCCTGGGCAACACAGCAAGACTCTGTGTCTTAAAACGGAGAGAGAGAGAGAGAGAGAGAGAGAGAGAGAGAGAGAGAGAGAGAGAGAGCCAGCCACATCTCATTCAACCACGCTGACCATGACATAATTTTTCATCTTCCTTTACCCATAATTTTGAAGAGATACCAGATGTAAACTGTTTTATTGTCCCACTCCCTGTGTTTCATTTGTAAACCCTGCTTTTTCTGGACTTCTATAAAGTCTGTCTGGCTGTGAGCCTAGGACACTCTGCTTATACTCAGTTGCATGAAGCTCCAGGCAGAAGTGTATCAGTGATAAAAGAGTTGAAAAGTTTACCCTGAAATTCATTTAGCTCTGCTGATAAACATGACTGGAACAAACAGGGTCCCAAGAGCCCAGGCAACTTTGAGAGGAAAGAGCCAGAGCCCACATTTCAATTTCCCAAGCTTGGGTTCTAGTATTGTGAAGCATGCTGTGAGTCCTTCATTCATTCCCTGCTTTTCTATTTACTAGCTATGCAAATTTTAGTGAACTGATTTATGTAAAATGAGGATAATTGCAGCTACTTCAACTGGAGTAAGAGTAAAATGAGATTTAGTAAAGTGCTCTGTGCAGGGTCGAGTACATTACTGAGTGCTCATTACTTGTTAGTGACCTTCCTCCCTTCATAGTGTCACTAGAGTGTGTTATCATTGCACAACGCAAGCAATCCCATAGCCTATACGTGCACAATTCACATATGCCCCTTATCAGTAGCTGCTTGCAGACATGAAAAAGCTTCCTTCCCCTCTGGAACCCACAGAGGCTTTCTACCCCATCTTTCACCCCTGCTAACCTATCTACAGACTCAAGCTCAACATCACCCACCACCATCCTTGCTCTTCTTGAGCCCCAATCACCAGATCCTGGAACCAGGGACTCCAATCTTCCCCAGGCAAAGCCGGTAGAAGACAGGAGAGGAAGAAAGAGAGAAGACAAGGAAAGGAGAAGAGAGGGCTTCCTCCCCTTCCCCAACCCTCCACTTCAGTGCTGCTTTCAGGACAGCGAAGGGAGGGAGGAAGGCAAACGGGACAGAGAAAAGGCCTCGGAGAAAACCCTCTCCCATTTTTCTCAGCAGAGACTCAGCGAGGGCTTGGGTGTGGAAGCAGCCACCCCACTGCCAGAGGAGGGATTCTCTGGCTCCCAATTCTGATCTCTGAGAACAATCTACAAACTTTTTGGAACACGGCCCTTTGTAAATAGATACTATTTATATTCCACCTTATGTTTCAGTACACATATATTTATAGTTCTATACTGAGCAATATTGTTTTCTATCACATACTAAATATAGCCATTTCAGTCCATCAGTGTAATTATTTAACTTGAAGACAAGCGCCATTGTTTTAATCATTTTAGAAACCAATTATCCTTATTATCTCACATTTCATAATCATATTTCAATACTTTTATTGTTAATGCAGTTACTATTACAGATGTTCAAAGTACATATATATACATATGAAATTATAGATAAGAAATTATATATTTAATATATTACATAAAATACATATTTTACATATATATGTATTATTACACACCACATGAAAAAAGACACAAGAAGACTAAAAGAAAGTAGTGAAATGTTAACAATGGGAATAGAATTATGGGCTAGTTTAGAATTCTTTCTACTTCTCTAAAGTTTCCAAATGTCTTGTTATATTACTTTTATAATTGGAAGAATAAACATAATTATATATTTTAACATATTCATGCCTGTTAACCATGAAGTCCTGACTAAAATAAGTAAAGCAATGGCAATTTTGGAGCACATGTTTCAAATTTTCATTTTGAAAAACAGGGATATCTATTACAATACTTTTAAATACAACAGGAATTTGGAAATTGTCATAGTAGTAAAAACCTACAATTAAGAGACTTTAAAAAAGATATCCTCCCAGAGGTTATCTGTGGTGGGAGAAAAATCTAGCTAATTCCTAGAAAAACAAACCCCTGTCTAGATACACAGCTCAAGTAATGGGAAGTGTCACCTGGTGAAGTCTTCCAGTCTTGGTGAATTTCGTGATTTTAAGACACACATACGGTTTCGTTATTTCTGAGGTGTATGTATGTTTTTTAATTAAAAATTCTTTGTAATATCAATGTTCCCATCAGAGCTACACTTGCAGCAGACGGTGTGAATGCAGGTGATTAAGGAGAGTTAGTCTCAGCACTCACGATCATGGGTGCTGTCTCTGTGGGGCTGTCACTCACTCAGGGCCTTGGCCTCCTCCCCTGAACACAGCACGATGATACAGACTCCCTCACAATTGCTGCAAGGATCCCATCAGATCGTGCCTACTAAAGGGCACCATTTGAACTGGTCACCTCTGTGGTGGCTGTGGCTTCTCTGTCTCTCGCTGACAAATGAACCAATTCTAGGGGAGTGCACAGAGGCACCGGGTAGTGGGCAGGACTCTGGTCAACAAGCTTATGGAAGACACTCCAAAGCAAGAGAAGGACACACAGAGTAACAAAGTCCTCTGATCCCAGAGACACTGATGGACAGAAAGGAGGACTGGATAAAGGAAAGGTGCATTTAGAGAACGTTTGCTTGTTTCCTTTCCCAAAGCCATGGAGACTTGAAGGGATCAAGTGACAGCATGTCCAGTGTGCTGAGGCAGAGCCATGGTATTAGGGACAATGAAGACAGAACAGTGGCTGCTGAACTCTTGAAAAGACTCACTCAGAAAGCCTCACCCCAGCTCCTGTTTCTGCTCAGGGACTCCAGAGTCTCCCTCAGGTGGGACCTGAGGACGGTGGGACACAGTGAGGGTCTCCAGTTCATTTGCCGGTGAAGATCTATGGCTGCTGTGCCCCAGTCCTCAGACTCCTAACTAAAATATTGTGATAAGAAAGCTGCTGGCAGGGAGCGCCGGCGGAGAGGTTGTGTGTATTTTCCCAGGTGCAGGCTGGGATTAGAGCGAGGAGAAATATGAACCCTTTCGATAGAGCACCCGAGGCCAGTCATCGCACGGACATCTCCAGCCATGGGTTTAAAAGGCTGCTGTTGTGTCTATGGGGTAAGACAAACCCCTGAACGATTCAGACCTTGTAGAGGGATCAGATGCTCATTAGGGCTTGGGGATGTCAACAAGAATCTTTCGAAGGAAAAATAAGGTGCTCATAAACTAAATTCCCTAGCTCACATTTCCCGAATATCTAACCCAGATGGCTAATTGGTGAGCCACTTCACAATGCCCGTCTTCATGCCTTTTTGACTTTCCTTTTGTTTATTTAAAGATGTCTTCAATAAATCTCCACAACGAGGAGTTTTCGCTGACAGAGTTAGTATGGTCAGTGACGATCTCACAGGCCAAGTGACAGAAAATTAGACTTGAATAGACAACAAAGAAAGGTTCAAAAATTTGAAGATGGAAACCAAAAATTATTTCAGTTGAATGAGAATTCTTCACTTAATTTGAAATTCTCATGGACTTCTTTTAATGTATGTGACAAAACAGTCTGGGGTTTTAGCTTCCTATCTAATGAAGTAAAAGATACTTAATGATCACAAAAATGTCCATTTGTTAATATTACATAATTACTTTGAGACTGGACCACAATATTTCTAAATCCTTAATAATATTTTTAAATCTCAAGGCCAAAATAATAATAATAAAACTTTCAGAAATGTCTACCCAATGGTTCTAAGGGTTGTGTGATTTATTTTTCGGAAAGACTCTTGCCTCATTTTTGCATTCTCTATCTTAGAGATTAAAGGCAGATACTTATGTCTTCAGTTAGCACCACATAATAGTGAATTCCTTCAAAAACTATTTACATAATGCAAAAATCTAATTTTAAAAAAAAGGATACATTCCTAAAAAAAAAAAAATTCATATGAGGCCAGGCGTAGTGGCTCATGCCTGTAATCCCAGCACTTTGAGAGGTCGAGGCGGGTGGATCACAAGGTCAGGAGGTCAAGAACAGCCTGACTAACATGGTGAAACCCCATCTCTACTAAAAATACAAAAATTAGCCAAGCATGGTGGCATGCGCTTGTAGTTCCAACTACTCAGGAGGCTGAGGCAGGAGAATCGCTTGAACCCAGGAGGTGGAGGTTGCAGTGAGCCAAGATCGCACCACTGCACTCCAGCCTGGGCAACAGAGTGAGACGCCATCACACAAAAAAAAAAATAATCATGTGAAGAAACTGGCCCTTTGCCCTGGGATGCTTGAAGACTGGTTTTTGGAACTGACATTATTAATGTCCAAGATAGAAGCATTGTAACTGAGTAAAGAAGCAAATTTCCAAGTGGTATCTATAGTATTTCCCTCTTTTATAGTAATAATATAGTGTATGTACTGAAAATATCTCCAGGACTGTATAACCAAAAAGTGGACCAAAAAATCCCTTGAATGGGAGACCTTTCATGGTCCTATCTTACATGTTTCTGTGGAGCTTTCATTTTTAAGCTTTTCCAATCAGAAAAAATAAATTGAATAAAGACTTACGCGTTGGCTATTATTTTGAGGCACTGACACTCTGGATATTGGAAATAGGCTGAGTTTGATCATTGCATTTCAAAGCACAGATTTTCCCGCACAAACCAAACTAGAGGAGAAATGCCACGCAATGCAATTTATGCTAGAAAAGGCTTGGCCCTGCGCGGAGGTAGGGCGAGTGGAGCTGCACAGTGAGACCTGCGTGCGGGAGGCGCACTCCACCTCAACCCAGCGCGCCGCCTGGAACAGCCCCCGGAGCCGGGGAGCTGAGCTAGGGAAGGCCGAGGGCTTTGCCTGCAGGCCATTGTTAATAAAACTCATTACTCTGGGAATGTTCCGAGGCAGCCCGACCCTTGCCTGCCTAAGAAAATCAGCCTCTGCTCCTCATTCTAAGCCCTTATCCAACGTCCCCACCTGCAAGACCAGTTCCTGAGGGTCGGCATGAAGAAGAGGAAAAGCACGTGGAGGATAGAGTAAAATACGTAGACTAAGAGAGAAAGTAGGATGCGGTGATGGAAGTGAGAGCCGCTTGGAAAAAACTGGGAGAGAGGAGGAGGAGGTGGCGCTTGGAGCAGCAAAGACTCTGCGGTGTGTGCGCGTGCGCGCGAGAAAGAATGGGGAAAGTAATAGATACTCGAAAGGCTGACTGGGTTGATGAATGGAATTCCCCTCCGTAATTTTTGGAGTCATAATTTTTGCCCCTTGGACTGTGCTTCTTGAAGTGCAGCGTGCCTGGAGCCCGGGCCGTGGGGCCACTCGGCTACGGATGCTATGTGATCTAACCAGGACCCAGGAAGGGGCCCTCTGGCTGCAGTGAGAGAGGGGTACACGGGGCGACACGCAGTGTTCTCAGGAGGGCGGCACAGCTGCTGCAGGTGAGAAGTGCTGGGGACGGTCGAGATCACTGGACGCCCTCAGAAATGGTACTGCGGCTGGAGAAATCATTAACGAGGAAAGAAATAACCCAATTTCCGGGAGGCTGGGACAGGAGAATTGCTTGAACCCGGGAGCAGAGGTTGCCGGGAGCCGAGATCGCGCCACTGCACTCCAGCCTGGGCGACAGAGCGAGATTCCGTCTCAAAAAAAAAAAAGAAAAGAAAAGAAAAGAAAGGAAAAGAAAAGAAGAGAAAAGAAAGAAACACCCAATTTCAGAAAGAGATGAGAATGGAGAGCTCAGAAGACACAATTTCTCTCTCACACTTCTGCCTTCTGGCCACATCCTCCCAGACAGGATAAATTTGAAGGTGGTTCCCCCACGCCCCGCTAAAGAAAGGTAGAGGGAAAAGTGGATGATTAATGATTGCCTGGGCTGACTTAAGTCACAGGCATTATGAATAAAAAGCAGTATGAATTACCAACCCCTGGAGCAATCCCTGTCTCCTACATTCCGGATCTTTAATGGTGCCAGCCCTGCCCTTGAACTGAGTTACTCCTAAACTCGAATTTGAATTTGTTAAACTACTTAGTCACGGTGAACTCTTTAGTGAAGCTGAAATTTTCAGAGTAAATGATTTTATGGTAGAGTTCTTTTAAAATACAATGCTTTTACAAACTAGTCCACTTTTGGCTGCCACACATTTTAGGTTTAAATGAACCATATTTTAAAATATTATAATGAACACTTCCTGTGTTGTCAGGTAGAGACCACTGTTAAAGCAGTTTCTCAGGTGTTTGAAAACAGGTTGTTACCATTCATTCTTAAAAATATTAGTCTTGGGCTTTAGACTTAGAAGACCTGGGCTTCAGGTTCCACTCACTACTAACTTGGGCAAGTTATTTACCTTATGAGCATCCTTTCCTAATCTGTAGAAAGAAAACAAAAAAAAGAATAAGAATAGCACTTCACAGAGCTTTTGTCAGAATTAAATTAGATAAACGACAGAAATGGATCTGGCACCATACCCAGCACATTCTAAATGTTAGTTTTCTTTCTCTTCAAATTATTAATTTGCTTTGCAAACCTATTTTCCTGCATCAACAGTGCAGTGAACTCTAGATGAGCATTTTAGAATCACATGTAATTTTAAATTATTGGGGTATGTGTTAATAATGCTGTTTCTTAT
Source organism: Homo sapiens (assembly GCF_000001405.40). Taxonomy (NCBI): domain Eukaryota; kingdom Metazoa; phylum Chordata; class Mammalia; order Primates; family Hominidae; genus Homo; species Homo sapiens. The sequence continues at coordinate 42,858,525 of NC_000007.14, forward strand.
AATAATTTATGGCAATCAATATTAAATTGCATAACAAATATTCCTTTGCAATACACACATAAAATCAGATGCTTCTATTCAACAATCAGCTCTCAGTCCCTGGTCTGACCATAAGTTTATCAATAGTCTATCCTGAACCTATTTTGGTATCACATGTGATTCTCATTTCTGGGCCTGGCTTCAGGCCTTTGGGCCATAGATCTAGACTGCAGCTTCCTGAGATGACCTGTGCAGACTGCTCATATCCAACACCTCTTATTCATGTTTAAAATATGCAGAAGGCAAAAGTAGGAAACTTAGCAGGAAGTAGAGCTAAATGGACAGTTATGACAATTCTGTCCCCCTCTGCCTGCCAGTTCCTCCCAAGCACCCACTCCAGGGAAACACTGGAAAGCCTGCAGAATCACAGCAGTGGTTTTTATTTTGAATGAGATTAATTTTGTCGGTGTCATTTACAAATAATTTTTTTTAACTTCCAAAACTTTAGCTAAATTGAAACTGTGGTCTGATGGCTGTTAACAAAGATTAAAAATCAAAAGGGTCCATGTCCAGTTTTCAATGTTGTATAGATTTTATAAACGCTCAGAATCAGTTTTGTTTCTGTTATTATTATTATATTATATTATTATTATTATTATTATACTTTAAGATCTGGGATACATGTGCAGAATGTGCAGGTTACATAGGTGTACATGTGCCATGGTGGTTTGCTGCACCCATCAACCCATCATCCACATTAGGTATTTCTCCTAACGCTTTCCCTCCCTTTGCCTCCCACCCCCTGAAAGGCCCCCGTGTGTGGTGTTCCCCTCCCTGTTCCCATGTGTCCTCATTGTTCACCTCCCACTTATGAGTAAGAACATGCAGTGTTTGGTTTTCTGTTCCTGTGTTAGTTTGCTGAGAATGATGGTTTCCAGCTTCATCCATGTCCCTACAAGGGACATGAACTCATTCTTTTTCATGGCTGCATAGTATTACATGGTGTATATGTGCCACATTTCCTTTATCCAGTCTAACATTGATGGGCATTTGGGTTGGTTCCAAGTCTTTGCTATTGTGAATAGTGCTACAATAAACATACGTGTGCATGTGCATTTATAGTAGCATGATTTATAATCCTTTGGGTATATACCCAGTAATGGGATTGCTGGGTCAAATGGTATCTCTAGTTCTAGATCCTTGAGGAATCACCACACTGTCTTCCCCAATGGTTGAACTAATTTACACTCCCACCAACAGTGTAAAAGCATTCCTATTTCTCCACATGCTCTCCAGCATCTGTTGTTTCCTGAATTTTTAATGATCACCATTCTAACTGGTGTGAGATGGTATCTCATTGTGGTTTTGATTCGCATTTCTCTAATGGCCAGTGATGATGAACTTTTTTTCATATGTTTGTTGGCTGCATAAATGTCTTCTTTTGAAAAGTGTCTGTTTATATCCTTCACCCACTGTCTGATGGGGTTGTTTTTTTCTTGTAAATGTGTTTAAGTTCCTTGTAGATTCTGGATATTAGCCCTTTGTCAGATGGATAGATTGTGAAAATTCTCTCCCATTTTGTAGGTTGCCTATTCACTCTGATGATAGTTTCTTTTGCTGTGCAGAAGCTCTTTAGTTTAATTAGATCTCATTTGTCAGTTTTGGCTTCTGTTGCAATTGCTTTTGATGTTTTAGATCATGAAGTCTTTGCCCATGCCTATGTCCTGAATAGTATTGCCTAGGATTTCTTCTAGGGTTTTTATGGTTTTAGGTCTTATGTTTAAATCTTTAATCCATCTTATTTTATGTATAAGGTGTAAGGAAGGGGTACAGTTTCAGTTTCCTGCATATGGCTAGCCAGTTTTCCCAACACCATTTATTAAATAGGGAATCCTTTCCCCATTGCTGTTTTTGTCAGGTTTGTCAAAGATCAGATGGTTGTAGATGTGTGGTGTTATCTCTGAGGCCTCTGTTCTGTTCCATTGGTCTATATATCTATTTTGGTACCAGTGCCAGGCTGTTTTGATTATTGTAGCCTTGTGGTATAGTTTGAAGCCAGGTAGCATGATGCCTCCAGCTTTGTTCTTTTTGTTTAGGATTGTCTTGGCTATACGGGCTCTTTTTGGTTCCATATGAAATTTAAAGTCGTTTTTTTCTAATTCTGTGAAGAAAGTCAATGGTAGCTTGATAGGAATAGTATTGAATCTATAAATTACTTTGGGCAGTATGGCCATTTTCATGATATTGATTGTTCCTATCCATAAGCATGGAATGTGTTTTCATTTGTTTGTGTCCTCTCTTATTTCCTTGAGCAGCAGTTTGTAGCTCTCCTTGTAAATTGTATTCCTAATTATTTTATTCTCTTTGTAGCAATTGTGAATGGGAGTTTGCTTGTGATTTGGCTCTCTGTTTGTCGATTATTGGTGTATAGGAATGCTTGTGATTTTTGCACACTGATTTTCTATCCTGAGACTTTGCTGAAGTTGCTTATCAGTTTAAGAAGTTTTGGGGCTGAGACGATGGGGTTTTTTAAATATACAATCATGTCATTTGCAAAAAGAGATAATTTGACTTCCTCCCTTCCTATTTGAATACACTTTGTTTCTTTCTCTTGCCTGACTGCCCTGGCCAGAACTTCCAATACTATGTTGAATAGGAGTGGTGACAGAGGGCATCCTTGTCTTGTGCCAGTTTTCAAAGGGAATGCTTCCAGTTTTTGCCCACTCAGTATGATATTGGCTGTGGGTTTGTCACAAATAGTTATTATTTTAAGATATGTTCCACGAATACCTAGTTTCTTGTGTGTTTTTAGCATGAAGTGGTGTTGAATTTTATCGAAAGCCTTCTCTGCATCTATTGAGATAATCATTTGGTCTTTGTCATTGGTTCTGTTTATGTGATGAATTATGTTTATTGATTTGCATATGTTGAACCAGCCTTGCATCCCAGGGACGAAGCCCACTTGATCGTGGTGGATAAGCTTTTTAATGTGCTGCTGGATTCGGTTTGCTAGTATTTTATTGAAGATTTTCACATCGGTGTTCATCAGGGATACTGGCCTGAAATTTTCTTTTTTCATTGTGTCTCTGCCAGGTTTTGGAATCAGGATGATGCTGGCCTCATAAAATGAGTTAGGGAGGAGTTTCTCTTTTTCTATTGTTTGGAAGAGCTTCAGAAGGAATGGTACCAGCTCCTCTTTGTACCTCTGATAGAATTCAGCTGTGAATCTGCCTGGTCCTGGGCTTTTTTGGTTGGAAAGCTATTAATTACTGCCTCAATTTCAGAACTTGTTATTGGTCTATTCAGGGATTCAACTTATTACTGGTTTAGTCTTGGGAGGGTGTATGTGTCCAGAAATTTATCCCTTTCTTCTAGATTTTCTAGTTTGTTTGTGTAGAGGTGTTATAGTATTCTCTGATGGTGGTTTGTATTTCTGTGGGATCGTTGGTGATATCCCCTTTATCATTTTTTATTGCATCTATTGGTTCTTCTCTCTTTTCTTCTTTATTAGTCTTGCTAGCAGTCTATTCTGTTGATCTTTTCATAAACCAGCTCCTGGATTCATTAATTTTTTGAAGGGTTTTTCCTGTTTCTATCTCCTCCATTTCTGCTCTGATCTTATTTTTTGTCTTCTGCTAGCTTTTGAATTTGTTTGCTCTTGTTTCTCTTGTCCTTTCAATTGTGATGTTAGGGTGTCGATTTTTTATCTTTCCTGCTTTGTCCTGTGGACATTTAGTGCTATAAGTTTCCCTCTAAACACTGCTTTAGCTGTGTCCCAGAGATTCTGGTACATTGTGTCTTTGTTCTCATTGGTTTCAAAAGATTTATTTATTTCTGCCTTAATTTCGTTATTTACCCAATAGACATTTAGGAGGAGGTTGTTCAGTTTCCATGTAGTTGTGCGGTTTTGAGTGAGTTTCTTAATCCTGAGTTCTAATTTCATTGCACTGTGGTCTGAGAGACTGTTTGTTATGATTTCCGTTCTTTTGCATTTGCAGAGGAATGTTTTACTTCCAATTATGTGGTCAATTTTAGAATAAGTGCTATGTGGTACTGAGAAGAATGTATATTCTGTTGATTTGGGGTGGAGAGTTTTGTAGATGTCTTTTAGGTCCGCTTAGTCCAGAGCTGAGTTCACGTCCTGAATATCCTTGCTAATTTTTTGTCTCATTGATCTGTCTAATATTGACAGTGGGGTGTTAAACTCTCCCATTATTATTGTGTGGGAGTCTAAGTCTCTTTGTAGATCTCTAAGAAGTTGCTTTATGAATCTGGGTGCTCCTAAATTGGGTGCATATATATTTAGGATAGCCAGCTCTTCTTGTAGCATTGATCCCTTTACCATTATGTAATGGCCTTCTTTGTCTCTTTTGATCTTTGTTGGTTTAAAGTCTGTTTTATCAGAGACTAGGATTACAACCCCTGCTTTTTTTTTTTTTTTTTTTTTTTTTTTGCTTTCCATTTGCTTGGTAAATCTTCCTCCATCCCTTTATTTTGAGCCTATGTGTGTCTTTGCACATGAGATGGGTTGTCTGAATAGAGCACACTGATGGGTCTTGACTCTTTATCCAATTTGCCAGTCAGTGCCTTTTAATTGGGACATTTAGCCCATTTACATTTAAGGTTAATATTGTTATGTGTGAATTTGATCCTGTCATTATGATGCTAGCTGGTTATTTTGTCCATTAATTGATGCTGTTTCTTCACAGTGTCAATGGTCTTTACATTTTGGTTTGTTTTTGCAGTGGCTGGTACTGGTTTTTCCTTTCCATATTTAGTGCTTCCTTCAGGAGCTCTTGTAAGGTAGGCCCGGTGGTGACAAAATCCATCAGCATTTGCTTGTCTGTAGAGGATTTTATTTCTCCTTCACTTATGAAGCTTAGTTTGGCTGTATATGAAATTCCCGGTTGAAAATTATTTTCTTTAAGAATGTTGAGGCCGGGCCAGTGGCTTATGCCTATAATCCCAACACTTTGGGAGGCCGAGGTGGGCAGATCATGAGGTCCAGAGATTGAGACCATCCTGGCCAACATGGTGAAACCCCGTGTCTACTAAAAATACGAAAATTAGTTGAGCATGGTGGCATGTGCCTGTAATCCCAGCTACTCGGGAGGCTGAGGTAGGAGAATCATTTGAACCCGGGAGGAGGAGGTTGCAGTGAGCCAAGATCATGCCATTGCACTCCAGCCTGGGTGACAAGAGTGAAATTCTGTCTCAAAAAAAAAAAAAAAAGAACGTTGAATATTGGCCCCCACTCTCTTCTGGCTTGTAGGGTTTCTGCAGAGAGATCAGCTGTTAGTCTGATGGGCTTCCCTTTGTGGGTAACCCGACCTTTCTCTCTGGCTGCCCTTAATATTTTTTCCTTCATTTCAACCTTGGTGAATCTGATGATTATGTGTCTTAGGGTTGCTCTTATCGAGGAGTATCTTTGTGGTCTACTCTATATTTCCTGAATTTGAATATTGGCCTGCCCTGCTAGGTTGGGGAAGCTCTCCTGGATAATATCCTGAAGTGTGTTCTCCAACTTGGTTCCATTCTTCCTGTCACTTTCAGGTATACCAATCAAACGTAGGTTTGGTCTTTTCACATAGTCCCATGTTTCTTGGAGGCTTTCTTCATTCCTTTTTATTCTTTTTTCTCTAATCTTGTCTTCATGTTTTATTTCATTAAGTTGATCTTCAATCCCTGATGTCTTTTCTTCCACTTGATCAATTCGGCTATTGATACTTGTGTATGCTTCATGAAGTTCTCGTGCTGTGTTTTTCACCTCCATCAGGTCATTTATGTTGTTCTCTAAACTGGTTATTCTGGGTACCAATTCCTCTAAACTTTTATCAAGGTTTTTAGCTTCCTGGCATTGGGTTAGAACATGCTCCTTTAGCTCAGAGGAGTTTGTTATTACCCAGCTTCTGAAGCCTACTTCTGTCAATTCGTCAAACTCATTATCTGTCCAGTTTTGTTCCCTTGCTGGCAAGGAGTTGTGATCCTTTGGAGGAGAAGAGACATTCTGGTTTTTCGAATTTTCAGCCTTTTTATGCTGGTTTTTCCTCATCTTCATGGATTTATCTACCTTTGGTCTTTGGTGTTGGTGACCTTCGGATGGAGTTTTTGCGTGGTCTTCCTTTTTGTTGATGTTGATGCTATTGCTTTTTGTTTGTTAGTTTTCATTCTAACAGTCAGGCCCCTCTTCTGCCAGTCTGCTGGAGTTTGCTGGGGATTCACTCCAGACCCTATTTGCCTGGGTATCACCAGTGAAGGCTGCAGAACAGCAAAAATTGCTGCCTGCTCCTTCCTCTGGAAGCTTCGTCCCAGAGGGGCACCTGCCACATGCCAGCTGGAGCTCTGCTGTATGAGGTGTCTGTTGACCCCTGCTGGGAGGTGTCTCCCCATCAGGAGGCATGAGGGTCAGGGACCCACTTGAGCAGGCAGTCTGTCCCTAGCAGAGCTCGAGCACTGTGCTGGGAGATCTGCTGTTCTCTTCAGAGCTGGCAGGCAGGAACATTTAAGTCTGCTGATGTTGCACCCACAGCCACCCCTTCCCCCAGGTGCTCTCTCCCAGGGAGACGGGAGTTTTATCTATAAGCCCCTGACTAGGGCTGCTACCTTTCTTTAAGAGATGCCCTGCCCAGAGAGGAGGAATCTAGACAGGCAGTCTGGCTACAGTGGCTTTGCTAGCTGCAGTGGGCTACACCCAGTCTGAACTTCCTGGTGGCTTTGTTTACACTGTGAGGGGAAAACTGCCTACTCAAGCCTCAGTCATGGTGGATGCCCTCCCCACACCAAGCTGGAGTGTCCCAGGTAGACTTCAGACTGCTGTGCTGGCAGCAAGAATTTTAAGCCAGTGGATCTTAGCTTGCTGGGCTCTGTGGGGGTGGGATCTGCTGAGCAAGACCACTTGGCTCCCTGGCTTCAGCCCCCTTTCCAGGGGAGTGAATGGTTCTGTCTCACTAACGTTCCAGGTGCCACCAGGGTATGAAAAAAAACTCCTGCAGCTAGCTCAGTGTTTGCCCAAACAGCCACCCCATTTTGTGCTTGAAACCCAGGGCCCCTGTGGTGTAGGCACCCAAGGGAATCTCCTGGTCTGTGGGTTGTGAAGAACATGGGAAAAGCATAGTATCTGAGCCAGATAGCACTGTCCCTCATGGCAAGGTCCCTCATGGCTTCCCTTGGCTAGGTAGGGAGTTGCCTGACCCCTTGTGCTTCCCAAGTGAGGTGACACCCCCCGCTTCTTCAGCTTGCCTTCCGTGCACTGCACCCACTGTCTAACTAGTCCCAATGAGATGAGCCAAGTACCTCAGTTGGAAATGCAGAAATCACCCACCTTCTGCGTTGGTCTAGCTGGGAGCTGCAGACCAGAGCTGTTGCTATTCGGCCATCTTGCCTGGGCATCTCTGAATCAGTTTTTAAAGAAAAAAAAACTGAGTGCAGCGGCTCATGCTTATAATCCCAGCAGGAGATCCCAGCAGGAGGCCAAGGCAGGAGAATTGCTTGAGCCCAGGAGTTCAAGACCAGCCTGAGCAACACAATGAGACCCCTTCTCTACAAAAAATTAAAAATTTAGCCAGGTGTGGTAGTGGCACACATCTGTATTCCCAGCTACTCAGGAGGCTGAGGCAGAGGGTCACTTGAGCTGGGAGTTCAAGGCTGCACTGAGCTATGATCGTGCCACTGCACTCCAGCCTAGGCAACAGAGCAAGACCCCATCTCAAAAAAAAAAGAAAGAAAAAATATATAGTTTAAAATGAGTTCCAGCTATCTTTAAATTATGCCCCACTTATCACTGGTCTGAATAAAGAAGGAGAAAGAGAACTTCCCTGTGCCAGAATGCAGTCAGGTCTATTTCACAGCCAGCTCCTGCTGACTTTAAGAAAGCTCAGCTTGTGCCATCAGAGTGGAATTCCTTGGCCCAGGGCCTCCAGCAGAAGCCCCCTGAGAGGTCACCCTGATCCTCCAGCCCATCCCATCTCCTGACCTTCTCTGTCATTGCTATCTTGCCAGTCACCCCTCCAGCCCCCACTTCACCCAAGATCTTCCCCGTGGGAATGAACTGAAACATCGAGATTTTTCTGTGGTGATCGAACTGGAGGACTCTAACTTTCACTTACAAGATCTATTCATGTTTGCAACAACATATCATGATGGGTGGAGAATACTAATACCAAAGGACTGAGTCTCTTTAAATTTGACCAACTGACTTAGCAGGCAGCTGGTGCCTTGGTTCCTTTCTATCCCTCATGCTTAAGATAACTTGACAAGACACTGAGGGATATTTTGAACCTTTCAGGCCTAAAAGCTGTGATTTGGATGGAATTAATAAAATGGCAAGGTAATTGCAATCCTTTTCTCTCTTTATTGGCTTGTATTTTGCTATGTTGATTCTGAAGTGGATAACTTGTTGTTCTATACTTTTTAACTTAAGAAAATGTGTTCAGTATGATTTTGTGTCTTCCTTAATGAAAAGTGTTTATTTTCCATTGCTGGTTTGCCGCAGACCCATTTCTGGCTAAGCATAGAACTCTTCAGTCATCTAAACCACTGTCTGAACATATTTGAGCATGGAAAAGTAAAAGTTTTAGGAATTTATCTGTGTTGGGTTGACTATTATGTATTTCTGTTGATCTCCAGACATAGAAAGGATCATTTTCCTTCCTAGGACACATTCAAATACAAATGCTGGTTTTATGGAAAGATAGTGTCTGGATTTAATGTATCAGATGCCTTAAGATATGTGAATCTGGTAAATTCCAGGCCTGATTATCTGATCATTTGTGTATTAACATTTGGAGGCCAACAGCAATTCTCATAGAAGGGAATGGGAGAGCTTACATAAACTGAATCACTGTGATCTAGGCATGATTTTTATGTGGAAATAAATTTTTCCTAAGATAACTTGAGTCTTTATCCCCTTTTTATTATTAATTGCCTTGATTTAAAAATGGGGCAAACTCAACAGAAAGATGAAAGCAATCTTATATAGAGCCGCATTTCATTTGCCGTAGGTCTTGTTTTCCAGAGCTATCTCCAACTTTGCCACCTGAGAAACACAAGTCCAAGTCCAATACTTACAGAAGAAATAACTATTCCACCTAGTCAAGGAACTAGCCAACACTTAATGGAGGATTGCCCTTGGTTATAGAGCTAACTGCAAATGAAGTAACTAGAGGAAGACCATTTACCTTCTCCATTGAAGAGACCATTCAAGAGCCAACTCAGCAATCAGGGTCTAGCAGTGTTACTGACTGGATGACTGGCACTTAGAGTCCAGCACCCTGCTGAGAAACCAGCAACCCATGTGAGGATTCCATGGCCAGTAAGCATGCTCTGCTTCTTGACTTTATGTAGAGGCTGTTGGTTAACTTTCCAGTGCAAATTTTGTTCATTTGGATTTCCCTATTTTGTCTGTTTTTCCTTTTCATTCATGCACATTTTACAGTCCACCACTCTGCTTGGCTCCTTATATAGTTTGGATATTTGTCCCTGCCCAAATCCCATGTTGAACTGTAATTCCCAATGATGGAGGTGGGTCCTAGTGGGAGGTGATTGGGTTGTGGGGGCGGATCCCTCATGGCTTGATGCTGTCTTTGCAAGAGTGAGTGAGTTCTTGCCAGATCTGGTCGTTTAAAAGTGTGTGGCACCGGGGCCAAACATGGTGGCTCACACCTGTAATCCCAGCACTTTGGGAGGCTGAGGCAGGTGGATCACCTGAGGTCAGGAGTTCAAGACCAGCCTGGCCAACATGGTGAAACCCCGTCTCAACTAAAAACAAATACAAAAAAATTAGCCAGGCATGGTGGCAGGCAGCTGTAATCCCAGCTACTCCAGAGGCTGAGGCAGGAGAATTGCTTGAACCCAGGAGGCAGAGGTTGCAGTGAGGCAAGATTGCACCAGTGCACTCCAGCCTGGGCAACCGAGTGAGACTCTGTCTCAAATAAAAAAAAAAAAGGATCCATCACCCCCCATTCCCCTCTGTCTTGCTCCTGCTTTCACCATGTAACGTGCCTGCTCCCCCTTCCCTTTCTGCCATGATTGTAAGCTTCCAGAGTCCTCCCCAGAAGGCAAGCAGATGCCAGCACCATGCTTCCTCTAAAGCCTGCAGAATCATGAGCCAATTAAGCCTCCTTTTTTAATAAATTACCCAGTCTCAGATGTTTATAGCAGTGCAAGAATGGCCTAATACAGCTTCCATCCTGTCACTTTTGATAAATGTGGAACAATAAACAACTCTTCTCCTGCAGCCAAAATGTATTCTAACTCATTTCTCAGAAATGAATAGGCTCTATTAGCATTTCCCATTTTATTTCCTTCCTGCAAAGTTTTCTTTAGAGTTGTAATCATGCCCTACTGTCACATCTTTTCTTTTGAACCAATGTTCTGTATTCCAGAAATCATGTAGGAAGAGAATAATGTGTTCCCTTAGATCAGTACACATTGTAAAATAGAAAGAGAAAGAGGTGCAGCAGAGAATGCACAAGGCACCCCTTTAAATAAGCAGAAATGAATTTACTTTCTGGTCCCAACTCAAACATCCCCTATTTGTTTTTATTTCATAGACTGAGATCACAAGACTCTTGAACAGAAGAAATGCCAAGAGAGCTAGAATCTTACAGATGGTGGTATTAATAATGGAGCAAACTAGAACCAATGACAAAGACATGAAGTCTGAAAATAGCACAGAGAATATAAATATTGTGAGATGAATGTTCCCCCTTCAATTCTCCTTATTTGCCAAATATTTTCATTTCCTTTTGTCATTATAGAAAATAAAACCATGCATCACAGTCAAAAGTGCTCCACTAGCAACATTGTATGATTCACTCTTTTTGTCATACATGTCTTTAGTAATTGATGGATATTAAAATCACACAGACTATTTAATAAGGGCTTATTTTACTTGCATCGCCACTTTGATTCAAAAAAAGATTTAAGGTAGTTAATAAGGTTAGAAGGAAAGAGAGTTAACAAAGACAAGAACTTTAACTAGAGTCAAAACTAAAGTCAATATTTAAGAAATAAACACCACATAGTCTCCCACGCTTTCTCTGGGTGACATTTACAGCGGGTGACCAAGGAGAGGCTGAGTCATCTTTTCCACCACTGTCTACCCTGAGGGTTCATGCACAATTAGGCAGAGTTCAAACTCAGAATTCGTTGAACAAATGACAAGCAGCATATGCACAGATGAGCAGTCTTGAACTGGGGACCAAGGTTGATTGGAACATCTGAGTTGTCTTTGAACTGTTTACCATCAGCACTGAAACTTCCCCCACATCCAATCTACCTGCCCACAAAAGTCCCATCTTCCCCAACTCCATCTGCCCTCCCCCACTTCTTAATACACAGACATACAGGTAAGGTAGCCTGGCCAATGTGTTCTTCATAGAAACTGAAAATAGCCCCCGTGACAAATTGTTAGGTCTCCTGTTCTGGGGAGGTGCTTGGTCACGGGGTGCCACCGTCAAGCCTCACTAGGTTCTCTAATTGTCATGCCTGAATTATTGCCAGAATTATTACCAGGAAAGAGGTGCAATTTTTCTTAGGATTCAAGCAAAAAAGCAGAAAAAATTTGGAATTCTCAAAATGAAAAGTAGTTGAGATGCAAAATTATAGACAAGGAAGAAGCATGTGTGTGTGGGACATATATAGTACATATAATGCAAATGTACACATTATTCAAAAAATAAGTAATTAGCATGAAAATTAAAATAATTACATTTAAAAGGTACTGGGAGTAATGGCCGGGCGCGGTGGCTCACGCCTGTAATCCCAGCACTTTGGGAGGCCGAGGCGAGTGGATCATGAGTTCAGCAGAATCAGACCATCCTGGCTAACACGGTGAAAGCCCGTGTCTACTAAAAATACAAAAAAAAAAAAATTAGCCAGGCGTAGTGGCGGGCGCCTGTAGTCCCATCTACTCGGGAGGCTGAGGCAGGAGAATGGCGTGAACCTGGGAGGCGGAGCTTGCAGTGAGCCGAGATCACAACACTGCACTCCAGCCTGAGCGACAGAGAGAGACTCCGTCTCAAAAAAAAAAAAAAAAAAAAAGGTACTGGGAGTAAAATAACAAGGCTACTTTCATGCCCGTCCTTGTGAAGAGACAACCAAACAGGCTTTGTGTGAGCAATAAAGCTTTTAATCACCTGGGTGCAGGTGGGCTGAGTCCGAAAAGAGAGTCAGTGAAGGGAGATAAGGGTGGGGCCATTTTATAGGATTTGGGGAAGGTAAAGGAAAATTACAATCAAAGAGGGTTTGTTCTCTGGCGGGCAGGAGTGGGGGTCGCAAGGTGCTCAGTGGGCAGGAGTGGGGGTCTCAAGGTGCTCAGTGGGGGTGCTTTTTGAGCCAGGATGAGCCAGGAAAAGGACTTTCACAAGGTAATGTCATCAGTTAAGGCAAGGACCAGCCATTTACACTTCTTTTGTGGTGGAATGTCATCAGTTAAGGTGGGGCAGGGCATATTCATTTCTTTTGTGATTCTTTAGTTACTTCAGGCCATCTGGGCGTATAAGTGCAGGTCACAGGGGATGCAATGGCTTGGCTTGGGCTCAGAGGCCTGACATTCCTGCCTTCTTAATAAGAAAAATAAAATAGTGTTGAAGTGTTGGGGCGGCGAAAATTTTTGGGGGGTGGTATGGAGAGAGAATGGACGATGTTTCTCAGGGCTGCTTCAAGCGGGATTAGGGGCGGCGTGGAAACCTAGAGTGGGAGAGATTAAGCTGAAGGGAGGTCTTGTGGTAAGGGGTGATATTGTGGGGATGTTAGAAGAAACATTTGTCGTATAGAATGATTGGTGATGGCCTAGATACGGTTTTGGATGAATTGAGAAACTAAATGGAATAACAGAAGGAGAAAAACAGGTATAAAAGGTCTAAGAATTGGGACGACTCAGGATATCTGATTAGAGAGTGCCTAAGGAGATTCAGCATAGTCCTGCCAGCAAAGATTATTTATTTACTTCAAGAGTTAAGAGTGGCAGTTTGGGGATAGCACCAGGAGATATCAGCTGTGATGGCTTGGAAAAACAGTGTAAACCGGCAGTGTAAACAACAGCAGGGCATGTATGAGTAGTTGAGAACGGTGAATAGGAGTATGACTAGACAGAAGATAGTAGGGATGACAAGTTTTTTGGGGCACAGTCTAAGTTGGTCTGGTGTCTGGAATGAGACTGGGGCCTAATAAAAAGGAGCGTCTATACAGGAGCTCAAATGGGCTGTACCCTGTAGCATTCCGAAGACAGGCCTGAATTCTGAGAAGGGAAAGTGGTAAAAGTATTGTCCAGTCCTTTTTAAGTTGGTGGCTGAGCTTGATGAGGTGTGTTTTTAAAAGACCTTTAGTCCATTCTACTTTTCTTGAAGACGGAGGACCATAAGGGATATAAAGGTTTCACTGAATACTAAGAGCCTGAAAAACTGCTTGGCTGATTTGACTAATAAAGGCTCATCTGTTATCAGACTATATTGAGGTGGGAAGGCTAAACTGAGGAATTATGTCTGACAGAACAGAAGAAATGACTGCAGTGGCCTTCTCAGACCCTGTAGGAAAGGCCTCTACCTATCCAGTGGAAGTATCTACCTAGACTAAGAGGTATTTTAGTTATCTGACTCAGGGCATGTTGAGTGAAGCTAATTTGCCAGTCCTGGGTGGGGCAAATCCTCGAGCTTGATGTGTAGGGAAGGGAGGGGGGCCTGAATAATCCCTGAGGAGTAGTAGAATAGCAGGTGGAACACTGAGAAGTTATTTCCTTGAGGATAGATTTCCACGATGGAAAGGAAATGAGAGGTTCTAAGAGGCGGGCTAGTGGCTTGTACTATAGCATAACCTGCCTTTGCTGGTGTGTGGCGATTAGGCCTGGTGGAACCGCCATCAATAAATCAAGCGTGATCAGGGTGAGGAACAGGAAAGAAGGAAATGTGGGGAAATGGGGTGAATGTCAGGTGGATCAGAGAGATACAGTCATGGGGGTCAGGTGCGGTATCAGGAATAATGTGGGAGGCCGGATTGAGGTCTGGGCCAGGAACAACGGTAATTGTGGGAGACTCAACAAAGAGTGAGTATAGCTGAAGGAGCCAGGAAGCAGAAAGTATATGCGTCAGGTATGAGGAAGAAAATAGATTTTGGAAGTTATGAGAACTGTAGAGAGTGAGTTGAGAATAGTTTGTGATTTTGAGGGCCTCTAAAAGTATTAAAGCAGCGGCAGCTGCTGCACGCAGACATGAGGGCTAGGCTAAAACAGTAAGGTCAAGTTGTTTGGACAGAAAGGCTACAGGGTGTGGTCCTGGCTCTTGTGTAAGAATTCTGACCACACTAACCATGCCTAGGAAGGAAAGGAGTTGTTGTTTTGTAGAAGGTGCTTGGGTTTGAGAGATCAGTCGAACATGATTGGCAGGGAGAGCACGTGTGTTTTTATGAGAATTATGCCGAGATAGGTAACAGATGAGGAAGAAATTTGGGCTTGATTGAAGTAATGGGGGCTGTCTGTGAAGCTCTGCGGCAGTACAGCCCAGGTAATTTGCTGAGCTTGATGGGTGTCAGGGTCAGTCCAAGTGAAAGCGAAGAGAGGCTGGGATTAAGGGTGCAAAGGAATAGTAAAGAAACATGTTTGAGATCTAGAACAGAATAATGGGTTGTAGAGACAGATATTGAGGATAGGAGAGTATATGGGTTGGGCACCATGGGGTGGATAGGCAAAACAATTTGGTTGATAAGGCGCAGATCCTGAACTAACTTGTAAGGTTTGTCTGGTTTTAGGACAGGTAAAATGGGGGAATTGTAAGGAGAATTTATAGGTTTTAAAAGGCCATGCTGTAGCAGGCGAGTGATAACAGGCTTTAATCTTTTTAAAGTGTGCTGCGGGATGGGATACTGGCGTTGAGTGGGGTAAGGGTGATTAGGTTTTAATGAGATGGTAAGGGGTTCATGATCAGTCGCCAAGGAGGGAGTAGAGGTATCTTATACTTGTGGGTTAAGGTTGGGGGGATACAAGAGGAGGACGCAAAGGAGGCTTTGGATTGGGAAGAAGGGCGGCAATGAGATATAGCTGTAGTCCAGGAATAGTCAGGGAAGCAGATAATTTAGTTAAAGTGTCTCAGCCTAATAAGGGAACTGGGCAGGTGGGGATAACTAAAAAGGAGTGCTTAAAAGAGTATTGTCTACGTTGGCACCAGAGTTGGGGAGTTTTAAGAGGTTTAGAAGCCTGGCCGTCAATACCCACAACAGTTATGGAGGCAAGGGAAACAGGCCCTTGAAAAGAAGGTAATGTGGAGTGGGTAGCCTCTGTATTGATTAAGAAGGGGACTGACTTACCTTCCACTGTGAGAGTTACCCAAAGCTCGGCGTCCATGATGGTCTATGGGGCTTCCAAGGTGATCGGGCAGCGTCAGTCTTCAGCCGCTAAGCGGAGAAGGAGTCAGTCAGAGAGCCTTGGGCCAGAGTTCCAGGGGCTCTGGGAGTGGCTGCCAGGTGAGTTGAACAGTCCGATTTCCAGTGGGGTCCCGCACAGATGGGACATGGCTTAGGAGGAATCCTGGGCCGCAGGCATTCCTTGGCCTGGTGGTCAGATTTCTGGCACTTGTAACAAGTTCCTGGGGGAGGAGGTTCTGGAGGAATGCCTGGCCGCTGAGGTTCAGGCGTTTGGAAGTTCTTGTGTGCTAGAGATGCGGCTGGGGTTTGTCTCACAGTGGAGGCAAGGAATTGCAACTTTTTTCTATTACTGTACACCTTGAAGGCGAGGTTAATTAAATCCTGTTGTGGGGTTTGAGGGCCGGAACTTAATTTTTGGAGTTTTATTTAATGTCGGGAGCAGATTGGGTAATAAAATGTATATTGAGAATAAGATGGCCTTTTGACCTTTTAGGGTCTAGGGCTGTAAAGCGTCTCAGGGTTGCTGCCGAACGAGCCATGAACTGGGCTGGGTTTTTATATTTGATGAAAAAGAGCCTAAACGCTATCTGATTTGGGATAAAGAAAAAGGAGCAATAACCTTGACTATGCCTTTGGCTCCAGCCACCTTTTTAAGAGTAAATTGCTGGGCAGGTGGGGGAGGGCGAGTCACGGAACGAAACTGTAAGTCGGACCAGGTGTGAGGAGGGGAGGTGATAAAAAGATTATAGGGTGAAGGAGCGGAGGCTGAGGAAGAATTGGGACCTAGCTCGGCCTGGCGAGGAGCAGGCTGGGGAGGAAGGGAGAGGTCAGATGGGTCTGTAGAAAAGGAAGATTATAAAGACTCAGCGACGCTTGGGGTTGGTACTGAGGGGACAGGCGGGAGGGAAAGAAGGAAGATTTGGGACGAGTTGCACTGGGCACAGAGACTAGGACGGGACTGATGTGTAAAAGAATGCCTGGACATCAGGCACCTCAGACCGTTTGCCTATTTTATGACAATAATTATTTAGATCTTGCAGGATGGAAAAATTCAAAGTGCCATTTTCTGGCTATTTGGAACTACTGTCGAGTTTGTATTGGGGTCAAGCGGCATTGCAGAAGAAAATAAGGCATTTAGGTTTTAGGTCAGGTGTGAGTTGAAGAGGTTTTAAGTTTTTGAGAACACAGGCCAAGGGAGTAGAAGGAGGAATGGAGGGTGGAAGGTTGCCCATAGTGAAGGAAGGAAGCCTAGAGAAAAGAGAGTAGAGAAACGGAGGGAAGGGGTTCAGGGGTTCTTACCTGCCAGAAAAGTGGGAAAAGGGGTTGGGGCGCAGAGATAAGAGGTCAGGGCACGGAAATAAGGGATTGGGGCGCAGAGATATGAGGTTGGGGCACGGAAATAAGGGATTGGGTGCAGAGATAAGAGGTTGGGGTGTGGAAATAAGGGACTGGGGGTTCTTGCCCCATAGAAAAGCGGGACTTGCCGCTAAGGCTGAAGGAGAAGGGGTTGAGAGGTACTTGCCCCTGTCCCAGGAAAGTGGGACTTGCCGCTAAGGGTGAAGGAGAAGGGGTTGAGGGGTACTTGCCCCTGCCCCAGGAAAGCGGGACTTGCCACTAAGGGTGAAGGACCAAGGCAGGCGTCCCTGTGTGGTCTGACACCCTTGAAACATGAGTGTATAATCAGAGAGGCATCCCTGCAATGATTAAACACCAAGGGAAGGCTGCCTTCCCAGTCCGTGACCGGCGCCGGAGTTTTGGGTTCATGGATAAAACATGTCTCTTTTGTCTCTACCAGAAAATGAAAGGAATTGAAATTAAGAGAAGGGAGAGACTGAAGTGTGGCGCCAAGATTGAAAGGAGAAAGAGGTTGAGGGATAGTGAGGGAGGTTGGAGAAGAGAGTAAAAAGAGGCCGCTTACCGGATTTGAAATTGGTGAGATGTTTCTTGGGCTGGTCGGTCTGAGGACCTGAGGTCATAGGTGGATCTTTCTCACGGAGCAAAGAGCAGGAGGACAGGGGATTGATCTCCCAAGGGAGGTCCCCCAATCCGAGTCACGGTACCAAATTTCGTGCGCGTCCGTGTGAAGAGACCACCAAACAGACTTTGTGTGAGCAATAAAGCTTTTAATCACCTGGGTGCAGGCGGGCTGAGTCCGAAAAGAGGGTCAGTGAAGGGAGATAATGGTGGGGCCATTTTATAGGATTCTGGGAAGGTAAAGGAAAATTACAGTCAAAGAGGGTTTGTTCTCTGGCGGGCAGGAGTGGGGGTCGCAAGGTGCTCAGTGGGCAGGAGTGGGGGTCGCAAGGTGCTCAGTGGGGGTGCTTTTTGAGCCAGGATGAGCCAGGAAAAGGACTTTCACAAGGTAATGTCATCAGTTAAGGCAAGGACCAGCCATTTACACTTCTTTTGTGGTGGAATGTCATCAGTTAAGGTGGGGCAGGGCATATTCACTTCTTTTGTGATTCTTTAGTTACTTTAGGCCATCTGGGCGTATACATGCAGGTCACAGGGGATGCAATGGCTTGGCTTGGGCTCAGAGGCCTGACAGCTACTAAGTCTTTATTTTATGCCAAATTCTCCTCTAAATGCAGTACAGTATATCTTATTTCATTTTAATCCTCATAACAGGTCTAAAGCAAAGATACTATTATTATTTTACAGATAAGAAAACTAAAGCTTGGTGAAGTTAAGTCGCTTGCCCCGGATCACACAGATCGTGGCAAAACTAACAATCAAATTAGGGCCTGACTCCAGAGGCCAAGCTCTGACTTTTACATGTGCTGCCTCCCAGTGGGAAGAGCTGGTAATTACCAAGCCTGAACTCTGGTTCTATTACTCCTTCATTTCCCTAGAACTAATTTTTTTTTAAACAGTTTCATAGAGAACTTACTCACAATAGCCAAGACCCAGAAACAGTCCCAGTGTTGATAGATGAGTCAAGGGATAAACAAATCATGGTAAATACCTACATATTTAATTAGCCATCAAAGGGAATATGCTGCTAATACGTGCAACACCAATGAAGCTCAGAGACCCCATGCTTGGTGAAAATACCCAGACTGAAAAAGAGAACTCTGTCCTTACCTGTAACATCAGATAGGTTGAATAAAAATGATCTCCAAAGTCCTTTTTATTTCTAGCATTCTTAATTGCACCAAAGTTAGGAAAATATGTTCACATATCAAATTGATTTTTAAGTATCTTGACCTCATGACCAAAACGATAGCAATTCATTCAGCCTAGAATTTATAAATTACATGTTATGAATAATTAGTCACACTCATCCCAGTCCTGAAGAATATAATTATTGCGATACATATAAAGCTCCATGAGAACCAGAAACAAGATAACTTCATTCACCTCTGTCTTCCAGGCATCAAGAACGACATCTTTCACACTGGACATGTTCACAAATGACTGGTGAATACTAAGGGATTAACATAAGATCACTAAACCACCTCTATGCTCCTCTTTTTGAGAAAAAGAAAAGAAAAATGAGAAACAATGGATCTTCAGAGCTAAGTTGAAGTTAAGGATTATTTAGTTTATTCTCATTGTTTTATAAATGATTAAAGTAGACCCAGAGAGGACATTTTTACCATTGATACTGCTATGATTACTACTATTGTTGCTATTATCATTGTCTTCATGTTCTGAGGTAATTCTGAGAAATCTTTCTTTTTCATCCACCATGAAATACTGTAGAAGACTCAAGGGCTCTTTGCCTTTTTCTTGAACTGGAGATTTAGGAACCACAGCCCTCTGCCCACCAGTCCCCCTCCTGCACTCCCCACTCCTTAAGGATAGAATTATTGAGTTTTATATATATATATATATATATTATATATAATATATATCATATAACTTATAACTTATATATATATAACTCAATCAATAATTCTACCCTGAAAAGAGGAGGAGCTTCATTGAGCAACAAAGTGGGCAGGTTCCTGGTGAGGCCCCACCTTCAGGCCAGGGAGGGTCTGAAGGCTGAGGACCAGGCTGCCAGTCCTGCAGACCAGAGTGGGAACTTGTGGTGCCTTCTCCAGGCTTACCCATGGCCACCCATGGACCAATCGGCACACACTTCCTCCCCTCTGAGGCCCATAAAAGCCCTGAGATCAGCCAGAGCAGAGCAGACATCAGGACAACCAGCTGCAGAGAGAAGCAACCCACTCCAGGGCCGCCACACTGCTGAGAGCTAGGCAGACAATGGGATCACCTGCCTGCAGAGAGGAGCTTCCCACTTCAGGGTCTCCTCTCTGCTAAGAGCTAAACACTTGTCAGGACACTCTGGTTGTGGAAAGGAACTACCCTATTGCTCAATAAAGTTCCTCTTTATCTTGCTCACCCTCCACTTTTCTGTGTACCTCATTCTTCCTGGTCACAGGAGAAGAACTTGGGACCTGTCGAGTAGTGGGGCTGAAAGAGCTATAAGACAAACAGGGCTGAAACATGCCCCTAGATCACCACATTGCAGGCAAAGAGAAGGAGAGAAGAGCTGCAGCCCTTCAGGGAGCCCAGACCTGGGAACCGTCTGAGCCAGGTCTGTGACTTCCTCTTCAGAGCTCTGTGGTTCCTGGTGTCTCCAAGCTTCCAGGCATACCCATGTTCCCTGGTGCCAGCTGTAGAAGCTGCCTGTGGTGCACCTGGTCCAGCCGCAGCCTTGCAGAGGGCCAGCACCTGGAGCTGCCCTCCCCGCTGCAGCAGCCAGCATGTCTGACTGCACAGTGGCTGGACACCAGGCTCACTCACACAGCCCTTGCTGCTCCACACAGTCTCCCTTGGCAGTCATGGGATCCAGGCTGGTAGTGTGAGCTGAGCACCACCTGCCAGGCTGAGTGGACAGAGCAAGCCCCGCAGGATCGAGTAAACTCAAGCAAAGGCACCACTGGCCACAGGTTTCCAGTCAGAAAAGCAACACCCCAAAGATCCTATAACATAAAGACTACACCTTAGTATAAGGGCTGTGCTGTAGCACTAACAGCAAAGCTGAAAGTAATGCTACCCAGAAAACCAGACTTTGACAGGATCAAGTAATCCACAAGTAAATGAGTTGTCCACCAGAAAATAATTTAACAAATCTTTAGAGGAAGAACCTCCCAAACTTATAATCTACAATGTCTGCAAAAAAAATTATGAGGCACATAAAAAAGGAAAATGTTATAGATAATTAAGAGAACAAATAACCAATAGAAATAGTGATCTAGAAGATCCATATTTGGGAGTTAGCTGACTAGGACTTAGTTGAATAACATTTTTTTAAATATGAAAGATATATTAGTCAGGGAGTAACAGAGCAAATAGGGTGTGTGTGTGTGTGTGTGTGTGTGTGTGTGTGTGCAGAGAAAAAAAGGGATTTATTATAAAGAATACTCATGCAACACTGGAGGCTGAGAAGTTCAGACCCAGAAGAGCTGATGGTATCAGTTCCAGTCTTGAGTCTGAGTCAAAGGCAGGAGAAGACCAGTGTCCCAGACTGAAGACAAGCAGAGAAAGAACTCTTTCTTACTTAGCCTTTTATTCTATTCAGGCCTTTGACAAATTGGGTGAGGCCCACTCAAAATAGAGACAGCAATCTTCTTTCCTCAGTCTACCCCTTCAAATGTGAATCTCACCCAGAAACACCCTCACAGATATACCCAGAAATAGTGTTTAACCAACTATCTGGGCATCATGTGGCCCAGTCAAGTTAACACATAGCTAATCATCACACATGGAAATTGGGAAACTTTCAACACACCTGTGTATCTATATATCCATATATAAATTGCACATAAGACATTTACCATAGACCACAAGACAGAGGCATATCCTAGGCTCATATAACAAGTTGACAAATCTCAAATTATTTAGATCATATATTGCATGTTCTGTCGCCACTATGGAATTGAGTGCTCAGTAAGAGAAAGATAAATAGAAGCTAGAAAAGCAACACATTTCAAATTACCCATGAGTTAAAGAAGAAATCACAATGAAAAAATAGAAACTATTTTGAGCTGAAAGATAAAGAAAAGACAATAAACCAAACTTGTTGTATACACCAAAAGGTGCTTTGGGGAATATTAATAGCTTCAAATGCATATATTAGGTGAAAGGAAAAGATTGAAAATCACTAAGTTAAGCCTCCATCTCAATAAACGAGGAAAAGAACAGTTAATTAAACCCAAGGATAAGAGAAGTAAATAATAAATATAATAGCAGAAATCAATAAGGTATAACATAAGAAGTCAATGTAGTCAAAGTTGCTTCTTAGATAAATTTACTAAAATTAATAAGTCCCTAGGTAGACTAATCAAGGGAAGAAAAATGAGAAAATTCAATTTATCAGTATCAGGCATAGACAAGGAGAAATCACATAGACCTTAGAAATATTAAAAAGATAATAAAAAGACATTATGAAAAACTTCATGCCCATAAATTTAAAAAATTTTGTGTCAAAACATTAGATTACATGGAGAAAAAAAATCCTCAAAATTCCAATATACCATCACTGGCACAGGATGAAATGAAAGATGTGAATGATATTGAATTTGTAATAATAATAGTTGTTTTTAATTTACAAAAAAAAAAAAAACTTCCCACAAAGAAAACTGTGAGATGGCTTTATTAGTGAATTCTCCTTCACATTTATGAAAAAACTAAAACCAATCTTATCCAAACTCTTAAAGACAGAGAGAATAAAAAGAAATACATTTCAACACATTTTATGAGATCATCGGAATTTTTATTTCTAAACCTATGAGTGCATTATTTTAAAAAAGGAAACCACAAGCTAATATATTTCATGAACACATGAGAAAACTTAAGTAAATAAAATGCAAGCACATATTTAAAAAAGTAATACATCTCGAACAAGGGTAGTTTATTCCAGGAATAAAAGGCTAGTTTAACATTTAAAAGTGAATGTGATTAATCACATTAACAAAACAAATGAGAAAAGCTAGTAAGATTCAAATAAACCTAGAAACAGACTATTAGTAAAAGAATTTATCAAGGGCACTATACAAAAGTTGGTGGTATTTCTATATAAAGGCAACAAACAAGTAGAAAATATAAATTACCATTTGCCATAACATCAAAACATAAATCACTTATAAATAAATCTAATGAGAAATGTGTAAGACTTTTATACAAAAAACTGCAAAACATTAATAAGAAAATGTTTGAAATACTTAAGTAAACAGGATGTGTCTGTTCCTTGACTGGAAAACTCAATGTTGTTAAGATGTCAGTTCTCCCAGAATTGGTCTATAGATTCAATGCAATTCAATGTAATCCCACTAAAACTCCCTTGGTTTTCTGTTGTTGTGTTGGGGGTTGGGCGGGGTGGGGGGGTAGAAACTAACAAGCCGATTCTTCTCTTTTTCCCCCATTGGCTAGGCTCCCTCAAAGCAGACAAGCTGTTTCTAAAATTCATACGGAAATGCAGAGAGCCTAGAATGTCCAAGGACGTAAGGAAGTAGAACAAAGCTCATATATTTTAAACCATGAGATATAAAGCCTATTAGAAAACTACAGAAATTAAGACAGTGCAGTACTGGTACTAGAATATGGAGCAGACCAATCCAATAGGAAGAGGAGTCCAGAAACAGACCCACAAGTCTCCCACACCCTAATGGGGAGAGAGGGAACTCCACTGCAATTCAGTGGGAAAAGGTACATGGAAAACAAAAACAAGAAACCTTGGCCCCCTACTTTAGGAAAGCTGAGAAAATCAAGTTTCTATAAGAAATATAGGACAATATCTTCATGAGCTTAGAAGAGGCAACTATTTCTCAAACATGACACCAAAACTGAAACTGCCTTTGCAAAACTATGACAATAAAAGAAATCCAATATGGCTGAGTTCATCTTGCTTCTAGCCTCACAGGCTGGCTGTCTTCATTCATTCACGGGTATAGACCAAGCTTACTATGGGAGAAATTTAGTTTACAGTTTAAATAATAACAGCCCTTCCCAAAAACTAAACTTTCTTTGTAAAACTAATGAAAGGCCACCAAGTTAGGAGGATGAAAGGGGTCTGAATTCTGCTAGATGTAGGCATAGTTAAATACTTACTAGTCATTATTCTGGAGGTCCCAAGATTTGCAACTTCCCCAATTACTCCTGCAGATAGCATCACTCTTGTAGAACCTAAGATTGACCTTTTGAGATGTCTTTTAAGGCTTTTGCATTTCTGACAACCAGATGATTCCACTTGGACCTGGACATTGGACCTGGACTCCTCTAGTAGCCCCCACTCAGAAACAGCCTCAGCACACAAGGATCATTTTCCACACCCCTATGATTGCATCCTCAACTAATCAGGATGTCCCCTTCTGGATACCCTTGCCCAACAAATTCTCCTTGGAAAACCCTAGTCTACAAATTTCTGGAGAGATTAATTTGAGTAATAACTGTCTCCCATGTGGCATGGCCAGCCAAGGGTTAATTAAACCCTTTCTTTACTGCAATGTCATGGTCTCAGTGGATTGACGTTGTTTGTGCAGCAGGCAGGAAGAACCTATCAGGTTATTACAGAACTACTATTAAGAAAGTAAAACAGGCCAAGCATGGTGGCTCATACCTGTAATCCCAGCACTTTGGGAGGCTGAGGCAGGAAGATCATTTGAGCCTAGGAGTTTGAGACCAGCCTGGGCAACACAGGGAGACTAAAAATTCAGCTAAAAATTAGCTGAGTGTGGTGGCCTGCCTGTAGTCCTAGTGTCATGGGACTTTTGAGGTATTGCTTTGCCATCCAGAAATCTCTGTAGCCAGTGGCACCTTTGCCTGAGTTTTGCTTGGACTTGCTGGGCTCATTCTGCCCACTCGGCCTGGCAGGCTGTACTCAGCTATAACTACCAGCCTGGATCCCATGCCTGCCAAAAGCAAGCCAGGCACAGAGCAGCAAAGGGTGTGTGAGCGAGCACTCAGTCCAGCCACTGTGCACAGACAGGCATACCAGCTGCAGTGGGGTGGGCAGCTCCAGGCACTGGCACAGGTGCCAGCTCCCTGTTAGGCTGTGGCTGGACCAGGTGTACCACAAGCAGCTTCCGTGGCTGGCACTGGGAAACATGGTGGCACCTGGAAGCTTGGAGATGCCAGGAACCACAGAGCCTGAAAGAGGGTGTCACAGCCCTGGCTTGGGGATCTCCTAGGTCTGTGCTCCCCAAAGGGCTGCAGCTCTTCTATCATTTTGTCTTCTCTCCTTGTCGCCTGCAAAGTGGCGAGTCAGGGGCATTTCAGCCCTGTTTGTGTTACAGCTTTTTTAGCCCCACCATTCAGCAGGACTTGAGTTCTTATCCTGTATCCAGGAAGAATGAGGTACACAGACAAGTGGAAGGTGAGCAAGGCAAAGAGGAGCTTTATTGAGTGATAAAACAGCTCAGAGGAGACCTGCAATGGGTAGCTCTTCTCTGCAGGCAGGGTGTCCCAGTGAGTGTTCAGCTCTCAGCAGAGATGAGACCATGGAGTAGGTAGCTCCTCTCCACAGCTGATTGTTGTGTTGTCTTCCCAGCTCTCAGCAGAGAGGAGACCCTGGAGTGGGCAGCTCCTCTCCACAGCTGGCAGGTCATTGTCCCCTCGAGTCTGGCTGAGTCTGGGGCCATTTTAGGCCTTAGAGGGGAGGAAATGCATCCAATTTGTCCATGGGTGGCCATGGGTGGGCCCAGAAAAAGCACCACAAGTTCCCACTTCGGTCCATGGGACCGGCAGCCTGGCCCCAGGCTTCAGACACTCTGCAGTTTGAAGGTGGGGTTTCACCGAGGTCTTGCCCATTTCCACCCAGGAGCCTGTCTGCCTCCTGCTGCCATTCATAGCGCCTAGGCTGTTCATGCTGAGGGGCACCTGCAGGCCAGCGCTGAGTTGCCCTCACACCCCCTCAGTCTCCCTCCCATGCTCATCAGCACCCAAAGTCCACAGGGGGCCAAGGTACCAGACGGCTGGCATGTGTCAGTGCTGCCCCAAGTGTGCACACACCTTGCCATGTGTGACAGCACCCGGTCTTGGCCCCAACCTCACTCCGAGATCGGAGCAGGTGCCAGGAGTGGGGAGAAGCCAGGCAGTGGGAGCAGATGCCTCTGAGTCTGTGGGGGCAGGGAGGCCTTCCTGGGCCCCCCAGAGCACAGGGAGGCCCAGGTCTGTAACTGTGGCTGAATGGCTGCAGCTGTGTCCAGGATGGCAGGGCTCCTGCCTGCTCCCAACCCCCAAGAGCACAGGGAGGCCCGGGTCCGCAGCCACGGCTGGGCGGCTGCAGCTGTACCCAGGAGGGTGCGTTCTTGGCTTCCGCTGGCTCTGTGGAGCATGCAGCCCAGCCACACCTCCCCCACTGCAGCTAGATTCTTGGCAGTGGCTGCTTCAGGCAGGCCACTGCTGCCATCACCAGCTACTCAGGAGGCTCAGGTGGAAGGACTGCTTAAGCCAGGAAGACTATGAGGCTGCATTGAGTCATGATTGCACCACTGCACTCCAGCCTAGGGGATGAAGTGAGACCCTGTCTTAAAAAAATTAAAATTTAAATTAAAAAAAGTAAAAGAATTGGACATCATTAACAGAACACTTGCTCATGAAAAGATACAAGACAGTGAAAAAGAAAACTACAGAATGGAGAGAAGATACTTGCAATATATGTATATATATATAAAATATATACTACATATACAATATATACTATATATATATATCTCTTACAAACGACTTATATCTAGCATATATACAGAATTTCTACAAATTAATAAGGAGACACAGACAACCCAGTTAAATGATAAGTAAAACATTTGAACTTCACTAAAAAGGATATTAAAATCCAAAATAAACAGGAAAGATACTCAATATCATTAGTCAGCAGAGAATTACAAATTAAAAATTACAATGAGATAACACTTCAAATTCAAAATAGTGTCAATATGTACAATGCTTTAGAAAAATGTTTCAGAGTATTTTATAAAACTAAACATGCATCTACCCCATGATCAACAATTCCACCTCTAGGAATGAGTGCATATGTTCCACAAAAGACATGTAAAATAACAGAGATGTAAAATGATACTCATAAAAACTTTATTCATAATAGCCAAAGATTGACTACAACTCAAATTTCTATCAATACTTGAATTAGAGTTTGTAGTCATACAATAGAGTACTACAGAAAAATGAAAGATTATGAACTACTACTGCATGCAATGATATTAATGAATCTTCCAGATAAAATATTGAGGAAAATAATCAGAAACAAAAGAATACATAATGTATTCTCCATTTATGGGAAGCTCAAAATAGATAAGACTTATCTAGGGTACTAGAGGTCAGAATACTGGTTATATCTGGGAGGGGGTCTTATTAGGAATAATTAAATAAGCAATTGAAGATATTAAATAATACCACAAATACAAAAATCACAACTCAGAAAACAGATGATCAAACAGTGAAATAAGAACTGACAAGCCGAGCATGGTGGTTCATGCCTGTAATCCCAGCACTTTGGGAAGCCAAGGTGGGAGGATCACTTGAGGTCAGGAGTTTGAGACTAGCCTGGCCAACATAGATAAACCCCGTCTCTACCAAAAATACAAAAATTAGCCAGGTGTGGTGACGCACACCTCTAATCTCAGCTACTCGTGAGGCTGAGGCAGGAGAATCATTTGAACACGGGAGGTTGAGGTTGCAGTGAGCTGAAATGGAGCCATTGCACTCGTCTCAAAAAAACAAAAAAGGCGGGCACAGTGGCTCACGCCTGTAATCCTAGCACTTTGAGAGGCTGAGGCGGGTGGATCACCTGAGGTCAGGAGTCGAGACCAGCCTGGCCAACATGGTGAAACCCCATCTCTATTAAAAATACAAAAAATTAGCCAGGTGTGGTGGCAGGTGCCTGTAATCCCAGCTACTTGGGAGGCTGAGGCAGGAGAATCACTTGAACCCAGGAGGTGGAGGTTGCAGTGAGCCAAGATCGTGCCATTGCACTCTAGCCCAGGTGACAGTGCGAGACTCTGTCTTAAAAAAATAATAAAAATAAAAATAAAAACTGACATAATTAAGAACTTGAGAAAAAGACAAATCTTAGAAACAAAAACTGCATTACTAGGTAGCCAAGGGAGAACAGGAAGACAAAAAATACAGTAAGAGACATAACAGATAGAAATAATAAAAACCAAGAAAATGGAAGCAGAAAGAACAGGATACAAGCACAATCGAACACAAGTATCATTAGAGAACCTGAAGAAGAAAAACCAAATAATAGACTAGGACTAATTGTAAAACTATAATCAAGAAAACTTTCCTGAGGAAAAAAAAAAGTTCTGAATCTACATATGGTAAAGAGACAGCACATGTATGAAAAATAGACCGCAAAAGATATCTTAACAAATTATTGTAATTTATAGAACACTAAAGCCCAGACTTCACCACTACACAATATATCCATGTAACACAACTGCACATGTACTCTCTAAATCTATAAAAATAAAAATAAATGATCAGTAATGATGGCCCAATGGATACCTTCCAGAAGAAATGGAATCAGTCTTCCCCCTTGTGGATAACTAGCAAAAGTACCTTATTTTCCCCACTAAAAGTTACATGTTAGAGTTTTGAGGGAACCACAGGCTATGTGTTTTTTCCTTCTCATCTAAAGGTAATAGGAAGTCATTTTATATAAAATTTGTGAGCCAGACACGGTGGCTCATGCCTGTAATCCCAGCACTTTGGGAGTCCAAGGCAGGCAGATCACTTGAGCCCAGGAATTAGAGACCAGCCTGGGCAACATGGTGAAACCCCTTCTCTACTACAAATACAAAAAATTAGCTGGGTGTGGTGGCACATGCCTGTAGTCCTAGCTACTCAGGAGGCTGAGGTGGGGGTTTCACTTGAGTCTGGGAGTTATAGGCTGCAGTGAGCCCTCCTGGAACCAGCACCAATGAACTACAGCCTGGGCCACGGAGTGAGACCCTGTCTCAAAAAAATATATATATAATAATAAGAAATTAAATTAAATTTGTGATAAAGTACACATATCTCTGTAATAGCTAGCTGGCTTTATGACTGGTATTTTAAAATAGCACAATTTTTTAAAAAGTAAAATGAGTCAAAGAGAACAAAATGGAGGAACATTTACAAGAAAGCAAGGAAAGTGTGAAGTGAGGCTTCTATAACCAAGCAAGATTCCTTCACATATCCAAGCTATGGAGAAACAGTTTTGAACATGCTGGAACTCAGGGGATGCTGACCCATGAGCTTTTTTCAAGAAACCTGACACCTGGGAAAACTGGTGAAACAAGATTAATAGTGAGTGTTTAATATATTTAACTGAAGATCTAAGACTAAACCAAAGGTAAGATAAGAATCAAAGGATGATATAGAAACATGTTCTCTGACAAAGTCAGAAAAAAGCACAACCTAAAAAAAGAAAGAGAGGGAAAAGCATAATTAGCTCAATGATTTACTTACAAAAGTTGGGAAACAAATGACATCATTTCAAGCTACCAAAAAAAAAAAGCAGAAGCTTAAATATATTTAGGTGCACAGAGTGCAAGTAAAGAAAGAGAATATGCATTATTCTAATCATTAAAATTGAATGGCAGAGAAAGGAAGGAAAGAGGAGTTTGCAAAACAAATTATATTCTTCTTGCTTACAGTAGAGACCCAGTCAATATTATCTAAAGGAAAGAAGGAAGAATGGGTATTATAAAAACGTCAGTACTAATACAAAAGTTCAAACATTTCCAATTATCAAAAGCAAAAAACAGAACAGAAAAACTAAGAAAACAGAACACATGGCAAAAGTTTTTTATAACTCTTTTTGAAAAAAATGAAGCATTTTTTAATGCCAGAACTGGGTATAAACATGTGGTGAGAGCTTATAATTTTATGTTGCCTTGGCATCCATCTTAAAATATGTTTTAACTTTCTCATACCAGAAGCAGGGCTCAGTCAGCCTTGACACCGTTTCTAATACTATTCCCCACTGGAATGGCTCCAGTTGGTGGCCAGAGATACTGCTTCATTTCAAGGAACCATTCAGACATTTGCCTGCAAACTTAACGTGACCGCCTCTCAGTCAGGGGGACCTCCTGGAACCAGTGCCTGCTTGCTTTAAATTCAACAATTAAACCTGTTTGGATAACACTCTGAACCCAATAAAGGTATTGGTCTACGGGTCCCTTCTCTCTCTCTCTCTCTCTCTCTCTCTCTCTCTCTCTGCCTGTACTCCTTGGTGTGTGGTGTGTGTGTGTGTGTGTGTGTGTGTGTGTGTGTGTGTGTGCGCGCGCGCGCGCCCGCGCTCCCTCCAGGATCTGTAAGTACCAAAAACGCTTAAACTTTCACACTGCGGTTGTGTCACTGAAGCAGTGCCTGAAATCTAATCCCTGAGTGTGACGCCGCCCCAAAGGGCCCCAAGCAGGTAGATCCCATGCTGATGCTCTTTTATCCTGGCCTCTCAGCTGTTGAGGAGAGTAATTGCCGGGCTAAACTGATAAAGTTTCATTCCAAACAATTAGCCTAGTCTGCAGGATTGCAGTCGCGGCTTGGACACCATCCCGGTGTCTGTCCCCCGCAGAGGGCTTGCTACCTTGCTGTATCAGCTGGCCCAGCAGGTCTGGGGCCGCGCGCTGCTTACAGGCGCTGGATCTCGCTGCTCGTCGCTGCGCGCTACTAGGTCCTGCTGTCGTCCGAGTCGCCTCCGGGACTCTCCGGAATTGTAGCGGCTGTAGCCGGCTCCTTGCCTGCGGCGCGGAGGGCAGGTCCCAGTGGTAGGAGGATGTGTTCCCTTTGCAGAATCAGACCCCCTCCTGGGACTGTGGGGACCCTCTGTCGCCGGCCTCCATTGGAGGATGCGTTGTCCCTGGAGCTGGGTGCGCTGTTGCGTGACCTGGGGCCTGGGTGGTGGGCGGGCCTGTCCATGGCAAAGGGCACGGCTGCGCGCTACTTCCCGAGAACCCGCCAGCAGGCTCTTGGGAAGCAGCGATTTCTCCTTAGTCACAGTCAGAGAGGGTGATGCGACACACTGGGCTTCACTGTGCTCGTGAAGCGGAGCCAGGGTGAAAGGATCATATGGCCTAACCCTAACCCTAATGGGAGTAACTTCACCTGCGTCCCACAGGCCCCGCAAGAGTGACGCTGCCAGGCAGGCGCCGCCCTGTTCGGTTCCTGCTGCTGTCGCTCCTCGCTCCCCACCACCTCCAGAGCTCCGGTGGGTCACCATGGAAAGGGAAGCCGCTGCCTGCAAGGCCAGCAGACACAGAGGTCACCCTCCAATTTTTTCGGGTAACATT
Source organism: Homo sapiens (assembly GCF_000001405.40). Lineage (NCBI taxonomy): Eukaryota > Metazoa > Chordata > Mammalia > Primates > Hominidae > Homo > Homo sapiens. Next base: position 42,889,103 of record NC_000007.14, read on the forward strand.
CTGTAAGGACAGAACACCAGGAGGCTACTCCTACCACCAGGAGCATGTCAGGTAAACATCCAGAGAGATGAAGGAAGAAAAAATTTTATTTTAGCCACCAAGAAATACAAGCCGTTCTAAAGATTATACTTAAAAGAAAAAAAAAACAAAAAAAGGAAGGAAAAAGGGGACCGATGATCTTGCAATCACGGAAGTTGTAGAGAGCTGGCTGCCTAGAGACACTGTGCCCTTCCCTCCTCCCTCTTTTCCTCTTATCAACCAGAGGCAGAGACTAAGAATGCCTTCAAGCAACTAAAGCCTAAAATAAAAAAGAAAGAAAAGAGGAAGAGGGAGAGGGAGGGAGAGAGAGAGAGAGAGAGAGAGAGAGAGAGAGAGAGAGAGAGACTGTTGCTTTATGCTATTACAAGTCCAAGAAAAAAAAAAAAAGAGATGAACTTTAAACTTTAAATACTTAGCAGCTGCCAGGTCTAGCAAACATGCTAGCCCTAGATCACTTACTGATTTATAAACAAACCCCTAGATACAGAGGGGGAAAAAGGTAATTAAATAAAAGTTATATATAATATTTTAACATAAATATATGTTGATAAATGGTGTATATGATATATTTGCATCTTTTGATATAGTTAGAAGTTCATAATGCATATAGCAATTTATATATCAAAGAATTTACATAACAAAAAGATTAAAAAGGACACGTACTGGCTTTGTGCTTCTACAAGGTCAGTTCTAATTTAACTTTAACAATTTGTTAAAATGCACTAACAAAAATGCATGGACTTAATATTGGGGCTCAAATTATATTTATACCTGGGGAATTCCACTAAACTTAAACACTCTGCCCATGTAATCTTGAGCAGGTAACTGAATATAATATTTTGTAAATGAATATGCCTTGCATATTCATTTGTAGCATGGCCTAAATTTCCCATAGTTATATATCCATTGCTGTAAGATATTCTATATTAGGCAGAGATGCTCTGACACAATAAATAACAAATTAAAATTAAAGTAAGTCTTTGGCACTTACAAATTGACTTAATAAAATGGAACCCCTTGTACCCCCAGTTAATATAGTTAATATGGCCCAAAGTAAGTTGAAATGGATTAAAACCAATTCTAAAAAACCTATTAATAAAGGCGTGATTATTCCCACTTCCCCATTTAACAGCCCTTTCATTAGGGCCCCTATATCCAATACCTAATATTATTAAAATTGCTGATTCCGTTCAATCAACAACTGGTAAATATTTTGCTCTTGTGGATTTGGCTAACGTGCTGTTTCAATAGCGTCTTCACTGCAGTTCGCCTCCTCCTCTAAAAGAACACAGTACACCTTTTCAGACCTCTGCAGCTGTGTCATCACATGCAATCTTTAATTAATCTTAACGACATCCACCTTCTCCAGGAGCACTGGTATGAGAGTACATCCAGGACATTCTCAGCCAAGGAGACTCACTTAATACATACATTGATGACATTCGAGACCAATATTTCTTAGTACTTTTGGGTTTTGGTGGCAACATATTCCTCATTTATAAATTTTACTTCTAAATTAAAGTCTACAGACACTCCTGTAAGTGACTTCTTAAAAAAAAAAAAAGCCTTTACTGTAGAGTCTTCTCAACCTTTTCAAATGCCTCCTGCAATCTCTGGATATTTAGGATAGCTATCAGTTGCCCCAGGATTTCTGATACGAGATATTGCCCCTGTTGGCCTCATGCTATACAGCATTAATACAATAGATGACTGGCCCCCACTTACTGGGCTGTCCCAGAAATAGAGGCTCTCCCAGACCCTGAGCCTGTGACCCTCTATACCCAGCTGCCCATTATGCTTTGGGCCATGGAAACAGACCCCACAAGCTCAACACAGCTACTGAGGCTCCCTAAGACAGATGGGAACAAACCTGGGTCCTCTGGTATATTCTACCCACAGGAGGGTATAGCTTCCCCTGTTCTAAGCCCCTTGCCAGACGCCAGGGTGCTGGAGGATGACATCCCTCCCCTAAACCCCTTGACTACTAGGAAGCCCTGTGGATTAACTGAGTGACCAGTAAAGGGAGTTCATAGACTATGTGAATGGCACTGCCAGCCCCTGTGCATGGTGGAGCCTAGTGGAATGTGCTGCTTTCCATTCCTTAGCCAGGATGTCCCTAATAAAGGATGGGGCCCAAATACAACGCACGTGGCCAAAACTCCAGGTGGTCATCTTAGCACTGGATACCCTGGTCAACAACTGGTCCTGTCTTCATGTTTATTATAAACTATTAGGCCATTACTGAAAAATTGGCCCCTCAAGGATAAAAAAAAAAAAAAGAAAAAGAAAATCTCTGGGAATCTCTTACTTCGCACTCACCCAAAACATAAATTAGAATCATACTTCTCCACTTAGAGTTGAGGCCACAATGCAAGGCCGTGCTAGCCATGCCTTATTCCCTTCAGAGTCATGGCTGTTACTAACAGTAACCAAGGCACACAATTCACTTCTTAGAACACATCATGCTGGGCTCCTGAGGAACATTCAATAGAACTTTCATGTCCATGACAGGTCCCAAATGACTGGTCTCAATAAGAGACATCATGATGGTTTAAACAACTCCTTTTCAAACTTCAATACCACAAATAAACTAAAGTTCTCTAGTTTGCCCCTGGCCTTAACCTACTTTTTTTTAACAATTTTTTTATCTTGTCCCCATCCCTTAAGGTCTGTAGGTCAGATCAAGGACATAGACTCTCCTGGGACTCATTAACCATATATTGTCCCACAGGCCTGGCAGCTGCTCATCTTATATGAAACCCATTTGAACCTAAATGTCCACCCAAAACAAAACCCTGTCAGGTGCAGCTGCACACCATTTCTTTGATTGTTGGTCTTATTACTATCAGTTTGGGTGCTTTCATTGGTTTACAACTGGACACCCAAACCCTCCAGTAGTAGATCATTGTTTCAACCAGTTATGACAAATGCTGAGGCCCGCACCAACTCAGGTGCCTACCCATTGAGACATCTCAGTCTCACCTCCTGGAGGACACTGCCCCAACTCAAGACCTCAGCGTTGGAGATGACTTTGCTCCCTGTGCCAGACATGGCTTCACTCTGGACACTAAAATCTCCCCCCAGTGATACTCACAGACTGCCTCTCCAAAAGCAGAAAACGCACATTTATTATTTTTCTTCCTGAACTCACTGTCTACCTGATCCTGCTATACTTCTTACTCTCTGCTACCTCCACACTCCCATACCTAAAGGGAACTCATAATACAGGTTACTAAAATGAATGAAGATTATTGCCTTTCCCAGGAGACACCAGCCCCATGTCAGTCAATCGTGTGGCTCCCTGGGGAGATGACCACCTACTCCCTGAAATCTTTCCTACTAAGCCCCTCCAGTTTTCACCACAATCTCTCACCCTGCATCTCCGAACATCACCACTATGATCCCTCTCTCCCCTTACTCTTGAGAAATCTCCAGCACTCAACCACAACTGCCTTAATTTTGAATAAGATGCTGAGGCACCAAGAGGTGAATTGCAGTGGATTTCATTCAAAATGAAACCTGAAGCCATATATGGACTTAACTGACCAATTAAATATCATGATTTTCAAATTTGATCACATAGCAAAACTCAAACCTGTGCGATAAAACAAGAGACATATTTAAAATATAATAACTCCAAGGACTAGATTGCAGCTCTGGACAGAGCAGCATGCGGAGGCTTGCGCTGTGAATTTTAGCTCCAGATCAACTGCAAGTAAAAACCAGCAATCCCAAGAGGACCCACAGACCCTCTGAAGGAAGTAGGCTGCTCCTGCAGCCGGGGGAGACACCCCAAATACTGTGAGTGCCCCAACTGTGGAAGTGGGAAAGGGTGACCCTCCTCTCCCAAATACATATCCTCACTGGAGAAGCTGAAGATCTGTTTGCAGGAGAAGTTTCTGACTTTACCTGGAGCTGAGTCAGGTTAGAGAGCTGAGCAAAGTGCAGGGGTAGAGGAAGCAGCAGAAAGGCCCTGGGAGCTCTCTGGGTCCCCAGGCAGCCCATTCCTGCCTGGCACCACAGCGATCCATCGGGAGGTTGGCCAGAGGAACAGGGGGGTAAACCTCCACAGGGAGAAGGAATTCTCTACCCGAACTTTGTAACAGTTTGAATGGGGGAGAAGCCTCCTGGCCAGAACTCAGTGGGAGGGCACAAATTGGGCATGTAGAATTCACAGGCCAGGAAGAACTAAAGTCCTTTTCTCTCACAGCTGGGAGGCAGATAGCCTCGGGCAAATTTTCAAGCCAGTCTTGCCTTCACCTGGAAATGGACTCAGGATGTTAGGGGGGTGCATGGACTCAGGATGTTGGGGGGTGCACGGTGGGAGTGAGACTGGCCCTTCAGTTTCCATGGGAGCCGGCAAAGGCCTGCCATTGCTGGCTTTCCCCCACTTCCCTGACAACCTGCATGACTCAGCAGAGGCAGCCATAATCCTCCTAGGTACACAGCTCCACAGCAGCTGCAGCAAGACAGGCCCAAGGAGAGTCTGAGCTCAGACACCCCTAGCCCCACCCCCACCTGATGGTTCTTCCCTACCCACCCTGGTAGCAGAAGACAAAGGGCATATAATCTTGGGAGATCTAGGGCCACACCCACCGCTGGTCCCTCTCCACAATACTACATACAGCTAACGCTTTCTGGAAAGCACCACCTCCTGGCAGAAGGCCAACCAGCACAAAAATAGAGCACTAAACCACCAAAGCTAAGGACCCTCAAGGAGTCAATTGCACTCTTTGCCAACTCCACCAGAACAGGTGCTGGTATCCACGGGTGAGAGACTGATAGATGGTTCTCATCACAGGACTCTGTGCAGACAACCCCCAGTGCCAGTCTGGAGCCAGGCAGACTCACTGGGTGGCTAGACCCAGAAGAGAGACAACAATCACTGCAGTTTCGCTCACAGTAAGCCACATCCATAAGAAAAGGAGGTGAGTACTACATCAAGGGAACACCCCGTGAAACAAAATAATTTGAATAACAGCCTTTAGCCCTAGACCTTCCCTCTGACAGAGGAAACCCAAGTGAGAAGGAACCAGAAAACCACCCAGGTAATATGACAAAACAAGGCTCTTCAATACCCCCAAAAAAATCACCGTAGTTCACCAGCAATGGATCCAGACCAAGAAGAAATCCCTGATTTACCTGAGAAAGAATTCAGGAGGTTAGTTATTAAGCTATTCAGGGAGGGACCAGAGAAAGGTGAAACCCAATGCAAGGAATCCAAAAAATGATACAAAAAGTAGAGGAAGAAATATTCATGGGAATAGGTAGCTTAAAGAAAAAACAATCAAAGACTCAGGAAACTCTGGCCACACTTTTAGAAATGTGAAATGCTCTGGAAAGTCTCAGCAATATAATTGAACAAGTAGAATAAAGAAATACAATATCACAATCCAACAAAGACAAAGAAAAAAGAATAAGAAAATATGAACAAAGCCTCCAAGAAGTCTGGGACTATGTTAAACAACCAAACTTAAGAATAATCGGTGTACCTGAGAAAGAAGAGAATTCTAAAAGCATGGAAAACATATTTGGGGGAAGAATTGAGGAAAACTTCCCCTGCATTGTGAGAGATCTAGACAGCCAAATAAGAGCAAGAACACCTGGGAAATTCATCACAAAAAGATCTTCACCGAGGAACATTGTCATCAGGTTATTCAAAGTTAAGACGAAGGAAAGAATCTTAAGAGCTGTGAGACAGAAGCACCAGGTAACCTATAAAGGAAAACCTACCAGATTAACAGCAGATTTCTCAGAAGAAACCCTACAATCTAGAAGGGATTGGGGGCCTTATCTTCAGCCTCCTCAAACAAAACAATTATCAACCAAGAATTTTGTATCCAGCAAAACTAAAGCATCATATATGAAGGAAAGATACAGTCATTGTCAAACAAACAAATGCTGAGAGAATTTGCCATTACCATGCCACCACTACAAGAACTGCTAAAAGGAGCTCTAAATCTTGAAACAAATCCTGGCAGCACATCCAAACAGAACCTCTTTAAAGCATAAATTACACAGGACCTATAAAACAAAAATACAAGTTAAAAAGTACAAACAACATACAAAAACCAAAGTACACAGGCAAAAAGGGCATGATGAAAGCAACAATACCTCACATTTCAGTACTAACATTGAATGTAAATGGCCTAAATGCTCTACTTAAAAGATACAAAACAGCAGAATGGATAAGAACTCACCAACCATCTGCTGCCTTCAGGAGACTCATCTAACACATAAGGACTCACATAAAGTAAAGGCATGGGGAAAGGCATTTCATGCAAATGGACACCAAAAGTGAACAGGGGTAGCTATTCTTATATCACATAAAACAAACTTTAAAGCAACAGCAGTTAAAAGAGACAAAGAGGGACAACATATAATGGTAAAAGACCTTCTCCATCAGGAAAATATCACAATCCTAAACATATATGCACCTAACGCTGGAGCTCCCAAATTTATAAAACAATTACTAATGGTCTTAAGAAATGAGATAGAAACAAAATAATAGTGGGAGACTTCAATGTTCCACTGACAGCACTGGACAGGTCATGAAGACAGAAAGTCAAAAAACAAACAATGGATTTAAACTATACCTTGGAACAAATGGACTTAACATGTATATACAGAACATTTCATCCAACTACCACAGAATACACATTCTATTCAACAGCACATGCAACTTTCTCCAAGATAGACCATATGATAGGCCATGAAATGAGCCTCAATAAATTAAGAAAATTGAAATTATATCAAGCACTCTCTCAAACCACAGTGGAATAAAACTGGAAATCAACCCCAAAAGGAACCTCCAAACCCATGCAAATACATGGAAATCAAATAACCTGCTCCTGAATAAGCACTGGGTCAAAAACAAAATCAAGATAGAAATGTAAAAATTCTTTGAACTGCACGACAATAATGACACAACCTACCAAAGCCTCTGGGATACAGCAAAGGTGGTGCTCAGAGGCAAGTTAATAGCCCTAAACACCTACACCAAAAAGACTGAAAGAGTACAAACTGACATCCTAAGGTAATACCTCAAGGAACTAGAGAAACAACAACAAACCAAACCCAAACCCGGCAGAAGAAAGGAAAGAACCAAGATCAGACCTCAACTAACTGAAATTCAAACAAACAAACAAACAAATACAAAAGATAAATGAAGCAAAAAGCTGGTTCTTTGAAAAGATAAATAAAACTGACAAACCATTAGCAAGATTAACTAAGAAAAGAAGAGAGAAAATCCAAATAACCTCACTAAGAAATGAAACAGAAGATATTACAACTGAAATACAAAAGATCATTCAAGGCTACTATGAACACCTTTATGCACATAAACTAGAAAATCTAGAAGAGATGGGTAAATTCCCGGAAAAATACCGTAGCTTAAATCAGGAAGAATTAGATACCCTGAACAGACCAATAAGCAGTGAGATTAAAGTGGTAATTTAAAAATTATCAACAAAAAAAAGTCCAGGACCAGACAGATTCACAGCAGAATTCTACCAGATATTCAAAGAAGAATTGGTACCAATCCTTTTGACACTATTCCACAAGATAGAGAAAGAAGAAACATACCCTAATTCATTCTGTGAAGCCAGCATCAGCCTAATACCAAAAACAGGAAAGGACATAACCAAAAAAGAAAACTACAGACCAATATCCTTGATGAACATAGATGCTTAGATGCTAAAATCCTTAACAAAATACTATCTAACTGAATCCACCAATATGTCAAAAAGATAATCTACCATGATCAAGTGGGTTTCATACCAGGGATAAAGGGATGGTTTAACATACACAAGTCAATAAATGTGATACACCACATACAAAGGATTAAAAACAAAAATCACATGATCATCTTAGTAGATGCAGAAAAAGCATTTGCCAAAATCCGACATTCATTTATGATTAAAACTATCAGCAAAATCGGCATACAAGGGACATACTTTAATGTAATAAAAGCCGTCTATGACTAACCCACAACCAACATAATACTGAATGGGGAAATGTTGAAAGCATTCCCTTTGAGAAATAGAACAAGACAAGGATGCCCACTTCACCACTCCTCTTCAACACAGTACTGGAAGTCCTACCCAGAGCAATCAGACAAGATAAAGAAATAAAGGGAATCCAAGCTGATAAAGAGGAAGTCAAATGTCACTGTTTGCTGACGATATGATCACTTCCCTTGAAAACCCTAAGGACTCCTCCAGAAAGCTCCTAGAACTGATAAAAGAATTCAGCAAAGTTTCTGGATACAAGATTAATGTACACAAATCAGTAGCTCTTCCAAACACCAACAGCGACCAAGCAGAGAATCAAATCAAGAACTCAACCGCTTTTACAATAGCTGTAAAAAAAAATAAAATACTTAGGAATATACCTAACCAAGAAGTCAAAAGACCTCTACAAGGAAAACTACAAAACACTGCTGAAAGAAATCATAGATGACACAAACAAATACAAACACATCCCATTGCTCATAGATGGGTAGAATCAATATTGTGAAAATGACCATACTGCCAAAAGCAATCTACAAATTCAATCCAATCTCCATCAGAATACCACTATCCTTTCAAACAGAATTAGAAAAAACAATTCTAAAATTCATATAGAACCGAAAAACAGCCTGCATAGCCAAAGCAAGATTAAGCAAAAAGAACAAATCTGGAGACATCACACTATGGGATTTCAAACTATACTATAAGGCCATAGTCACCAAAACACCAGGGTACTGGTATAAAAATAGGCACATAGGCCAATGGAACAGAATAGAGAACCCAGAAATAAACCCAAATACTTACAGCCAACTGATCTCTGACAAAGCAAAACAGAAATATGAAGTGGGGAAAGGACATCCTTTTCAACAAATGGTGCCGGCATAATCAGGTACCCACATGTATGAGAACGAAACTGGATCCTCATCTCTCACCTTATACAAAAATCAACTCAAGATGGATTAAGGACTTAAACCTAAGACCTGAAACTATAAAATTTCTAGAAAATAACATTGGAAAACCCTTTCTAGACATTGGCTTAGGCAAGGATTTCATGACCAAGAAGCCAAAAGCAAATGCAATAAAAACAAGGATAAATAGCTAGAACCTAATTAAACTAAAGAGCTTTTGCACAGCAAAGGGAACAGTCAGCAGAGTAAACAGACAAGCCACAGAGTGGGAGAAAATCTTCAGAATCTATACATCTGATAAAGAACTAATATCAGGAATCTACAACAAACTCAAACAAATCAGTAAGAAAAAAAACAAAAAATCCCATCAAAAAGTGGGCTAAGAACATGAATAGGACAATTTCCAAAAGAAGATATACAAATGGCCAACAAACACATGAAAAAATGCTCAACATTGCTAATGATCAGGGAAATGCAAATCAAAACCACAATGTATACCACTTTATTCCTGCAAGAATGGGCATAATAAAAAAATTAAAAAACAGTAGATATTGGCATGGATGTGGTGATCAGGGAACACTTCTACACTGCTAGTAGGAATGTAAACTAGTACAGATACTATGGAAAACAGTGTGGAGATTCTTTAAAGAACTAAAAGTAGAACTACCATTTGATCCAGCAATCCCACTACTAGGTATCTACCCAGAGGAAAATAAGTCATTATTCAAAAAAGATACTTGCACATGCACGTGCATGTTTATAGCAGCACAATTCCCAATTGCAAAATCATGGAACCAACCCAAATGCCCATCAATCAACAAGTGGATAAAGAAACTGTGGTATATATATATATATACACACATATATATATATATACACATATATATATATATATACACAATGCAATACTATGCAGCCATAAAAAAGGAATAAATTAACATTTGTAGCAACTTGGATGAGATTAGAGACTATTCTTTTTTTTTTTTTTTTTTTTTGACACAGAGTTTCACTCTTGTTGCCCAGGCTAGAGAGCCATGGTGCAATCTCAGCTCACCACAACCTCTGCCTCCTGGGTTCTAGCCATTCTCCTGCCTCAGCCTCCTAAGTAGCTGGGATTACAGGCATGCACCACCATGTCCAGCTTATTTTGTATTTTTGGTAGAGATGGGGTTTCTCCATGTTGGTCAGCCTGGTCTTGAACTCCCGACCTCAGGTGATCCGCCCACCTCAGCCTCCCAAAGTGCTGGGATTACAAGTGTGGCCACTGCGCCCAGCCTAGAGACTATTATTCTAAGTAATGTAACTCAGGAATGGAAAACCAAACATCGTATATTCTCACTGATATGTGGGAGCTGAGCTATGAGGACGCAAAGGCATTAAGAATGATACAATGGACTTTGGGGACTTGGGAAGAGTGGGAGACGGTGAGGGATAAAAGACTACAAATATGGTGCAGTGTATACATGGGTGATGGGTGCACCAAAATCTCACAAATCACCACTAAAGAACTTACTCATGTAACCAAATACCACCTCTACCCCAATAACTTATGAAAAAATAAAAAATATATATAATAATTCAAGGGCTAAAAAGTAAAAAACATATAAAAAGAATGGAAAAAGGTATACTAGGCAAATTAATATAATATTCACCGGGAGGTCCTGATCTTGATATCAGACAAAATAAAAAGAGTATTAAGGATGACAAAGATAGATACTTTCTAATGATAAAAGCTGTAATTCACAATTAGAAGTTAACACATTTTTTATATACCAAATAAATAAAGAGCAATTTGCACAAAACAGAAACTATTGAATATTCAAGGAGGTGTTACTATACTTTCTCAGTAAGATAGATTAAATGAACCAGAAAATGAGAATATATAAAAGAAATGAACAACATAGGCAGGACGCGGTGGCTCACGCCTGTAATCCCAGCACTTTGGGAGGCTGAGGCAGGCAGATCACCTGAGGTCAGCAGTTCAAGACTAGACTGGCCATCATGGTGAAACGCTGTCTCTACTTAAAATACAAAAATTAGCTGGGAGTGGTGGTCAGCACCTGTAATCCCAGCTACTCGGGAGGCTCAGGCAGGAGAATCACTTGAACCTGGGAGGCAGAGGTTGCAGTGTGCCAAGATCACGCCATTGCAATCCACCCTGGGCGACAAGAGCAAAACTCCATCTCATCTCAGAAAAAAAAAAAAAAAAAAGAAAAGAAAAATAAATGAGCAACATAATCAAAAAGGCAGCCCTAAGAATAAATGAAAAGTTCACAGAAAAAAATAAAAATGCAAATATCCCTTAAACACAGAAAAAGTTTCTCAAGCTCATTCTTAAAAGGGAAAATGCAAATAATTAACTAATTAAATAATGTCATAGTGAGACAATACACTCTACTGATGAAGCTATGGAAAAACAGTCACACTCAGACATTACTGTTGAGAATGCAAACTGTTAAAATTCCCAATCAGAGACATTGGATAATACCTGGCTACCAAGACACCCTTTGACAACAAATTCTTACTAGTGTAGATGCACTTCCACAAGGACAAACAACAACAAAACAAAACCACAAACTATGCACAAGCTATCCTACTGGCTTTATTTGGAAAAGCAAAAGATTGAAAACAATGCAAACATCCATCAGGACGGGGATAGTGGCCTACCCTGTGGCCGACCCACACAGTACTATGCCCCTTTCATAGGCTTTATGAGGACCACTATCAGGAGGAGTAACCTCAGGCTTATATTTTTAAATGAAAACAAAAGAAGACAAATTGCTACCTCTTATGAAGAAAAGGAATGGGAAAAAAAAACTATTTGTATGTATGTGCTTTATGTGAGAAAGAAAAGAAAAAAGGAAAGAGGGAGAAAGGAAGAAAGAGAGGAAGGAAAGAAGGGAGGGAAGGGGAGTGGAGGGGAGACTAAAGAGGTAAAAAGAGAGGGACATATAGAAACAATACATTTGTGATGGCAATTTTTATATAGTTTTTGCTTTTGAGCCACAAATTTTATATCCTTATATTTTAAAGAATAAAATTAAGTCAAAAAAGAAAACTCTAAAATTGAAAATAAACTAGAACAAATGAAGCTCACTATATATCAAATTAGTAACATAGCCTCATAAAATAATACAAATCATATGACTTTAAAACAGTACTTTAACCTTATATCTGGGCTAAAAGGACAGAAGAACTGCAAAGAAATATTCATATTGATTCAGTGACTTTATTGTAAGCCGTAATAATCATATTTTGAAACTTTTTTATGTATAGCATAGCATAAAGCAAATAAGTATGTTAGGAAAAAAGATTTGCAGAGCAAGAGACAAAAGTTTGAAATTAATGTTAAGTAAAAATCTGGGAATGTTATATAATGTTAATTTTGATCTTCCCCATCAGTTGAAGATATTTTAATTAATTTGAAATATATAAACATTTCCATTTTGTGCATTGCAAGAGCCCAGGATCAATGACAACTGAGTGGCACTGAGTACCCCTAGCCCTTGGACTTTTCTTTGGAAATGCCACGAACTAGGAAAGGCTCCTTGAAGAAATAGTGGATTCCAGGTCTCAGGCAGAAAGCACGGGCAACTCTGAGACACCTTGTACTGCCAGAAAGCATGAAATCAAACAGCATGGGATTATGTGAAAAAGACACAGGAATCTTGAACGCGTTTCTACTGGCCAAAGTTTGGACAGTCAAAGCATCAAAAAGAATGATAAATAAAAGGGCAACATGAGAGATCCTACAGTAACGGAAATACTCGGCATCTTGACATCATCAACATCAATATCCTTGTGATATTGTACTACAGTTTTTCAAAATGCTCCCACTAGGGAAAACTGCGTAAAAGGTACATGGGTTCTCTCTGTATTATTTCTTACAACTTCACACGAATCTATAATTATCTCAAAATAATAAGTTTAAAAAAGTAAGGTAATTGATGTGGGCATATTTGAAAATATAATAATTCATGAGTCCAATATAGTACTCACAAGATAGAATCTTCCTCCTAAAAGGTTCATTTGATGTTATTGGAGGTGACCATAACATGAATCCCTCATTCTGAAATCATTAACTGGAGAGAAAGAATCAAGGATACATATTGCCCTTCCAGAAGGGGAGCCAAATGGCCCCAGTTCCTAAGGGAAACCTCTTCTTTATGGAAGAATGATAACTGATAAGTGTAAAGGAAATGATAGAATTGGGGAAATCACCATTTTGTCACTTGAATGGAATATTTCATTAGGGTTATAATCATCAACGCATGCTAAAATCTTAGGCAAAAGGGCAATGGGTAACTGAACATTCACAGTGGCGCCAAAGCATGACTTCACAGTTTACTTACTAGTCATGAGGGCAAAAACTAACTTCACAATGGAGAGTTCTGGCTGTTACCACCTTATTCAAGGAACAATACTTAACATCACTAACAGTGGAAAAACCAGATATTATGTGCCCCCTCGTGTAACGAAAATGAGGAACACAGTATCAACCACAAAGTATTCTTGCCCAAAATGTTTAACCAGAATTGAATCCAGCCTTTAGATATCCTTTTCAGTTTACAGGAAATCAAACTGACCACTGGAAAATAATCAGAGAAATCAAGAATATAGAATATTCTGTAAGACAACTGTCCTGGTGTCTTCAAAAAACTCAGTCATAAAAGGGTAAGGTAATACCATAGATTGCAACAGAATTAAGGAACGTTAAACCCAAATGCAATATCTGGTGTTTCACCGGATTCTGGTAGACAAATCCCCTGACATCTGAATATAGATTGGGCACTAGATGATGCTCAGAATTATTAATTTCATTAGATGTACTCATGGAATCATGGTTGTCTAGAAAAATGTTCTTTTTAGAGCCAAGTACTGAGGGATATATGTTAAATATCATGATGTCTGTAATTTATTTTAAAATAATTTCAGCAAAAGAAAAACCTAGAGAAAGCAAGTAAGGCAAAATAATGACTGTTTAAACCTCGGTGAATGGTACACTGGTGTCCGTATTCTATTCTATTTTTTTGTCTGTATGTTTGCAAAATGATTTTGTTCCCTCTCCACCATGCTATCTAATTGTCTCTTTTAGGAACAAATAAACTTTAATATCAGTTAGAAATATTTTCAGCTACATGTAATGGAAAAGCCAACTACAGTGGCTTAAATAAATTGGGATTGATTTTCCACATAGCAAGAAGTCCTGCGGGAAGCATATGTCAGCACCAAAGCCTACATGCCGCACTTGGTCTTTCTCTCATCACCATAACATGGAAGCAAGTACAGCCATCGACCACATCGGACCCTGTGGTGGAAGGAGAAGGCAGCACTATTGCACTTCCACTCGTGTCTCAGAGGCAAGGAATCTGGCCGCCCCCAGCTAAATGCAACACTGGGAGCATGAGGCTTTTAGTCTCCAGTCTCTATGGCACAGGCAGGCAAAGGCGGTGAGGATGGGAACCCGACTTTGTGCTCAGTCCATGTTGTCTGCCAGAACCTTTGATGGAGTGGACTCATTTTTTCTCCATGTCTCAGCATCTTGTTTATATTTTTCATCATTTAATTTATTTGTTGAATCCTGGGAAATTCTATTCATTTCAGAATTCTTTTAGTTTATCTCACCTACTATTTTAAACTTTATTTCTGAGATTGTAATTTTAGTGAGTTTTTCTATTTCCTGAAGTTTTATTTGCTTGTACTCTTTCCTTTTTTTTCTTTTCTTCTTCTTCTTTTTTTTTTGAGACAGTCTTGCTCTGTTGCCCAGGCTGGAGTGCCATGGCATGATCTCAGCTGTCACCTCCACCTCCCACGTTCAAGCAATTCTCCTGCCTTAGTGTCCCTAGTAGCTGGGATGACAGATGCACGCCACCATGCCCAGCTAATTTTTGTATTTTTAGTAGACGGGGTTTCACCATGTTAGCCAGGCTGGTCTTGAACTCGGGACCTCAGGTGATCTGCCCACCTTGGCCTCCCAAAGTGCTGGGATTACAGGCGTGAGCCACCACACCTGGCCCCTTATAGTTTCTATGCCTTTTTTTTTATCCCCTTTAATCATTTGTTATTTAGGTGAAGAGGGAAATGCCTTTTTTCCCCATTCTTACTTGCATGATGGCAGGGAAGTGGAGGCGTTATATCCCCCAGCATATGCCTGGCCCTTCTCTCCTGGGAATATAGAGAAATGTATTTGATTGCAAGTTTCAGACGAATGCCTGGAGGCTTGGCTTGGCTCATCTCTGCGCTTTTTCCTTTTGTGAATAAGTTTGCCACAGGGTGAGGTGTTCTCTGCAGCCCTTTTGGGACAAGCTCTCCCTGTCACATGCCCCAGAATTACCTGCAATCAAGTGGTTAATGTCTGCCTAATTCTGGGCTTCAGTATTAGGAAACATACTTGCTGCGCATATACACCACATCCTCCACCTGAGCTGTGTGTGCAATGTTTGGTTGCAGCCTCCCTCTGCTACTTTGAATTACTACTTCTTTTTGTTTTTTGTTTTTTTTTCAGAGGATAGGGAACACTTAGAAGATCCCAAACTTACTTTCTTTTATATTTTGCTATTATATATTTTTACATATATATTCTATAATATCATATATTTTATTTTAATGTATTTTGTTATAATCTTAAGTTCTTGAAGAACTAATGCTCCTCTTTATGTGTTGCTGATTTGCTGGTGGTGGAAGGTTTCCTTCTACGTTTTGACTATTTCTCACTGTAAGCGCATCCAATCAAAGCTCAGTTTTTCTATAGACATCTACGTAGCCGGGAAACTAAAATGTCCCTAAGTCCAGAATGAGGTTGCGTATGTTGTTCTCAGGTGTCTGAGAGATAGCACTTGCCAGCGGCCAATTTTTATACTAATTTCACATCTCTGGGTTTCCCCCATGATGCTGTTAAATGACTTGAACTCTATGTGGGACACAGTCTGGGCTTTGATTTCTTTCAGAGTTCTTCCCCCCGCCCCACCACCCCCACCCCACACCCCACACCCGCCCCCAGAACCACTGGAGTCAAACCCTTGCTGTGTCCCTGGGCAAAGTTTACAAGATCCTCTTTCATGGGCATTACAGCCTTAAGGTTCTGGTTCACTCAGTGGGGGTCTTGGGGTTACCTCTTTACCTCAAGCAGGCCTCATGCCTCTGATTCTATCCCAGCATGAAGGTTAATCCCCACATCCCTACTATAACGGTTGGGAACTCATCCTTGCCTTTCTTCCTCTTGGGAACAAGATTCCCGGGCACAGTGACTCACACCTGTAATCCCAGCACTTTGGGAGGCCGAGGTGGGTGGATCACCTGAAGTCAGGAGTTCAAGAGCAGCCTGGCCAACATGGCGAACTCCCGTCTCTACTAAAAATACAAAATTAGCTGGCCGTGGTGGTGCATGCCTGTAATCACAGCTACTCAGGAGGCTGAGGCAGGAGAATCAATTGAACCCATGAGGTGGAAGATGCAGTGAGCCAAGATTGTGCCACTGCACTCCAGCCAGGGCAACAAGAGTGAAACTCCATCTCAAAAAACAAAACAACAACAACAAAAAGATTCCCACAGCGTGAAATGTTCTCTGCCTGAATCCATTTTGTCTGCAGTGCCATTTTGTCTGGGATGTTTATGTATCTTTTTAAACTGAAATTTTGTTCCAGCTTCTTTTTTATGCAATCTTGTCAGGTTTCAGTATCAGAGTTATACTCATGTTCTGTAAAATGAGTCTGAAAACATTTCCAATACAAGGATGACCTGAGACAGTCAGCCTGTTATTACATGAGTCAAGAAACACCCCATGGGCTTCAGTCCCATACCCAGGCCCTGTTCTCAAACAGGAGAGCAGGCCAAAGTTCTCCTCTTGGGGCAGAGGACAGGGAGTAAGAGGAACAACACATCTTACCATGTTACATTTCAACCCCACTTACGGGGTTATGCTCCATATTACCTTTTAGAGCACGGGGATTATTCGGTATTTAAAAGTAGGAAAAAACTTGTCTAATAAAGTTAACTGCATCTGCACATATTTTGGAGAAATTACTTAACTTCTTTAACAATTTTTTAAATGGTTATTGCTTATTTAGGCTATTTTTCAATTCTAATTTACATTTCCTGAAACAGTCATCTGTTCCAATGAGATTTCCCAGTATATCACAATTATCTATATATCTCCCTCCAAAGCTGTTTTATATCCTTCCTGTGCTTGCAGCTAGCACTCTTATTTTATGCTTTCTGCTTTTTATGCCTCATTCACAATTCTTTTATCTTTTTCTTTTTGAGACAGGGTCTCACTCTGTTGCCCAGGCTGGAGTACAGTGGTACAACCAAAACTCACTGCAGCCTTGACCTCCCAGGCTCAGGTGAGCCTCCTGCCTCAGCCTCCCTGGTACCTGGGACTGCAGGAGTGCACTACCATGCCTGGCTAATTTTTGTATTTTTTGTAGAGCGGGGTTTTGCCATGTTGCCCAGGCTGGTCTTGAAGTCCTGGGCTCAAGGGATCCACCCTGCCTCAGCCTCCCAAAGTGCTGGGATTACAGGTGTAAGCCACAGCGCCCAGCCTGACCTGTCTTTTTCTATATGGACTACATTTATTCTCCATCCTCACCTTTTGTTTGGAATTTATTCAGCTATTCAGCTTGGTTTAATTTATACTATCAGTTATATTTCCTGTTTGACACTCAAAACTAAATAGCTCTATTTTTCAATAGCAAAATTTCAAAGTGTCTGTTGACTCTAAGTAAGATGAGGATTTTTAGCATGCTTTTACTTTCCTCAACCACTTCCAATTCCCAGGCATAACGACAGTTTATTACGTATCTTCACACTTTAGAACTATTTGGACATTTGTTTGCTTTATAGCTATAGCTCTGTGATTCCTTTGACTTACCAGTTAACTGATATTTAATTGAACATTCCTTTTATAACTTCCCTCATTGTTTTTATTGTCTCTTTTTTTTTTTGAGATGTAGCCTCGCTCTTGTTACCCAGGCTGAAGTGCAATGACGTGATCTCGGCTCACTGCAACCTCCACCTCCCAGGTTCAAGTGATTCTCCTGCCTCGGCCTCCTGAGTAGCTGGGGTTACAGATACCCACCAACATGCCTGGCTAATTTTTGTATTTTTAGTACAGACAGGGTTTCACCATGCCAGCCAGGCTGGTATTGAACTCCTGACCTCAGGTGATCTGCCCCTCAGCCTCCCAAAGTTTTGGGATTACAGGTGTGAACCACCACATCCGGCCTTTATTGTCTAATATTTTACCTTTATGAAAGGAATGTTTTGGCCAGCTGGAATAGACCTTGACAGTGTAGATCATGTGTGTGGTCTCTAGGGAAGGTGCTATTTCTTACATTCCAGGATCCAGTGCCCTACTACTTGAGCATATGTACTGCTTGCATTATTTATTACATTGTTAGGAGTTGCAATCACTGGAATGCTTGAAAAAACATCATGGTCTTTGGCAGGGCACAGCTGTGGTCACTTCACAAAGCAGTTTCCTAAAGAGTGCTGTGGCCTGTCCACTTTCTAGTTGGCAAAGATCCCAAGTTCTTAGGTATTGATTGATTCATAGGGAGCAGGGATAGAAATCTACCTTCTTTCTGCTCCTTTAAAACAAGTCTTTTATATGCCATGCCCTTTGTACTGTGTCTGACACATGGCTGTCACTCAATGCTTATTAAACGAATGAGTACATTAATATGTCAATTCTGCCTCAAACAAATCCAACATGTATCCATGACTCTACAGTCCATCATTCCTGCTCTAGCTAAGGTCATTATAGTCCAAACTTTCTTTCAATTTTTATCCACACTACAGATTTTTGTGGTTTCCTTAAGAGACCTGATCATAAGCCACACTTTCTTAAAAATCACCAATGGCTCTCTAATGCCAAACTCTTTAGAGAACTTTGACTTTTTTTTCTAGCTCCATCTTGTTTTATAAACTGTCCACTTGAGCCTGGTCCCTGAACAGGTCCTCATAGTCACAGTTCTGGTACTTTTCCAATCCCATTCCTCCATGTACTTTTGAGTACCCTTTCTCACACATCTTGTGAAATTTCACACCCCAAACCCTCAAACAACACTTCCTCTCTGACTTCCTGGCCCCATAACAAGTACTCCTTTACTCTGTCCCCATAGTATTTTCAACATATCCTAGAGAATTTAGTACATTTAATTGCACTTCAGTTGTTTACTTCCACTTTAGACTTAAGAATTCCTTAGAGCAAACATTCATCTTTTCACACCAAACTATTATAATGCTTGGTACTTAATAGTATCAAGTACTACATGACCTTAATAGATGCTCAAAAAGCTTAAATTCCATTTCTAACACTAGACATATACCACTCTACACTAAACTGGAAGCAAATCACAGCCTTTCTACTAGAAAATGTATTCTGACTTAGTAAAGCAATCTCTCCCCAGAGAACCACCCCCATACACTTAATTTTGCATTCATTTCAGGGTGTTCATGAATGCCAATAACCAAATTCCACCCCAACAAACACTGTGGCTGTAAATTGAGATTCTCTTCTCAACAAATACGACATTTGGCATGGTAGAAAGAGATCAGACTGTGGCTAGAAACATCAAGTTTTAATACCAGCTCCTACACTTAGCATGAGTTAATATTTAAGCTCCAGGACTCAAATTCCAAATTTTTAAATGTGGTGAATACATACCGACTTTGCTAGTTTTGCTTTATTGAAAACTGATAAAGTATCTAGCGCAATGTAGCCATAGAAGTGTATTTTTAACTACAACTTGTGTCATGGAATTGGCATGGAATATTCTGTCACCATCTCATGAAAGTAAGGTAATGCAGTTGTCACTTGCCACTTGCAAATGAAACATGAAAATAGTATTTATTGTTCAAATACTTATAATATGGGGGCTTTCTGTATTGAATTTTTAAAATCTTTTACATAATCCTTTTTCAATTCATTCAAATTAGTATTTTACCTTAAGTGTCCTGGTTTTATCTTATAGTAGTAAGATTGTTGGCTTTCTTTTCACAAAGGTCTACCAATGGGTTCATGGCACTCAAATAACCATAATTCACTTTCTCATTTCTTCTGTATTATGTACTTTTTGTAAAAACACCTATCAGACTGCACCTGACATACAGCAAATAAGTTTTTCATTAATGGTTAACCTTAGAATCTAAAATTGATTACCAACGACTACCTCCCAGCCTAAACCATATAAAGCAATACAATGAAAAACAGGCTTGAATTTTCTCCAGATATTTAATGCAAGATGCAATGTAGCCATATTCCATGAAATGTGGTTAGCAGTAGGGGAGTTGTAGCCCTATCGAATCAAAGTATTACAATACAGCTGAAAGCTTTATATAGACGTATTTCGGTTCTTAATTGCACTAATGCAGACAGTTTGATAGATAAGCTTCTCTCTTGTGCTTTTTCTACTTTGGGAGGTTATATACTTTAGATGAGAGACAAAGAAACTCTACTGGTTTAAGAGTTCTCAGTTTTACTTTTACTATAGACCTTTTTTCCCACCAGTTTAGATGGGAAGACCCAGCCTTTGGTATAAATAACTTACTTCCACAAAAATATTTAAAGGGTATCTTTAGTGTTCACTGTCAGTTGTGTAGTCTTTTGGTAAGGGGGTGGCTAGAGCCTCTTTACTCTCAGTAAGTGCTCTGGGCTGATGGATAAACACACTAAATTTAACACCCTGGTTGTTTGCAGCTCTGACAAAACCACTATTAGCAGTCATTGTGATGGCTTTTAGGGTGTCTCCCGTCCCAAAAATTGTTAATGAGCGGCTATTAATTTTTGAACTGGCCACTAGTCTCAAGGCACGCTCAGAAGGCTGGTCTGGTACCACATTAATTCGCTTAATTAACACAGTGGCCCTCTCTCTCTCCCCAGGTCCTCCTAAGGTATCTAAAATAGACTGAAAGTCCTTGACAGCAGATTCACAAGCAAACAACTCCTTGTCCTTCATAAAGGCCTCCAGCTGAGGTAGAACCTGCTCTTTCCTCTCTTGCTCTGCTTGTTCTGTGAGCACTTTCTCTTTGAAAATAAAGTGGCAGCCTCCATAGCTGAGGGCAGATACATATGTGATTAAAGTAGTAATGTCCAGATTTACTCTTTTGCACACATCGACCTTAATTTCTGTTGGAAACGCAACACTTGCTAGTATATTTTCTCGGTCAACTCTGGTCACCTGCAAAAGTTCAGGGCCCTCATCATCTGATTCACTCTCACTTGGTTGAAGCTCTTCAGGGTGATCTAACAGAGCGTTGACTGCTACTATGTCTCCTCTCACAGATATGCCCATTTCTTTCAGCTTCTCTGCCATGGGGCTGGAGACACTGTTGTAAAATGCAAAGATGATGTGAGGGTTGCTATACTGCACTGGCTGCTGGTGACTGGCCTGGAGGAAGTCTTCAGCCTGCTCAATGATGCTTTTGTCACCATATTGGCCCCTGCCCAGCCAGATGTTATGAAGAGCTTCAGCCTTCCGGCCAATGGCTTTCACCCAAGTATGACCACCATTTGCAACTACATCTACCACAAGGGTTTGCTTTTCTCCTAAGGTATCTGTATAACCAAAGACATGAAGAACACTAACAACTTCTTCCAGGTTTTCTGCTGATTCCACAATGGCTCTCAGGTGTGTTAGGTTAGTGCTCTGTAAATGAGACTCTTTAATAGCTACTTTCCCAGCTTCTACTTTCTGCAAGAATTTTAATTCTGCCTTCAATTTGCTGCACAGCTTTGCACCACCTTCTATGCCACCTTTTCTTGATCTAGAAAGTGATTCTGCTCTCTTGATCAGTTCCTTGGCTATGGCGATTCGTTCACAGAGCATGGAATGTGCAGACATGCTGTCAGCATTATTCCTTTCCTAGGGAAAGAAACAAGGCAAACTTCAGTAGTCTCCTAAAATTATGACAATCAATTCTTCACTGGTGATTAAAAACTTCAATCTAGCAACACAGCTTATGGAGGGTGAGTCTATGAACCCGGGCTTGTGTATGTCTCATTCTGGAGTGACTGCTTCCTCTGATAGCTAAGGAAAGGATGGCAGCTACACTTTTGAACTCTTCTTTAGGTACGTCTGACACACTTTAGACCTTCATTTCTTCAGCTTGAAAGCCATGGGGACACAGCATGGTCCTAGGTTAGGATACAATGCAAGAGTTGGGCAATCTGCTATATAAATAATTCCCTTATGTCTATCAGCGGCCTGTTTAACTGCTGAGAAATTTTAATAAAGGCGACAAAAATGCCGAAAACAAAAATACACACAGACTGGCTAGTTAGCAAACTGTCCAAAGCAAGTGTCTGTCCTAAACTGAGCACTTCAGCCTCCCTAACCTTTTCCTCCTTCCCGAGTTGGTCTCCTTCAACCGGCTGCCTCATGATTTCCCCCGAGGCTTGGGGTACTTACGCCAAAAAAAATCAACACTGCCTCATTTCTGCATTTGACGTCAACCCAGACTATTTTAAAAGACCGAAGAAGACCACCAACTTGCGTCCCACTCCCACTCCGACTCTGAAGGAAAATCCGAAGATGAAACTAAACTCCAAGGCTGCAACCCGCGGCGGCCGTGCAAGCGGCCCCAGCGCAGGTCGCCGGGTGGGCGGGCCAGAGGCCGGCGGGGCCTTCTCGGTGGGCTGCGGGGCCCTCGGCCCTGCCCGGCCACCTGCACAGCCGGGCCCTGCCAGGAGGGGCCGGGGCCGAAAAGCCCCCACCGCCAGCGCCGCGGCTCAGGGACCAGGCGCTGATAGCGCGCGGCCGACCCCCTTCCCGCCGGGCCGGCCCTGCCCAGCCCCCTCTGGCCTCAGAAGAGGCGCCCCGCTCCCAGCCTCCCCGCCTCGCTCCCCGGCTCCTCACCGGCAGCGCCAGAACCGCGAGCGCGAGCACGCAGGCGCGTGCACGCAGAGGCCGGGACCCGCCGGGAAATCTCAACCGGGCAGCCCCCACCCCGCTCGAACGCCGAGGCGGCTCCACCCGCGCGAGCCCCGCCGCCTCGGGCACCTCCTGCATCACGTGGTTCCGGGCCGGGTGACGCCAAACCTGCGATTCCCAAGCGGCAGCGCGGCCTCCCGAGCCGGGTTGACGCTGGCGTGGCGGCCATGTTTATTGAGGGCACCTGGCTTCTCCCGCTTGCGCCGCCGGGTGAGCCTGAAGGCGCGCACCCACCTGGCTCCAGGAAGAGGGACCGAGCTCGCGTGCTGGGCCTCACTCCCACTGGGGGCGTCGGCCACTCGATCGCAACCGGGTCGTAGGCATTTTGGGGGCTCATTTTAACAGAAGAAACGCTGGAGAAGCTTGTCAGAGGTGACAGCTGAGAAGTACTGCCTCTGGGACTTCTGCCTCCAAGCCAAAGCACTTTCCACTGCATTGTCCTGGGCCCTCCAAAGAAAGTGTGCTGTCCTTCTGAAGAGAAGAAATGATTGCATGGCTTCCGAGGGGCTGCCATATTCATATTACTGTAGTAGAGTGTCCAGAGTCACCCAGAAAGATTAGGGCTGTAAGAAAGTAAAGCTAATTTAAAATATTAAAGAGGACTTCCAGTTATAATTAATCCTGTGTATCCTGCTCCTTCTCCAAACTTAACAGTAAAGCAATGCTCCTTCTCCAAATAACAGTAAAGCAATGACAAAGGGAACAAACAAAGGCAAAAAGAACAAGAGAAGAGATGACTGCAGACCGGTTATACCAACACATTTTTGGAGGACAAGAGCAATAACTTATTCAGTCCTTACAGCGTGACAGACATTGTTCTAAGTGTTTTACACATTGTTCACTCCTTTAAACAACCTAAAAGGTAGAGATATTAAGTATGCTTTACAGATAAGTGAGCCATAGGGAGGTTACCTGAACCCAAGCACCCTCTTTGCAGATGGTGTCAGGAGAACTGAGCAAACTGCTTGTAGAAGGGGATATTTAGCCACTGATTCACAAAGCAGAACCCCAGAAAGCTTCAGGTGCCTTGAAGGTAGAAGGGAGGGCAGTAAATTGTTCAGGCAGAAGACTAGTTTAAGATGCTAAAGACAGGGCATCAGAGGGATTCCAGACACAAAGCCTAACAAAGGATGAGAGGTGCCATGATGTTTTCCTACTGAATAGTGCAATGCTAGCAGCCCCCTTCTCTGCCCCTCCCATAATGCAGGCACCCCTCTACCGCTCCCTACCACTATCTCCCCATAACCCTATTTTTCTCTGAAGAAATGAGTAGACAAAAGACCCTAGAGAAATGGCTCGGCAATACCAACATTCAGCATCCCCTAGTGTGAGCCTCACGAACACAGCATTTCCCAACGTTTTTGTTATTTGAAGGAAATGGAAAACAGAACAAAATGGTCTCAAAAAGTATTCTATAACTAGCATCTTCAAATAAAAGATATTTCAGCTATGAAACAAGAGGATTTCTTTTTTTAAGGAGACAGCAGAGCACAGGAAATGGTTCTTCTGTAGTAAAAATCATATCCCAAATTTCAAAACATCAATGAGTTGGAAAAATTTAGAAAGTAGAAATAGATGAAAAATGGAGCAAAAACAAAAGGATCCAGTATCCAATTAACAGGAGTTTAGAAACAAAAACAAAATGAAGAGAAAATTTTTCAAAAACTTAATAGAAAATTTAGCAAACAGAAACGTTTTTCACAGTGCAAGGGCCCACTGAGTGCTCACCACAATGACTATTAAGAAACCCACACAAAGGAACATGGTTGTGAAGTTTCAGAACACAGCAGATAAGAGAAAAACCAAGAGCTGCAGAGGGGAAAACTTACAAAGGACTTGGCATCACATACGCAATAGTATTAGGCTTCCTATCAGCAACACTGGAATTTAGAAGGGAGTAATGCTTTCAAAATGTGGAGATAATTTATTTCTTAGAGTTTTTAAACCCAGCCAATTCAGAGAGAAAGCAAGGAGAATAAAGATAGTTTCAAACAAGCACCTAGCCTGGATTGGAACAGGAAGACAGAGGGTTCTAAGAGAAACTTCTCTGAGGTGTGGGGAAGAGAACTGATACAGAGTGCCTGATATCTGACTGATGAGGAAAATATTAAGCAGAGGGTGTTAAATTTCTGTTGGGGGAATCTGGCAAGGATTGGTGACAGCTACGCAGAAAACAAAGTAACCAAGTGGGCTGGGCGCCGCCATGGCTTATTTGTAATCCCAACACTTTGTGAGTCCAGGGCGGGAGAATCACTTGAGCACAGGAGTTCAAATCCAGCCTGGACAATGTAGTGAGATCCCTGTCTCCACAAAAAGTAAAAAAACTAGCTGGCCATGGTGGCTGACATCTGTATTCACACCTACTGCAATGGCTGGGGTGGGAGGATCGTTTGACCCCACGTCAAGGCTACAGTGAACTGATTTGTGCCACCTCACTCCAGCCTGGGTGACAGAGTGAGACTGTCTCAAAAAAAAAAAAAAAAGAAAAAAAAGCGGTTATCACTGCCAGGAAAGTTGTTCCGGAAATGTAAATTGTAGTACACTTAGTCATAAGAAAAATCTTCAACATGATTTAATTGAGGTAGGGAGAAGGAAGTCAGTGTGATATGAGGATTCTAAATTCTCATCTTGCACAATGGGAAGTCTGGCAGCTCAACTCCGGGAATCCAAGAAAAAGGCATATAATCCTACTATTTTGAAATACGGAGGCAAGTACCTCATGAAACACCTAAAAAAGTCAAAAGTGATGGCTTTCAGGGAGTAGCACTCACATTTTACTTAACTTTTTAAATATGCTCATGCTTAGGAAGTTATCAGATAATTGGCAGCCAGATATTGCTAGTTTCATAAGTTTCTTGAGAACAGGGTGGAGGGAGGAGCTCTAAATTGAAGGAACTGTGTGAAGCAATGTGACTTTCATACAGAACCACCAGGACTGGTTTTCAGGAAATCAGGATTCTAATCCAAGGGAACTCTCAACTCCTATATGTTCTTGGGCAATTCGCTGAACATCAACTTGCTCTTCTTTGCAATGGGGGGCTCAGAGAGCTTGCCTACATGGGTGAGTAGACTCCTGAAAAAAAGGTGAGGTAAGTACTAAGAGTTGGCAGTTTCATTCTATGAAGAAAACTGAGCAATAGATGAAAACCCTTCAATGTTCACTTATCACCTACTTGATGCCTGAGAGACTGTGCAAGGTAATTATCTCAAGGTTGGGTTTTTTTTTTTTTCCTTCAGGGATGCTTGAGTGTTATCAGCACTTGATAATTATAAGGCTCTGTATTAGTATTCTTTATTGCCTGTGTATGTGAATTTTAAGCATCTCCATGTTTCACTGCTATTAATTGCTTTGCAAATTTAAATTCATGGTTCAGTAGAACTGGGAGGAAGTAGAACAAATGGAGTTAAAATGTTTTAAGGGTTAGAAGATACAAAATGAACCAAAAGGCAGAGGCTCTGAACATTAGAAACATTATGATACTTAAGCTAAAATCCACAGGCTGGAAATGGTTCAAGAGTTTTGGAATGTTTAGGAATGCAGTGGGTTGCTACATCAAAGAACTCTAAGAACTGGGACAAAAAGGAACAACTTAATTTTAAGGCCCGTGGAAAGAATAAACAGAACAAAGGGAGAAGTGTTGTAGGCAGCTTGAACTGGAACTGGGCTTTGCATTTAATGGGGGCAGGAGGTGGAAAACAGAACCTGGATCAAATCTGGTTCAGCTGATTTTTCCTCCCTTTATTCTTTAGGCCTAATTTTGTTAGCACACAATAAAAACCTACATGAGTTTTCCTTACCTCTGAAATATTAACATGCCTTTAATTTTCCCTTCTTTGATTTGTAGAATTTTGACATTGCTTTGCTCTTTTGATACTGGACATTATAGAAGGACTAAACAAAATCAACGGCAGTTAACAGAGTAACTATTAACCACACCAGGCTTTAACTTGTGTTATCAAATTTAGTCCTTAGGAAACCCTGAGATATGGCCGGGCAGAGCGGCTCATGCCTATAATCTCAGCACTTTGGGAGGCCAAGGCGGGTGAACCGCTTGAGCTGAGGAGTTGGAGACCAGTCTGGGCAACATGGTGAAACCCCGTCTCTACTAAAAATACAAAAATAAACCAAACATGGTGGTACGCGCCTGTAGTCCCAGCCACTCGGGAGGCTGAGGTAAAAGGATTGATCACCTGAGCCTGGGAGGATGAGGTTGCAGTGAGCCAAGATCACGCCACTGCACTCCCCCTGGGTGACAGAGAGATTGTCTCAAAAAACAAACCAACCAACCAACCCTGAGATAATTACCTCACATAGTCACTCAGCCAGTAAGTGAGATAGCTGAGACTTGACTTCAAAGACCTTTTTGCTACTATGTCCGCTTTCTAGTGTGCCAAAGTCAAAATATATCAAGAGCCCATAAGAGAGATTATTAGACAAGGCCAAGATAAACATCTTGAAACAGGAAGCCAAAGTTACCATCTTTCATCTCCTTAATGCTTTTGCCACCTAAAACAAGATATGGGTGTTATAGTGATGGTAGGGAACAGAACTGGGGACCCTGAGAAAAATCTCCAAAATAAGGTTCTTTTGCCCTTAACTAAATCTTAGAATCTTCTGAGCTCCATTTAAATCATGGAATTGCCCACTATACTTTCACGTTGGTAAGAATGATTATGCTTATAAACTCTCCTTATGTTCTGTAAACCAAATTAATGATTTTATCCTAAGTTGCCTTAAAAAAAATTTAAAAAAAAAAACCTAAGCACTGCCTTCATATGAGTGCAGATACTTAATTATAACTTTCATTATAGTGAAGCTATTTATTATACTGAGATTACATTAATGAATTAACAAGAGCCTTAAGCCATAGTTTTGACACTTAAGTATTAGCATTTTATTTCAAGCACTTATGCTCATCCTTGAGTTTAAAAAGTCTAACAAAATCTAAGAACCCGGGTTCCTTTAAACATGTTTACCTACTTGTGGAGACACCAACAGGAACCAGCAAACCATTGTTTATTTATTTACATAATGTATCTCCCATGGAGACCTATTTGGCTTACCACTCTTCATAGGCCTAGTACAATCTCATAGAGCACCCTAGGATTTCACTGATCAATACCTAATGGCACCTAAAAGTACCTATGCTTCTTTTCTTGTTCCATGAATCCGTGAAAGTCTGCAGATCCTCCCAGCTCTAGAAGCAGTCATGTTTTTTACCAAAATCAGCATTTTGCTTTATGGAAACACAGGCAACATCTGATAGCGAAGAGGGCATTAAGATTTGACTTAACCAAAATTGCCTGACAACGAAAAAGTCATTTCATCATTCTGCTTGGCAATGTAGTCTTCAGAAATCAACTGTGATAAAAAGCAGGAAATAACTGTTAAAATTTTAGCAACTCCTAAAAGGCTGGAAGGTGGGTTTAACAGTTTATTAGGATTTATAAGTGTCATTTTAAAAACAGTCGATTTAAACCATGTAGAAATAAGTATGCAAAAAGTCTGCAAAACAAAACATACTTTAAACATGTTTAAGTAGATAGATTATCTGAAATTCTGGATTTTTCAGTCACTTCATTGTTATGCTATGGCAGCCAAGTAATCCTTAACTTCAGTTGGAGTAAGCCTCCTAAATCCAGCTTCATTGCAGATTCCAACTTCTATGTTATCCTCTGTCATTTGCCCTTCAAAGCTTTCCTATTGAGGAGGGAGGAAAAAAGGTCAATTTTCTAAGCAGTTAATCATGAAATCATTATAAATCCAGTTGTTGAATACTGAGCTAACCTTTAGGGTTAAGATGGCTGTATGAATGGCATCTTCAAGTTCCAGATCTTCATTATATCTGAAGAATTTAAAAAAAATTACTTATATCATTGTTTATATTCTTTATAACTATTTAAATACAATGACAGCAACAACGTAAGTTTTTAAAACTCTAAACATCTTAAAAATACTAAATTACACATTCTTTTAATCACCTCCTTGTAGCTGTCTCCAGATTAAAAAAACTGACAATATCTGGTGCTCAATTCCCAACATCATGAACGGTATGACCCTAAAATGAGTTTAGTTTAGGAAACTTTTTTTTTTTTTTTTGAGACACAGTTATCTTGGCTTACTGCAAGCTCCACCTCCCGGGCTCATGCCATTCTCCTGCCTCAGCCTCCCAAGTAGCTGGGACTACAGGCGCCCACTACGCCCAGCTAATTTCTTTGTATTTTTAGTAGAGATGGGTTTCACTGTGTCAGCCAGGATGGTCTCGATCTCCTGACCTCGTGATCCGCCTGCCTTGACCTACCAAAGTGCTGGGATTACAGGCACGAGCCAACACACCCAGCCAGGAAACTTCTTAAGTATAAATATTTTAACAATCAGGATGTGGTGGCATTATTATAATTTTTAAAACACAGAAAAATCAGAACTTTGCTAAAATCTTTTTCTTATAAGTTAAAACATAACATGTCACTTCCTGCCGATACCAGTGTGGACGGTGCGAAGAGTGGCTGGGTCGTTTCTTCGGTTCTCCCCATCCCCTACTTTCCTCCCTCCATTGTCAACTGTTGCTCACCCTTCCCAGACTCCCCAGCCCCTCCCTAGCTCCTTCCTAATCTCGGTGCCACCTTTTCCTTTTTCTCTGCTCAGCCCGTGTTAGGGTGAAGCCTGGAGGAACCCCGGGCGCTGTACCAGAGGAGAAAAGACAAGGATGACCCTCAGCCCACCAGCCCAATCACTGGGTTCACCACCTCCATAGCAATGAGACTGATGCTGCTCACCTGTTCTGGCCACATATGGCCCGTGGCTGACTTGGCCTTCAGTGGCATCATGCCTTAGGGGCTTTTTTTTCCCTCAAGACAGAATCTTGCTCTGTCGCCCAGGCTGGAGTGCAGTGGTGCAATCTTGGCTCACTGCAAACTCCGCCTCCCAGGTTCAAGTGATTCTCCTGCCTCAGCCTCCCGAGTAGCTGGGATTACAGGCGCGCGCTATCACTCCTGGCTAATTTTTGTATTTTTAGTAGAGACGGGGTTTCACCATGTTGGCCCAGCTGGTCTCGAACTTCTGACCTCAGGTGATCCGCCTGCCTTGGCCTCCCAAAGTGCTGGGATTACAGGCGTGAGCCACTGCGCCTGGCCAGTCTTATGAGTATTTCTAAATCAGTGCTTGCAAAGACGGCAAACCTATGCTATGCCAGGGAGATACAGGAGACTGGATTGGAACAATTTTGGGTCATAAAGATGCTGTCTGGAATGCAACACTGAATAAGGATGCCACCAAAGCAGCCACAGCAGCTGCAGATTTCACAAAGTGTGGGATGCTATCCCAGGAGATGAACTGATGACCCTGGCTCATAAACACATTATCAAGACTATGGATTTCATGCAGGATAGTAATTATTTGTTAACCAGGGGACAGAATAAACTGTTTTGCATATATGACTTGAACAAACCCGAAGCAGAACCTGAGGAAATTAGTGATCACAGCTCTGATATTAAAAAGGCCCTATGGTACAGTGAGGATAAACAGATTCTTTCTTCTGATGACAAAACTGTTAAGACTTTGGGATCATGCTACTATGACAGAAGTGAAATCTCTAAATTTTATTATGTTGGCTAGTAGTATGGAATATATTTCTGAGGGAGAGATTTTGGTAATAACTTATGGCTGATCCAGTGCTTTTGACAGTACAGTAAGTTTGGAACCAATTAAATCCTTTCAAGCTCCTGCAAACATTAACTCTGAATCTCTTCACCTTGAGAAAGAATTTCTTGTTGCAGGTGGTGAAGATGTTAAACTTATAAGTATGATGATAATAGTGGAGAAGAATTAGAATCCTACAAAGGACACTCTGGTCCTATTCACTGTGTGAGATTTGATCCTGATGGAGAACTCTATGCCAGTGGTTCTGAAGATGGAACACTGAGACTGGCAAACTGTGGTAGGAAAAACATATGGCCTTTGGAAATGTGTGCTTCCTGAAGAAGATACTGGTGAGCTGGCAAAGCCAAAGATTGGTTTTCCAAAGACAAGAGAAGAGCTAGAAGAAATTGCTTCAGAGAATTCAGATTCCATCTATTCTTCAACTCCTCAAGTTAAGGCCTGAACATCAAGCATGTGCCACAGACAGCATACAACTGGACTAGAACGAGCAAGCAGAGAAAAGCATCAGCCTTCCAGAGTTACTCTCTGCTTAAGGCAAAAACAGCAATAAATAATGAGGAATATGAATTAGCTCCATTGCTGAAACAACTAACATGGTGTTACCCATAAGTGAAATCTCAAGAGTATCAGATGAAGGGAGGTTGAGTTATCCTCTTGTAGTACAATGGCCTGTCATCTTTTTAATGAATATGTACAAGATAACATCCAACTTCTCTTATTACAATTAAGAGTTCTTGCAGCTGTTTATGTCATTATGGAGAAGAAAAATATATTGGCTTATTTGTCTGACTTTTCCCTTAAAGCAGAATGTCTTTGTTGCTATTGTTTTTTGCTTTGGTTGTAAAGAGGGAATACATGATAAAGTAACTGGTTTAATTTCTTTCATTGTACACTGGTTCTGAACATCTAATTATTTTTAGTTGTCTAAATAAAATGCCTCTGAAACAAAAAATAAAACAAATCATAACATATCATGTAATAACAATGTGAAATCTTTGGAAGACTCATTAATATATAAAAGAAAAATGAAAAAGTGCTTTAAGAGCCTAAGATTAAGTTTACCATTTAAATCCAGGCCTAAGATTTTTAATAACCTTAACGTTACGTGAAAAATGTACTGTGAAGGCTCATCTGTTAAACGGAGTTACGAAGTTTTTTATTATTATTCAGCCATAAAAAAATGAAATCCTGTCATTTGCAGCAACATGGATGGAACTCGAGGTCATTACGTTAAGCAAAATAAGCCAGGCACAGAAAGATAAATATTGCATGTTGTCACTCATATGTGGGAGCTAAAAAAGTGGATCTCATGGAGGGAGAGAGTAGCACAGTGGTTACCAGAGGCTGGGAAGGGAGAAGGGAAGAAGAACTGAAGGAAGTTGGTTAAGGGGTCTAAAAATACGGTCAGACAGGAGGAATAAGTTCTGGTGTCCAGTAGTACAGTCAGGAAATTATCGTTAACAATTTACTGTATATTTCAGAACAGCTAGAAGATCTGCTATGTTCCCAACACAAAGAAAAGACAGATGTTTGAGGTAATGGATATCCAATTACCCTGATTTGACACTGTATACAGGTATCAAAATATCACATGTACTGCAAAAATATGTGCAACTATTACATATCAAGAAATAAAACATTTTCTTCTTCAAAAGCTTGGAGAGTCCCGAAGGACTACAGTAACACTGAGACTAGAATACAGCTGGAAATAAGTAAGAGCAGCTTGTACTTGGGCACCGACAGATTTTTACATAGTGCTCCACTTTTTATCAAGCACATGTATCAAATATTTAATATACCTTCAACTCCAGGCATTTGGTTTCACAATTTTTTTTACTGTCGTAAACTGTTATCATTAAATCATTTAAAAATTTGTCTCCCCAAATGTTTTATTCCAGATTCAATGTTCTTTTTTTTCCCTCCTGAAATGGCACAAAAAGTGAAGTAAAAAGTAAAAAAACCAAAAGCATTTAGGAAACCATAGAATGTAGAAAGAGAACTCCTTAGGAAATGAATATTAATTACCACTTAATATACTGAAGTCTAGGAAACTAGAAGGGAGAGAAGTTTTTGGTTTATCTGTAACTAGATTCATATACAGAGTAATATAGCAAGTTTCTTTAGTCCCATGATATTAATTTACTTAAAGAGCACCAAAAACCATAAAGTGAGTTTGCTAAAGAATGCAGTTACAATGAGTAGGCCTACCTTTTCTCAAGGAAAGTCTTCCCATTCACATAGTTCTTTCCCATTGCTGTAGCTTTCCAGGCAAAGTAAGCTCCCTAATCAGGAAAGAAAGAGTAAAAAACCATATTTTAAAACACAAATACAATTATATTGCCCTGCCATTTAATTTTTAGCTTTATTAATTGTTCTCTAACTTCGAAGGTCACAGAATATTATTAGAATGGAAAACGTCACAGAATAGGTTATTTTTTAAGAAGGCTAGAAGGATGGAAACCAAAAAGGCATGAAGAAACTTTTGGAGGTTCTGGAAATTTTTGATATCCTCATTGTAGTAATGGTTTCTTCAGGCATTTACATATATCAGAACTCATCAAACTGATGAGCTGGTGATGATGCAATTAAGTGTAAAATTATGTAAAAAATCCAGTTAAAAGAAATTGAGGTTAACTTAAAGCAAATAATCAAGAGTAGTATTTTAGTTTAATAGACTGAAGCGATTTAAAAATCTATCATATAAATCTGAAAAATGGTGATCAACTCTTGATCATTAGTGAATTAAAAAGAGAGCATCTCATTAGAAAAAAATACCAAAAGAAACATAATCCAATATGTTTTAAATGAAAACAATTGTTTTTTAGACACAACAGAGGAAAATAGGACAAAAGATAAAATCAGGATTCCAGAAATGGTGGCTTCTGCTACCTTCTGGAAAGGAAGATAAGAGGGCCTGTCATTTAGCTTTGGAAGCTCAGAGATGGAGTAACAACACTATCAAAGTTCCCAAAATACTTATTTTTCTGATTTAATTAACAACCAAAATATTTTTCTTTTGCCATCTCAGGTTATAAAAGTAGATTATAAGGTTTGCATTGAGTGAACCTGTAATTATCTAATAATCCATAAAACATGAAAGATCATTTCCTAATCTTGAATTTTGTCTTAAGGTTCTCATAGCAAATGGGACAGATGTGGAGTAGTATTATCCATTACAAACACCTTCTATTCAGATACCATTCTTCTGCATTAGAGCAGACAACTTACCCAAGGTACCAATTACACAATCATTTTTGCAAAACACTGAATTCAAGATAAATTAATGTTTTTGCTGGAAAACTCACTCAAGTCAGCCCCAAGATTCAACTGATGGCAAACACTACAACACTGTCCTCCAGATCCACATCTTCAATTGCAGTATTTCCCGAAGTAACAGGTTTAAATACATTTGATAACTATTTCAACAAATCACCCAAGTGTATGAAGTTAATGAACATGGCAAAAGAGGGTAGAACTAATACAGCTTCCTTATCAGAAGACCAAATTACCAAAATTTTAAATATACACACAAAAATGCACAACCTCATACTTTCTAAAGCCCAAGAGAAAAGAAGAAAATACTGCTAAATTGTAAAGTTTTTATGGCTTCTATTTCTGTTAGATATTCAAAGAGCACTTTTAACAAATCCCTCAAATACATTAAATGATACTTACAGATGGATCTGACTGAAATAAATATGGTCGTCCCTCATTCCAACCACAAATAAGTAAAGAAACTCCAAATGGACGAACACCACTGCAGGGAGGAAAATGAAAATTACTTGGCATTTTCATGGTGTTAAAGTCATCCTCAAGAATTTATCAGTACTCTCAAATAAAGCAAATTATCAGGCAAACTGAATTAGACTTTTAAGTTCCTTAGAAAGTATTTAACACCTTTCTGAATGAATCAATTCAAAACTAATTCTCTTTATGGTAGTGAGGAATGGTAGCCAAATAAAAAAAAATTTGAATTGAACAGTGTTACCTAAGACACTGGGGTTAATAAGTGTGTAGTAACATTTAGTGTCCTAATAAAATGACAACTTTCAATTAATGCAGCTTTTCCACTAGGTTTACCTATTACAAAATGACAACTTTCAGTTAATGCAGCTTTTCCACTAGGTTTACCTATTACAAAATGACAACTTTCAATTACTGCAGCTTTTCCACTAGGTTTACCTATTACAAAATGACAATTTTCAGTTAATGCAGCTTTTCCACTAGGTTTACCTATTACAAAATGACAACTTTCAGTTAATGCAGCTTTTCCACTAGGTTTACGTATCAACAACTACCTATATGCTATCTCATCTACACCCAAACTTAAGAAACTGGGGAATGAAAAGAAATATGAATACGTCCAAGAGCTGCTTTCATCATGTGCTTACCATCATTTCTGGTTAGAAAGATAAATTTGAAAGTAGCGGCCAGGCACAGTCCCAACACTTTGGGAGGCCAAGACAGGCAGATCACTTGAGGTCAGGAGTTTGAAACCAGCCTGGCCAACATAGTGAAACCACATCTCTACCAAAAAAATACAAAAAAAAAAAAAAAATTAGCTAAGCATGGTGATGCACGCCTGTGGTGCCAGCTACTCAGGAGGCTGACGCATAATTGCTTGATCCCAGGAGGCAGAGGTTGCAGTGAGCCGGGATCATGCCATTGCACTCCAGCCTGGGCGACAGAGTGAGACTCTGACTCAAAAAAAAAAAAAAAAAAAAAAAAAAGAAAAATTTAAAGTTGCAATGATTGTCTGTCCATAAAGTGTTTTAATCACTGGCAAAAGAACTTTGTATATCTAGAAGCTGCTTTCTGCTGTTACATAAGCAACAAGAAAACACATTTTTTTCCTTAAATAAATACTCCAGAGCCAGATAAGATCAGAAATATTCATCATAGTGATTCTGTCCACTTGTTAAGCAAATACAGAAATGGTAAGTCCCACTCTATTTATATACCTACTCTTTAAAATAACTTCCCCCTACAATTCATGGCACATTTCAAGTAAAAAAAGCAACTTACCCTGACTGAGTATATTCTTGCATCACAGAAGCTACTCTCTGTACCAGCTGAGCTGTAGGAATGGGTTCTTGGTACACAAGATAGTATTGTTGAGCTAGTTTTCGAGCTCTGTGCACAAGCACTCTAACAAGGAAAAAATAAGATTTAATTACACAGAACATGCTCTACTACCTGAAGACTCATTCTCCTTTTACAGGCATGTACCTGCAGCACAAGTTTAACATGTATCTCTTTAATGGTGGCTATTGGATCAAAGCTAGTCTTACTCTAACACTGGATTCCAGTTGATATAGAAGAAAATATCAGAGCATCAGAGTACCAGTTAGCTTAAAAGTAACAGATTTAATGTACAAAAATGAGAACTTTATCTTGCTCCACGGCTTCTTCAAGACTGTACCCCCATCCAAGGGCAGCCGCTTGTCTTTTTACAGCTCACCCCAGCCCACACACACAAGCACACATAAACACACAGGCACACAATTCTGGGCATATTTTTCTCACTTCAGGTCACTACTTTCTGCAGACTGTTTCAATCTCTCTGCCTGTGCTTCACGGAGTACCCTTCAGAGATTAAGAAACAGTAAGAAACTACTTGTAACTAAAAATGTAAAATTCGGCTAGGTGCAGTGTTTCACGCCTGTAATCCCAACACTTTAAAAGGCTGAGGCAGGAAGATCACTTGAGGCCAGGAGTTTCAGACCTGCCTGGGCAAGACCCTGGGTTACTTTAAAGAGAATAACTCAGATGTGAAAGAGGAGGGAGATAGAGTACATAACTCCTCTTTTCTCTGTTTAATGGACTTTCCTTTCTGACATATTCCTCTTCTACTATACAGGAACTGGGCATAAGGCTTTAGTTTTCTCCAGTGCAGTTTAAAATGATAAAAGCAATACCCAGCATGACCCTGTCTCTTAAAATTTTTTTTCAGAAGTAAAATTTGTCAAAAGAGATTAAGAAGATATTATATAACAATCAAATATATTAGCAAGACAAATAGGATTTATCTTTGCCAGCTCATATACTACTGATCTGAAATATGCACATTTTCCCTCTGTGTGACAGTCATGTCCCATCCCTCAGTTTATCCTATCAGTGGCAGCACAATGCAGTATCCAGCCTATATAGTGGTGACAAGATTCACTGCCTGATCACATTCCACTGACCTTGTTGCGTTGATTCACTGAAGTGAAACTTTGCCTCTACCTATCTTGCTCCACAAAATCATGAGCAATAAAGTAATACTCCTTTTACTTGTTTAAATGACAGACACAGAAAGCTGTCAATCTCTTTCAACTTGCTGGTACCCTGAGTAACAAGATTATTCTCTCTTCCTGTGAAATATAAAGGGGGTGATTACACAAGCATTGGGATCCTGGTTGGCTGCCACACTCAACAACTTGCAGTGGTGTTTGAGAATTTTGTTCCTTTGTGAAGAACAGGAAAAAAGATAACTCTGGATAGTGATACTTTCTTTTGTTGCCTCATACTTTTTAAAATATAGTTTATTATAACTTAAATTGCTTTTATCATTTTTAAACTGCACTGGCGAAAACTAAAGCCCTTACGCCCAGTTCCTGGATAGTAGAAGAGGAATATGTCAGAAGAGAAAGTCCGCTGAACAGAGAAAAGAGGAGTTATGTAATCTATCTACCTCCTCTTTCACATCTGAGTTATTCTCTTTAAAGTAACCTATACAGGCAAACTAAATTCAGCTCTCAACGAGGCTGCTATTGCTAAACAAAGCACACAAAAAAAGAGGAACTGGAAGATTAAAGGAAAACAACCTTGGTTTTTCTCCTGAAAATACAGATTACAATCAATTCATGAGATGGTGAGAAACACTATAAAAAGTATAAAGTACCTGTAATCGGGGCCCATGCCACTGTACACCAAACCTATATGCTTGGTAATTGGTTCTACTTTGTGTACACTTCGCTCATCATACAGAATGGATTTCTGTTTTTTCTCAGTTGCTAATACCACACCATTTGCAGCTTAAAAAAAAAGAGAGAGACATAAATGTTTAATCATTTTTAAGACTGTTTTAACAGCTTTCTAATTATGGATGCGCTAAACGCAAACTCCTTTATTTCCTTTAATTTATAAAACCTTTTCTTCCGGAGTCCTATTACCAAAATTACCTAAGAAATGGTAAGTCAGTTTTTCCCTCACTGGTCATTTAGTACTACACAAAAAAATCCTCCCTACAGCTAAAGGTATTACATAAACTTTTGTAAAGCACTCTAAGGATACCTGAGAGTTCACATGTTTTAAAATAAGGGATTTCTGTCTACTTGTCCCAATATTCTTATAACATGAAATTTACAATAAATGATACAGGCTTTTAAAGTGAAACACAACACATTTAGCTTATGTTTTATAATTAAGCTTTCCTAAATTATAAGGATAAAAACTGCCAGGAAGTAGTGATATAATCAGTGGAAAAACAAAAAAAGAACTCAGTTTTCTGAATGAGAAAGACTATTGTGAATATCACAACTAACAGATAAAGGTGTTACTATTTACTTTGAAAAGAAATTTGAATGACCTTAGACTTATTACTATTTAAACTCCAAAACACTGTAAATTAACAAAAAATTGTTAAAAATTATACTGCTGCAGCTCTGTATAAATTAATTACTAATGAATTCCAAAATAATTAGGATAACTACTAACAGGCATCTGAAATGAATGAAGCATTTCATTACCTTTAATTCCCACGGACGGGGCTCCTCCAGCTACAGCAGCCAAAGCATATTCAATCTGGACAAGTTTACCAGACGGGCTTAAAAGAAACACAGGTATTTGTAAGTTCACATATCATCAAATATTTATTGTAAGAACATCTCTGAGATAGTACAGACATACAGGTCAAATCCAATTTATCCAACTCCAGGGAGTAACTGGCCTTTGACCTCTATCATGAAGTGGCACAGAAACCAAGTTTACAGCTGGGCGCAATGACTCAAGTTTGTAATCCCAGCACTTTGGAAGGCCAAGACGGGTGGATCACCTGAGGTCAGGAGTTCGAGACCAGCCTGACTAACATGGTGAAACCCTGTCTCTACTAAATATACAAAAATTAGCCGGGTATGGTGGTGCATGCCTGTAATCCCAGCTACTTGGGAGGCTGAGGCAGGAGAATTGCTTGAATCCGGGAGGTGGAGGTTGCAGTAAGCCAAGATTGCACCATTGCACTCTAGCCTGGGCAACAAGGCCGAAACCTCGTCTCAAAAAAAAAAAGAGAAAGACAGAAAGAAAGAAACCAAGTTTACAAGGCAATTGGAACATACTCCTACTGAAGCACTACTTTCTCTTTGGTTGTTTTTTGTCTGCCACATGGAGCAGTGGTATTACTGTTGCTTCTTTTCACCCTAAGTTTTCTATGCCTGTTTTCTCACCTGTAAAATGAGGACACAGTAACCACAACTGGTTTTCCGTATCAGTGGATTCCACAGGGCTGACTACAGGACTTGAATACGCCCTCACTTGGTATTTGTGGGGGTACTGAAATCACCGTCCCCTACAAGTGTCCTGTACCTATTTCAAAGCATTGTTGTGATTAAGTGAAGTAATTCCTATAAAACTGTCTGGCATAAAATCAGTAACAAGCACATACTGAATAGTAATGTTATTAAGAACATGTATGTGTCTGTTAAAAACCAAACAGCAGCACATATTTCAGGTCGGAGGGTGGTTTTAGAAAACAGACATGGCCTAAGACAATAAGACCTAGATATCACTCACAATTAAGTATTCTCTATATAATATACAACTATTTCTAGAAGTCATGAGATGGTCACACTTAACAGATCTGGTTCCATGGATTTGGTAGCTAAACGCAAGTCTCAAACTGGCCTTTTAAAGTTATCCTTTATTTCAACCTAGTTGTTTAAATGGAATCATCATAAACCAACCTAATTTCATAGATAAAGTCTGAGTGAAAGTAATTTGTCCAAAGTGACACAGCTAGGTCCTTATCTCCCGTCTACTAATGAAAATATAAATTTCAGAAGGCCGTATTTTCTCTTCATATAATTACGAATATTCCCTTGGTCACTCAAATCTCAACTCCATCCCTCCTTGCTCCAAACACATAGACTACTCTCAGACTTCAAACGCCTCATTGACAAGCTAATCCCTCCATCTGAAATGCATTTCTCTATTGCCCTGTGAACTCCTTTCATTCAATCATGTCCTAAGGGAAGTTGCCCTGAACCCTCAAGATTAAGTTGAATACCTATTCACTGATGCCTGTGATGTCCTGCACTTCCTCTTTGTCTAAGATTCATCATATCTGAATTGTTATTTTTTTTTTTTAGTAACAGGGTCTTGCTATGCTGCCCAGGCTGGTCTCAAACACCTCGTCTCAAGCAATCCTCCTGCCTCGGTCTCTTTATTATTTTTACAATATTTGTCTTCCTCAATAAAGTAGCTATGTTCAGTCAGGATTCCAGCACATAACCTAATACCAGGAATCCACAATCATTTGGCTGACAGAGACACATCTAGACCAATTAAAGAAACAGACCTAAGGGTGACAGCTTTAAGGCTCTTGATATAATTAATTTGAGCAGAATAACATCAACTGACATTTAAATTAAAAAATTAGGCTGAACTTTTCCTTTAATAGTCACTATTTCAATAATCATATCATAACTTTCTGGGTCCATCCAGCTTTCAATTATTGTTCAATACCTAATTCATATACCCCTGGGTAACATTTAAAGGCTCATGTAAACTTAATAGCTACCATTTCTCTGTTCCTATTACCTGTACATACCTATCTTTACCACTGCATGATTTCACTGCGTGAAAGCTCACTAACCTGTGAGCTGGCTGAGCAATCAACCATCTTTATATTCCATAATGCCACTATCCCATTCCATAGCATCAGCATCCCTACATGGGATAACTGAAATAGCCTTCTAACTGGTTTTCCTCTTTCTCAACCTTACTTCCACCCCCAGCCAAAGTTACCTTTGGACCATGTCACCTACACTTAGATTTTGTAATAACTTCTTTGTTCACGTAAAATAAAATCTCCTTCTCTGGCCTACAAAGTCCTACACGATTAGCCCTCTCCCACATTATCTCCTTGCTCACTATAGCACATTTGCCTCATTTTTATTCCTTTAAGAGCTCAAGCTCCTTCCCAGTTTCAGGGCTTTCATACATGCTGTTCCCTCTGTCTACAAGTCTCCTTATTCCTGAATCTTCAAATAGCTGGTTACTTTTAATCTTCCAGTCTCAAAAATCACCCCCAAGCACAAGCCTTTCCTGATTACTCAATCTAAAGTCATATTCCTTCCTTCACCCATTTAAAATAAAATTCCTTAGTAAGAGAATGTATTAGTAGGCACCAATTTGTTTACTCATTTATTGTCAATTCCTCAACCAAATGTAGTCCACAAGAACTGTTTCATCCTGTATGGTCTCTAGTCCCTTCCACCATTAGTTTACTTCTGATTATGAGAGGCTAGAAACAAATATTTTCTTTTTATCTAAAACAGGTGAATCCACCATGTTAAAACACACACACACACACACGCACACACACACACACACACACACAAGTTTGGTTTTTTTAAAAAAAACTTTTAGATATGGGGTATCACTTTGTGACCCAGGCTGGAGTGCAGTGGCAGAATCACAGCTCACTGAATCCTAAACTCTTGGGTTCAAGTGCTCCTCTCGCCCTCAGCCTCCCAAATAGCTTGGATTACAGGCACATGCCTGGCTAATTTTTTAATTTTTTTCAGAGATAGGGTCTTGCTGTGTTGCCCAGGCTAGTCTTGAACTCCTGGGCTAAAGTGATCCTCCTGCCTCAGTCTCCTGAGTAGCTGGGATTACAGGTGTGAGTCACCCTGCCTGGCCAAAAGTTTATTTTAATAAAGAAAATTTGTTATAAAAAGATTCAGTCCCTGAAGGTATACGGTTGTTTTATGTTTTCAGCTCCACTAGGATTACACTTTCTTCGCGATAAAAGACCACATTTGCAGCCTGGGCAACATCGCAAGACCTCATGCCTTAAAAAAAAAAATTAGCAGGCAGGGTGGTGCACACCTCTAGTCCCAGCTACTCCAGAGACTGAGGCAGGAGGATCCCTTGAGCCCAAGAGCTGGAGGCTGCCAAGTCCCTGTCCCTAAAAAAAGGACCACATTTGTTTTCTTCATAAATAGGAACAGTGAATACATCCTGCACACACTATTCTGTCATATGTAATATAATGAGACCTTTTATTGCATAATTAAATTAATCTCGTTCAAAGGTTACAAAAAAACTATTACATACACCCACTGCTTACTGAAAACTGCCAAGAGAAAAGTACTTTTGGAATTTAAGACAACGTTATGTAATGGAAAGTGTATTTTTGTTATCAGAAAAAAAACCCAGTTTGAATGTCAACTCAGCTACTCACCGATGACCTTAGACAAGTTGTTTAATTTGTACAAGCTGCGGTTAGTTCATCTGTAAGAAGCTGAGATAACATTCATTATAGCAGTGGAAAGAGATGGAGCAGGTTAAGGTTAAGTTGCACCTAACAAAGTACTCAACAAGTTAGATCCCGCCTGCCTTCAGTTGTCAGGAGTACATTTTAAGTAAACTGGGCATTA
Organism: Homo sapiens; assembly: GCF_000001405.40. Classification (NCBI taxonomy): domain Eukaryota; kingdom Metazoa; phylum Chordata; class Mammalia; order Primates; family Hominidae; genus Homo; species Homo sapiens. The sequence goes on from NC_000007.14 coordinate 42,931,292, forward strand.
CTGATCCTTAAGAAAATGGGTAAGTCAGAAAACTTCCCCAGTCAATTTTTAAAAGTCTTCGGCGATGGTTTTCTCACGTTGAGAGCCATGGTTCGCCCCAACTGTATTTTGGAAAGTAAACTTATTATTCTAATCCCCTTTTCTACAATAGAAAAACCTACAATCTTGTTTAAAGTAAACATCCCCCTCCCCGACGTTCCCCCCAGTCCACCAAAAAAAGACCAAAACTCAAACTTGCCTCGTTGTTAGGGGTTCACAAAAAAGTGATAGGGGCTTTCGGTTTTTAGTCCTTATGTTTCTAATTCGTGCATCGAAGAAACCGAAAGCGGGAGGTTTTGAAAGACACTAGTGCCAAATGGAGACCAAGACTCCGACTTAACTGTAAAGCTGAGAGTTTTCCAAGAAAAGGGAACCCCACATATTTGACCAAGATTCCAAGTTTCAGAAACCACCGCATCAGGTCTACTTGAGCCAGGAAAAAAATCCTGAGTTCGGAACGGGCCACCCAGAGATGGTTAAGCTAAAACTGCCTTCTTTTCTGGTCTCCAAAGTGAAAGCGAATCCTTGGCTATGTGCCTCACCGTCCCGCAGCCCCATGTTAACCCCGCAAAACCGCATCCCCCCGACCCTCCAGCAGCCTCCGACCAAGGAAGCTCCAGGAATCCCGGGTCGGCCTGGCAAATGACTTTGCAAAGCCGCATTTCCAACTCCATTCCCTACTGGACCCTCCAGAAGCACCAATGCCGACGTCAGGATGGGAAAAACTAAATCGACAGAGTACCAGCAACCTCGACTACGCTGAAGACCTCGAGGGCCCCTTCCATACCTGAATGTAGTCAGCGAAAAGCTGTACCCGCGCTCCGCCATCTTTACCCGAAGAGCCAAAGCACAGCCGCACACATGCGCACTGTGGCCGATTTCCTTTCATTTCCCCGCCCCTCACCTTTCCTTTACTCTCTATGATTGGAGGAGAGTCAGAGCTGCTCCAAGAGCATGCGGGGTGTTGTAGTTCTAAGAAGCGAGGCTTGCCCGATTCTGTGCCTGTGCGCATGCTGAAAGCAGGGGCGGGACCGGGGCGGTCTTCCAGCAGGGAAAATGGCGCTGGCCATGCTGGTCTTGGTGGTTTCGCCGTGGTCTGCGGCCCGGGGAGTGCTTCGAAACTACTGGGAGCGACTGCTACGGAAGCTTCCGCAGAGCCGGCCGGGCTTTCCCAGTCCTCCGTGGGGTAGGTAAAGAAGGGCTCCGTGGGAGAGGGGGCTGATGACGGGACCTCGGGCAGCGTAGCAGACGCAGCTTACACAGTTCGCCCTCAGCCCCGGTTCTGATCCGCGGCCTCATGTCGGGGACGTAGTTCGTGACATTCCCATATTAGCGAGAACAGAACGACTGTTTTTGCGCTCCCTCCACCGCAAAAAAAAAAAAAAAAAAATTCCTCTGCTTGTTCCATTCGTACACAGAATGTAACCCAAGCTTGTGTCAAAGATAAATCATAGCCAGCCAGTAAGTAAAGCGCTGAAAACAGATTTTATTCAGTAACTACTGCAGGTAAAGAGCTGAGCTCCATCCCGGTTTGTGCAGAGGTGACTTTGGGCGTTTTAAAGGGAGAATGAGCGAGGCGGGAGTGTAGGGGCTCTGTAGAGTCAGAGAAGTGTAGTATAGTGAAGTCAGTGCAAATGTGATTAGCCGGCTGTGTCTGCTAGCTCGCAGTTGTCTTAGGGAGAATTCTATCCTCCCGCAGAGACTGGGAGACAAAGGCCCTATCCTTCCTAATGATTAGATTTCGAAGGAATGGCTCTCAGGGCCTTGAAAGAAAAGCTTCCGAGTTAGTTGCAAGGGATACGTATTTACAATTATATGCCCTTTCCAGGAAATGCTCTAAGGGAGTTCGGGACCTACTATCGGGGTATGTTGGCCAAAATAAATAGGAAATTTTCCAGGCAGCGTTGAGCTTTCTCAGGCAGGCACTTTAAAGGGGGGGCCGAGGTCATCCTAGGATACAGCCTTATGCTGCTAGAAACTATGCTAGAGTTTGGTCAAGTCTGTGGAGTTCAGGGATTTGTACAGAGTTGTCCTGAGAGGACAGTTCTGCAGGTCTCACTTGGCATCAAGGCTCACCACTCTCTGGATCTGTCTTTCCTTTCCAGCCCTGCCCTCACCTCCCCTCCCGCTTCCCCTCTCCCCCCTCTCCTCTTCCCTTCCCTTCCCTCCCTTCTTTCCTCCCTTCCTCCCTCCCTCCCGCGCAGTACATGTTTTCTGTGGTGTTTGAGCTCTGAGGAGCTGAATTCTGTTTCCCATGTTTCACTTGGAATTAATTTTAATTGGAAGTATCTTGGATGTTGAAACTGTCATGGCTTTGGCATTTACATTCTACTCAATTTCTAAGCAGCCTGAAAGTGATAATATCCAGAAATATACCAAGAAAATATATGCCACTATATGCCAAGCAATGTGCCAAGCTTTCTACATGTACTTCCTGGGATAATCTTGACAACAGTCCCATTAGGTGTATACACTTTCCAACTGAAACAGTAGGCTCACAATGGTCCCAAGTTCACAGACAGTCCTGAGCCTGTGTTGTTAATCACCGGGGCATGCTTGGCAATACTTGTGGACATACTGAAAATAAATGCCAGTTGTTAAGTGTTAGAGAACTTTGTGTATTTTTAAGAGTTCTTAAGATCAAAAGAAGTATGTGGGCTGGGCGCGGTGGCTCACACCTGTAATCTCAGCACTTTGGGAGGCCAAGGTGGGTCCATCACCTAAGGTCAGGAGTTCAAGACCAGCCTGGCCAACATTGTGAAACCCTGTCTCTACTAAAAATACAAAATTAACCAGGCGTGGTGGTGCACACCTGTAATCCCAGCTACTTGGGAGGCTGAGGCAGGAGAATCACTTGAACCAGGGAGGCGGAGGTTGCAGTGAGCCGAGGTCACGCCACTGCACTCTAGCCTGAGTGACAGAGTGAGACTCAGTCTCAAAAAAAAAAAAAAAAAGTATGGCACGTCTAAGAAATAGCAAGGAAAGGGTAAAGGAATGTTGATTTTATAAGCAATTCAGAAAAAGAGAAACTTTGATAGTCACATAAATAAGGCCATACAGAGAAATGGTGAGCTGGCTCTTTTCTTTAGAGAGCAGACAGGAATCAAGATTAAATGTTATGAGGAACTAAGTGACTTAAGAGGTTGTATCATAAAGGACCTGACTCAGTTTGAATATAAGAAAAGGCAATTGGCAGTTACATCAGTGCCGGTCAGAAGTGTATTCAGGAAATCTGTCTAGATTTACTTGTAAATTAATCAGGTACTTACTACCCGCCAAGTATTAATAGAATGTGGACAGTTGAGTGATTCTTTGCTTGTTTTGTTCAAGTTAGGTGCCTATCAGAGTCCTGTATTTTATGAGATAAGAAACTTGATGGAATTTCACTGATCTTCTTTTCAGCAGGATCCGCTAAGAAAAAATTCTGTGTTCCTTAAAATTGTATAAGCTTTAGTGTATTTTAATAGCTAAGGTTTCTCATTATTGAGTTTCACATTCTAAATTTTATATATAGTTTTTGTGTGTGTGTATGTTTGACCATTGATTGTTAAGGAAAATGATATCTGTAAATAGTAATTTAGAAGCTAGAAACTAATTCTGTATCTCTTATGTTTTATTTCCTAGGACCAGCATTAGCAGTACAGGGCCCAGCCATGTTTACAGAGCCAGCAAATGATACCAGTGGAAGTAAAGAGAATTCCAGCCTTTTGGACAGTATCTTTTGGATGGCAGCTCCCAAAAATAGACGCACCATTGAAGTTAACCGGTGTAGGAGAAGAAATCCGCAGAAGCTTATTAAAGTTAAGGTAATGCATTGATTTTTGTGGGTGTGCTTTTCCTCAAGTCCTCCATTGAATAAGCTCATGGTAGATTCCTATAGCCTAGGAATAAATTATTATCAGATTATATGTGTCTACTTTCCTCTGGCCTAAATGAAATACAGTATTCTCATTATATACATAATGAGAAGGCTAGAGCCTGCTGTCCTCTAGCCTGAGTATTAGAAACACAGTCAAGGAAGGAGTGAGTTTGGAGACTGGGCAAGGAACGAGGCTGTGAGGTGCCTACATGACTTCTGAATTGTGAGCTGTGTCAGTCTTGAGCTGTGTGAGTTTTGAACTACAGATGAGTAAACATCCTAACTATGGCAGAGCCTAGAATTAAAGCTAGAAGCAGTAGGTATACTGAATCTTGGGTTTTACAAGCCCTTACATATTTGTTTTATTTTTTTATCATTTCCAACAAAATACCATGAAGGAAAACCCTAAGATAAGTAATATAATAGCTAACAACAATTAAGTGTCTATGATGTATCTCAGTGCCTTATGTTTATTATATCTCATCATGTCTTATAGCCCTCCAAAGCAAATAAGATATTCTTCATTATTAGGATGAAAAAACTGAGGCAAAAAGAATTTGCCTGTGGTCACACAGCTATGAAGCAGTAGATTTTCGAGCTCTGATTTTTGACCTCATGTTCTTTTAAAGATTTTCTTTGTGTTCTCCTATCCTCAGACAATTTCAGATTCTCCTCGCTGACAACATGGATGTACTGTCTTCATTGATCTAGTAAAGAAAAATTACAGTGTGTATTACCTCTGATCTGTTCATGTATGGTTTTAACAGTTAGGATTTCAGTTACTGTTTACTTCATGGCGTTCCACAACAGCAGCACCATACAGATGAAACTCGAGAACAGAAAGCTGACTTTCATAAGCATCCACATTCTGTTAAGCAAAACCTTAGAACTTAAGCCAGAAAGTATTATTGAGTGATGGTTGGGGCTGAACTTAAATGTAGAACTGAAAAACACTTTATTACTTAAGACTTACAGTAATTCATAAATTTGCTCAAGAGGACGTAAGATTTTAGGAATGAGATCTTGCACTGATCTATTATGTGACTTCCCTGATCGCATTTATTCTGAAGGAATAGTTCTTATCCTGTGCATTTATTTTCTTCCTTGAATTATTTTCTGTTACATACGGTATATAGTGTGTTATGTTGGGTACTTTGATCACGAAAGGAAGACCAGCTGACTGTGGGTGTCTTCATACCTTCAGTTGTGCATGCAATCCAGTTTCCAGTAGTGGAGCAAAATGAGAATATGGTTAGGCAAGTAATATACAAGCCTCTTTCTTCCTTTCAGAAAAGGAAATTCTTTTGTTATCTGCCTCACAAATGTTAGTATATTAATCTTATCAAGTGTTTAAAGCTTCTTTAATGATCCTGTTTAGTATTTTTCTTTGTATTTTCTTTCAAACCTACATCTAGAATAAGTTGATAAATCTTTTAGAGGTTATAATGTTTCTATTTTATATTTAAAGTTGGAGATATATATATATCTATATCTATCTCTATATATATATATATACACACACATATATATATCATTAAAATACCCTAAGAATGTAACATAGAAAATAATTTTACATTAAGGAATAATCAGTGTTCATTTTTAAAAAGAAAAATTATACCATATACGAAACCTGTATTCTGTACAGGAATTTGAATTACACTGTGATAAAAAGAGGAAGCCAAGGAAGTCAACTTGTAATGTTCTTATCTTGTTTTCCCTAAGATAGATTGAAAGACAAAGGGAATTCACTTTTCCTTGGTGTCTTATTTAAGATGCTGATTGTTTGGGTCACTTCATTATGTTGACAAATTCCTTATTTGATATTTAGTATTTGGAGTTAGGGGAAATGAGTATTTCTTTTTTCTTTTTTACATAACTACAACTGCTGTGTTTAAGTAAAGATACCAGATTCAGGTTGGCTGAATTCTAGTTCTAGTTTTTCTCTAATTCAAACTCAGTGTTGCTTGTCTTCAGTCTTCCTGTTAAAGTGAGGTGGAACTAGATGGTGTATGATGACCTCATGTAGCCTGAACATCCTAAGAAAGTTAAAATGTAAGCATTGCTCCTGTCAGTGGTTATTTGTTCGTTATATTGCCTCATGTTAAAATACGTTTTTGTTTATTGTTTTAAAGAACAACATAGACGTTTGTCCTGAATGTGGTCACCTGAAACAGAAACATGTCCTTTGTGCCTACTGCTATGAAAAGGTGTGCAAGGAGACTGCAGAAATCAGACGACAGATAGGGAAGCAAGAAGGGGGCCCTTTTAAGGCTCCCACCATAGAGACTGTGGTGCTGTACACGGGAGAGACACCGTCTGAACAAGATCAGGGCAAGAGGATCATTGAACGAGACAGAAAGCGACCATCCTGGTTCACCCAGAATTGACACCAAAGATGTTAAAAGGGTAACTTCACAGTAAATCATTTCTCCTGAAATAGAGGAAGATTCTTTATGTTGTTGTGCTTGTTTTTAAATCATCAGTATAGTTTAACACATTCTTTCTAAGCAGTTTTGTGTGGGATAATTTGAAGAATATATTATGAGTAAACTCCGAAAATTTTGTTTATCCAAAGGCTCAATGGATTATGTTTCTATTATATACAAGGTTTTAAGTAAACATAAAATTTCCAGAACAAAAATAAAAAATTTAAAATTCATAGCAAAAATTCTGTGTTTTGGCTTTGGTTTTGTTTGCCAGTGCCTTTTCTTAGACAAGAATACTTAACACAGATAACTCCATTTAAGTAACACATGGAAATAGGTTATTATTTGCATTTTTGGTATTGTTTTTTAAGATGGTAGGTGTGGCAGTAAGAATGGTTTTTGTTCTTATTTTTCTCTTAGCAAATTAAAATTGCTTTTGGAGGAAATTACTTTTATGAAACATACTAATTTACTTAGGTGATAGAAGTACTTCTTTACATTTTACATTAAATCAAAATCATATTCAGAATATATGAGATAGCCTATGTTTTGGAAGAGATTATTAGTAAAGATGTGAGCAGATTCCATAGCACACTGAAAATGTGATACGAATGTTCTTTGCATTTTTCTTTTAATATGTCCTTTTAGTTTATTTCACGTTTTATCAATTTTATCTCATTGTAACAATAGGCAATAGGCTCTTTAACTTAACTTTCTTTTTTTTTTTTTTTGAGATGGAGTTTCGCTCTTGTCGCCCAGGCTGGAGTGCAATAGCCTGATCTCAGCTTCACTGCAACCTCCGTCTCCTGGGTTCAAGAGATTCTCCTGTCTTAGTCTCCCAAGTAGCTGAGATTATAGGCGCCTGGCACCACGCCTAGCTAATATTTGTATTTTTAGTAGAGACAGGGTTTCACCATGTTGGCCAGGGTGGTCTCAAACTCCTGACCTCGGGCGATCCCACCTTCCTCAGCCTCCCAAAGTGCTGGGATTACAGGCATGAGCCAGTGTGCCTGGCCTTTAACTTAACTTTCTACAGTTAATTTCTTATTTTCTTCTACCTCTCTCATTCCTGTGTCCACCTTGAGCCCAAGGTTTGCTATTTTGTTTCTTGCCTCATTCAAAATGAAAAAAGTGAGGTAGCTATTTAAAACACATAATGATAAGCAACTTAGGGAATTATAGTTAAAGGTAACATCGGTAGACAAGATAAAGCCCAGGGAAGTATTTACAGCAAAAATACATGCTGCAGTAACCTGAACACATACTATATTAGGCAGCATATTTGACTCAACATTTTTTTTCTTTTTTTCTTTTTTTTTTTGAGACGAAGTTTCACTCTGTCGCCCAGGCTGGAGTGCAGTGGCACTACCTCGGCTCTCTGCAACCTTCACCTCCCAGGTTCAAGCAAGTCTCTTGTTCTCAGTTTCCCAAATAGCTGGGATTACAGGCACCGGCTACCATGCCCAGCTAATTTTTGTATTTTTAGTCCCGACCTCAGGTGATCTGCCCACCTTGGCCTTCCAAAGTGCCAGAATTACAGGCTGAACATTTTTTTCTTTGGAAAGAAAGAAGATTCACTTGCATGGATCAGTCTTCACAAAGTAAGACAGATAATCTAGAAGATGCATCACTATCTTGGTACTAAGGCCTGAAGTGTACTAAGGCCTGGGGCTTCATAATGAAAATTGTATAATGGCGCAATCTATGTTAACATTCCTAGAGGTAAAATCACCAATTTCATTGGGTATGGTATAGGCCAATGTTACGTTGAAGTGCAATTCAGTAAAAAATTTTTAAAACTTCCAAAGTGTTAGAATCCCAGCAAATAGCTCTTTCAAGGCTGGGCTTGATCTAAGCATTAAAAAGTTGAAATTCCAGAGGAATTGGTTATCTGCATATTATTTAGACAAACCTCTACAGATAATTATTTTTAACCCTGAGAAGTCATACAATGCTGTGTGTCAAAGATAGACTTGAGGTGGAATCAGTGGTTCATGAACACTGGGGATGAATATATTCAACTGCCTACTCAGTATCCTCAGTTGACTAATAGGTTGCAAAGTGTATCTCCAGGTAACAAATTGTCCTTTGATAGTACAGACTGAATGTATTCATGTATTGATCTGGCTGCTACAGATGTGAGAAAAAAACATTCTTATGTTGAAAGCTTAACCTCCAATGTGATGGTATTAGAAAGTGAGGCCTTTGAGTGGTAATTAGGGAATAAAGGTATACCCCTTATGAATAAGGCTGATGCTCTTATAAGAAGAGACGCAAGAGTGTTCTCTCTGCCCTCTGCCATGTGAGGCTCCAAGGAGAAGGCTGACTACAAATCAGGAAGCAGGTCTTCACCAGAACCAAATCTGCCAGCACCTTGATCTGGGACTTTCCACCTTCCAGAACTGTGAGAGATGAATCGTTGAAGAAACGCTGTTTGTTAATTTCTTAACAGGAGCTTGAGCTAAGACAGAGGCTCTATATGCAGGTAACCTAGTGAGAGTACGTGGGCAGAGTGACTGTTTTCTGTTTTCAATTCATGAATGGAGAAACTTATTATAAAATGCATCCCAAATTAGGCAATTATTAGATAGCAAAACCAGATATCTAGTCCATGTCAGAAAACCATGTCATAAAGGAGAGTACTTTCACTTTTACGAAGGGGTTGTCCCATCAAAGTTTTCTTTATAATACATTTTATCACTTCATGCCTCCAGTTTTTACTATGGCAGAAAATCATTATGAGTTGGAATTAAACCAATTATGTAACTGATTCAGGTTTTGAATTAGAAATTAATTCCCTTGTCCCTACTCATTCCCTACAACATGAAGATGTTGAGACATCTTACTAGGTTATTTTGGAAGGAGTCATTCTTGACTCTGACATCCCACCTTTTCTCCCTTTCACATCCAACCTGCGAGCAAATCCAAAAATCCCATTGATTCTACCCTCATTATATACTTAGAATCTGGCCATTTAACATGAAGATTTATGCATACATATTTTTTCTTGGGAAACCAAAAATAGTTTTGGTGCACTATGGATGACCCTAATGTAAATAAATTGTGATCTTTTAAAAATACGATTTTTTCATAATTTGTGTAGTGTGACTTTTAAGTTAAAAATTTATTATTTAAAGAGGTTCAATGAGTAGGGGCCTTTGTAACATTCATGATACGGGGATTGCCCTCCCACTCTCCTCAGATAACTGTTTTCTACACCTGCCTCCACCCTCCCATATGCAATTATGTTTCAGGGGCAGGATTTGCCCCTCAATATTTCTAAATCTGTGCTAAGGAATTCTGCTACGATTAGTGTTTTTCTGGCAAATACACAAACATAGATGCTCTGTCTTCAACTGCAATTTTTAGGGAGCAGTGTCATTCCATGGTCTAGATTAGTGAATAACATTTCCATCTTGCCTTTGAAACAGGATGGTGTCGCTTCCAGCTGCTGTCCTCTCGTTTTTTCCACAAAGGGCATCCAGAACAGCAACAGCTAAGGCAAATAGAGAGATATTCCCTGGTGCTCAGTGGAATGTCCCTGGGCTACTCTTTACCTTACTTCCAACCTTCGTGTTACCCTGCCCCTGTGTTCCTCTGCTGGCCCCGGTGACGGTCTGTGCACTCACCTCCTCCACGTTTGTGGAGTCGCTAGTAAGCATTAGGCATGCAATTTGGAGGTAGGACAGGAAGAAAGCTAGAGGGTTAACGAGTTCCAGTCTCTGGACCCTGGTGTTCAAGCTCAGAGCCAGCTTTACAGTTTCAGCCTTTAAACTCACATGAGGAACTGCTACAGTTTACTAGGCATCAGCAAGCCGCTCCACTAGGGGGCAGCAGGTGAATTGCACTGAAATTCTCAAATGAAATAATAAACCATCAGGTACAGCAATGCTGGGGACATTGTCTGTTTCTGCCAAAGCCATCAGCCTGTGGCTAGCAGACAGGATTACTGCAGGGGGAGAAAAGGCTGTCTGCAACGCTGAGTGAAAGCTAGAGGCTGCCAACAAAACTGAGCCTCCCTATCACTGTGTCCAGGGCTTCTCTCCCTCCGCCCTGGGTCAGTTTGCTCTCGCCAGTGTTCCCTCCTTGATCCTCTTCTTTTCCAACCCTACATCCTTGGGTACATGCAGCCAGCTTAATTCTAAAATCCTTTCCAAGAGCATCTTTCAGGATAAAAACTCTTTTCCAATATTCCCCAATATTACATTTCGGTAACTAAAAAGAACTACTGATTTTCTCATTGACATTCTTCTAATCAGTAGTTCTCAACCAGGGATGATCCCCTTCCCACCCCAGAGGACATTTGGCAATGCCTACAGACATTTTTGGTTGTCACGCTGGGGTAGGGGGGTGAGGGATGATGAGAGCTACTGCCTTCCAGTGGGTAGAAGCCAGGGACGATGCTCAATATTTTCCTCTATCAGACTCAATAACACTAACTTTTTTGAATAAAAAATGTGACATGAAAATATTTTAATTTTCTAGAAGTCTCAGTGAGCCATCTTATTTTCTTCCATAATTTAAATATGCAGTGATGACCCTCAGGTCTGTGTATCTAGGTCTCATTTTTCTATTAATCTCCAGACCCATGTTTCCAAATAATACGAGATTTCCATTAGAACGTCACATAAGTCTCAGTAGATCATAGCCTAACAACTTTTCCAAATCTCTCCCTGTAAATTTGCTTCTCTGATAGCCTAGCTTGGTTCGCTTATTCATTCAACAAATATGTCTAACATTTCTCCAACCATAGACTACCTCTGATTGACTAATGGACATTTCGGGGTTAGCATATTGAAAACGGAACTGCTGATCACCCCTATCCCTTACCCCACTAGCCAAACTTGTACCTCATCCAAACTTTCCCACCTTGACACAAATCAAATTGCTCCAGCAAAATCCTACTCATTCTTGATTTCTCCCTTCTCATCCCACATAAGCAACTCCTTTGACTCTACCCCCATAACATATCCTGAGTCCCAAGTGGCATTCAGTTTGGAATGACAGGAAGGGATGCCAGTGTAAGGAGAATGTGCTGGGAAGGGGCAAGAAGGGATCTAGGGAGACAGGCTAAGGGTCTCTGGAAGAAATCCAGGCTGAAGATGATGTAGCCCAAATCAGAATGGTGGCCAAGGACAGAAAGAACTAGAGGAAATAGAGATACATATTTCAGAAGTGGAATTGGTGAGGACTTGGTTGTAGAAATGCAGGAGAGGGGAAAACAGGATAATTCCCAGGTTTCTAGCTTGAGTAACAGAGAGGATGTGATTAGGGAGCCTGTGAGAGGTGAAGGCAGATTATGCAGGAAACTCAAGATACCCATTTTCGAGAAGCTACATTTGAAATACTTATTGGACATCGAAACTGAGATGGCAAGCAGGCTAATGGATATGTGAGTATGTAAATTTGGAAGCAGTCAGCAGATGGAGTGTATTTAAAGCCATTAAAATGAATGAGATTATCCACAGCAAGTACTTATGAAAGAAGAGAACCCGAAACTGAGCCCCGAGGAGAGGGGTAGCCTGTCGAGGAGGACATTAGACTGTCACGCCACAGATTCCAAGAGGGAGAGCATTTCAAGAAGAGGAAACCAGCCATCCTGTCAAATGCTGCTGGGAGGTGAAGATGAGGATAGGAAAGTACCCAATGATTGTGGCAATTGGAATTCATCTGCAAGATGACAAAAGTGATTTTATTTCAGTGTTGATGGCAGAAGACAGACTGGAGTGGGCTAAAGAGAAGATGTTTGCTGAGGTGGTAGAGGCCGTGTTCCTAGACAGTTCTTCCCAAAAGTTTTCTTCTGCTAGGGAGTAGAGAAATGAAGCAATAGCTAGAGGAAGATAGGGAATTAAGAGGCCACTGTGTGTATGAGTGTCTGTAAGTGTGTGCACTGCAAACTGAGAGATCAATATGTATTTATGCTGCTGGGAATTATCAAGTAGGAGAGGAGACTGTGGATGCAATGAAGCCAGGTTCAGGGGAGGTCTTTAATGCAGCTCCATCATGAGAGGATGGGCCTCAAGGCTTGCGCTTATTAGGAAGAAGAATGCATTCTCTATTGTTACACCTGAAAGTTGAACCAGGAGGAGGACCTAGGACAATACCCTAGAAGCCTGATTCATTTTCATGCTTTTCTGGAATATGTTGATATGGTTTGGATCTGTGTCCCCACCAAATCTCACATTGAAATGTAATCCCCATTGGTGGTGGTGGGGCCTGGTGGGAGGTGATTGGATCGGGGAACAGATTTCTCATGAATGGTTTAGCACCATCTTCTTGGTACTGTCCTCATGATAGTAAGTGAGTTCTCATGAAATTTGGTCACTTTAAAGTGTGTGGCACCTCCCTCCTCGCTCTCTTGCTCTTGCTTTAGCCATGGGATGTGCCTGCTCCTCCTTTGCCTTCCACTATGACTGGAAGCTTCCTGAGGCCTCACCAGAAGCAGATGCTGCTATGCTTCCTGTACAGCCTGCAGAACCATTAGCCAATTAAACTTCTTTTTTTATAAATTACTCAGTCTTAGGTATTTCTAGCATTGCAAGAATGGACTAATACATATGTCTAGAAGCATGAGTGTCTGAACCTGCCGTCACCACAGCCCCATCTATAATTTTGCTTTTCATGTTTTTCTGCCACTAGATGTAGACAAAATAAAAAATTCCATTCAGTCAAATATATTGATGATTTAATGGCCAGTGTCATATGTCATGTGTTTTTCCAGAGGTTTAATGGTTATTTTTCCTGATTTTATCTTGCAGAGTATGAAGGCCAGGGAAATCAAAGTATGTACTTCTAGTTAGCATAAGATGTAGTTATAGGGGGTTAAAAATAGCAATAGGTAAGACACATTCTCAAAGCTTTTGAAAAAGTTATTGCCAGTAAACTTTCTCATTCAAAAACTATTTATTAATATATGTACAGATATTTAATATTTTAAAAATAATATTTTTATTAATATATTCTTTACATTGAGCTCGAAATCATTTTTCTTCAATATGATGGGTGGCATTCACTCAACACCTATTATGTGTCAGGCATTCTGCCTATGTTAATCCTTAAAATAATATTATGGAGCAGATAGTAATAATTGCGGTCACTATTTATTAGTGTTTACTATGCATCAGGCACTGTGTCAAGAGTTTTACATAAATTACTGTTGACATAAAGGAAAAAAATCTGACGCTAAATTAATATTAGTAAAGAGATTATTTGGGCCAAGTTTGAGAACTGCAGCCCAGGAACATAAATTCAAGTTGCCCTGAATATACACTCAGACTAGCAGGAGTTACAAGCAGGTTTTGTTTGTTTGTTGTTTGTTTGAGACAGAGTCTCACTCTGTTGCCCAGGCTGGAGTACAGTGGCGCAATCTCTGCTCACTGCAATTTCCACCTCCCTGTTCAAGCAATTCTCCTGCCTCAGCCTCCCAAGTAGCTGGAATTACAGGCACATGCCACCAAACTCAGCTAATTTTGTATTTTTAGTAGAGATGGGGTCAGGCTGGTCTCGAACTCCCGGACCTCAGGTGATCCGCCTGCCTCTGCCTCCCAAAGTGCTGGGATTACAGGCGTCAGCCCCACGCCTGGCCACAAGCAGGTTTTTAAAGGAAAAAAGAAGCAGCAACTTCTAAGTTGTTTACCAGGAATTTGCATTAAATAACACAAGCTGTTGATTGGCTATACATTGTTCTTTGTAACACATATTCCAGGAACGTGAAGATAACAGGTGAGGCAGCAAATCAGGAACAAAATAACCTTAAACAATTGCCCCAGGTGGTGGAGTGTGACTGAAGACCCATGTTCCTGTCTCTCTGGGCTTTTGCAAAGGTCTGCAAGGTTCTCTGAGGCTTTTGCAGACCTCACATAGCTCAGGCTGCTCTGAGCTATTTTTCTTTTTTCACTACTTATTAAATTTTTATATGGCATAATATTATAAAATTTTAACTGGTATTTTTTTCTGTGACATTTTCTTGTGTCTTTTGGCCTTCATCTGATTCAGAGAGGCAGAGCATTTTATTCATTTTCCCCAGGAAGGAAAAGCAGAAAGTTGGGGTGGGAAGCATTTCAAAATCCTAGCCTTTTTTGGGGAAAAAGCAAAGAACTAAAGTTTTGGAAAAATGACTGGGGCAAACACATGTTTATTTAGTAGCTGGGCTTTCCTGCCCCAAGAACTAGACAAAAATGCCCTGGGCCAGAGGCGGGTGAGGGGGGTTGTATGAGGGAAGCTAGCAAGCTTGTCCAACCCACCTTATTTTGTCGTTGCTGTTCAGTTTTGTTTTGTTTTAGGCTTTTAGCAGCCTGAAGTCATGGTTTTCACTTTCTGTCTCTAGTAATGAGCAGAAAAGAGGGATGAGGAAGGGGCTTTACTGGCCCAACCAGAAACAGAAACTAAGAACCCATGACTGTATTCTCTCCCCTGGACAACCCTGTCAGAGAGCAGGAATATGAAAAAGATCCCTGTCCTGTCCACCTCACCCAGTCCCCAGCCACGGTCCACCCCTGCAGGGAGGGCTGCTGTAAGCTTTTTGGGTGGAGCCCCAGGAAGGCAGAAAGACTCCTGGGAAGAAGTGGATGTGTGGTGTTTTTAAGTGGGTGGAGCCCTTTGCAGTGTTTCAGAGAAGTAAAGAACCACAGCAGTCTCTGGTCCTGATAAGGTCATGCAGACAGGAACCAAGGATGACAGTTAAGACTGTAGGTATATGAAGACTAAGGGCCAGAAGTTTGATGACTTCTCATTGGATGCTGAGAATCCCCATTCTCTCCTTTATCACTAGGCAAGCACTCCAAAAATTAACGAAAAAAGGTAAAAGCATCTGTGGGAAAGACAGTGTGCTGTGTGTGTGCATGGGTGTATGTGTGTGTTGGGCACAAAGGGAACCCATTGTCCCGAGCTGGCAATTGTGTCATCATCTGGTGGAATAGAGCCTCACAGTAGGAATGAAGTAACCCTGTGATGTACACTTGGGTGTAGAAGCAAAGTTTTGCCAGTGTCAAACCAGCAAAGGGGCTAAGATTTGAGCCTAAACTGACTGCAAATTCTAATCCTAGGGAGTCTAACACTATGCTAGATTGCCTTGGGATTTATAGATGGTGAACATGACTCATGGGAAGATGAAAACACTTGCCCACAATCCAGAGCTCATGGAGGGAAGTTGGTGTCTGAACCCAGTCTTGGCTCTTTTGTCACATGCCTCACTGCCTCCTTAGAGTTAGTATGTACTAATTTTAAAGCTGAACTTTTTTCTTTTTCTTTTTTTTGAGACAGAGTTTTGCTCTGTCACCCAGGCTGGAGTACTGGCACCATCGCAGCTCGCTGCAGCCTCTGCCTCCTGAATTCAAGCAATTCTCATGCCTCAGCCTCCCAAGTAGCTGGGACTACAGGTGTGCACCACCATGCCCTGCTAATTTTTGTATTTTTAGTAGAGACAGAGTTTCACCATGCTGGCCAGGCTCATCTCGAATTCTTGACCTCAAGTGATCCACCTGCCTTGGTCGCCCAAAGTGCTGAGATTACAGGCATGAGTTGCTGCACCTGGTCAGCTGTACTTTTTAAATTCTAAAACACTGTATTGGTCAGTCTCTCTAATGGAATATGGATATTTACAGCAGAATAGGTAATAATAACTTGAAAGGAAATGTCTAGTCCAATGATTTCATTTTAGGGTAAGAGATTTTCCTGGAGAGGGCATAGAAGATGCAGCCCCCATGAGCCCCTAGAATTTATTCCCAGGAGTAGACTAAGATGGCAAAAGATTCTTATAGCTAAAGACAATTAAGGATGGTGTTTGTGCTTATGTTGCTCTGGGTATCTCACAAATTTGTGGGGGGCCACCAATCATTGCAAACCCATTAATTCATTGCTTTGGATATCTCACAAATTTGTGTGGGCTGCCAGTCACCAGATGGTCCCTCCTAGGACTGAATCTCCCCAGGATTAACCAGGCAACCACGGTTGAGACCACTTACAGATGGAACTACTTAAGACAACCTATCCTGAAGCCTGACAGGTTTGGAACAAAGAGTGTGCTGCTTAAAATATTACTTGTCTTGGGGTTTCTAATTTGTTTAGTCTGGCCACTGAATGTGACCAGAACATCATGCCTCTCAGATGGTAGAGACCAAAAGACAGCACTCCCACTTGGTCACTACTCAAACTCTCAAGGATATAAAATAAGACAAGAGGGGAACCTCATCCGGTTTTATTTTGGAGACTCACAACAAAATTTGTCTAAATAGACAAAAGTCTGGTCAAAACCACAAAAATGTCCAGTTTGCAAGGCCAGCTTGAACAACAGCCTTATAGAGATTTTAGGCCCATGTTCTACCCTGTGGTGAAAATAAATAATTCAAAATCTAAGCTGCTGAAACTCTAAATTAGGTTTGAGCCTTAAAGGGATGTGATTATGGTACCTGAGTCACATGACAGACAGCTGTAACCTTTGTTTCTCTGATAACAGATTAAGCCTTCTTCCTTACCTGCATTGTTTTGTAACAATTTTAATTTACAACATTTTAGTTGTAAATGACTGAAGGGCACCAAGGAAGACCCCTTCCCTCTACACTGTTGATCTTCATTATAGATTAACCTCCCTCTTACCTTTTTCACACAAAGACTTCATGGCTATCACATTGTCTTAAGGCGGAAGGTTAAATTCACTCTTTCCATTGGAAAGGAAATGAAAACCAGCTATAAAGAAAACAAGCCATACTGAAAAGAAACGAATTGTACCTAATTAATTTGTTATAACTCTATAACTTGTATAGAAAATGTTGAAATTAGTCCTATTAAATTTCTTTGTCTTCTTCCTATATAAACAAGAACTTAACTTTTAACTTTAGAGCATTGATCCCATTTCTCTGGAGTCTGTGAGTCCCAGAATGGTCATTCCCAGCTTTTCAGTTGAATAAACTCTTTAAAACTGGATTCTGACCCTTTTTATTATATCATTTCAGGTTGACATATCTGGCTGCCCAAGAAGGGACCCAAAGTGAATCTTGCCTTGACTGCTGCTGCTTTGTCAATCAATACCTGGTACCAGCAGGACTGTTTTTATCCAATTGACTTTTGCCAAAGTTTTCAGGAGCCCTTGGCAAGGCCCCTCCTAGGTTCCAAACATTATCTCTAATACATCCTACCTTATTGCAAGGTCCCACTCCTCCGAGTAAACACTTGGTCCAAATGGCGGGTGTTATAAATACTCCTGTATCAGCGCATAAGTCTCAACCTGTAACTTTTCAACTAGGTCCCTTACAGGGGACACATGTTTTACTTTTGGTTTCCTTAGTTTCCATCCATCTAATAAGAAAACTTCTTAGAACTATATAATACCCATATTTCTTTCTCCTAGAAAGGTGAAATGTATTTAGAATTAGATGCTATACATGATAAAACATAATTAACAGACAGAAAATTTTTCAAAATCATCTGGGAGTGGTGGCTCATGCCTGTCAGCCCAGCACTTTGAGAGGCCGAGGTGGGTTGATCACCTGAGGTCAGAGTTTGAGACCAGCCTGACCAACATGGTAAAACCCCATCTCTACCAAAAATACAAAAATTATCCAGGCATGGTGGTGTGCCCCTGTAGTCCCAGCTACTTGGGAGGCTGAGGCAGGAGAACTGCTCGAACCTGGGAGGTGGGGGTTGCAGTGAGCAGAGATAATTCCACTGCACTCCAGCCTGGGCAACAAAGTCAGACTCCATCTCAAAAAAAAAGGAATTTTTTCAAAATCGAATCCAATTGCTATCCATCTTGCCTTCAAGTCACTGACTTATTAAGTGATGAATTACAAAATGCAATAAGGCAATACCTGATCAATTGTGGTCAAAGTCCTGCATTGATACAGGAAAATATTGTTTCAACTACTTCAATAAAAATTTAAATAGACTCATTGGAAATGGCTTCCAAATAGCAGATAATTTAAGTAGACTCATTGGAAATGGCTTCCAAATAGCAGACAATATCCCTTCAGAACTGTAGCCCTAGAAGAAAAAAAAAAAACATATAATCTTAGATTATATAGAAAGAGTACTGGTCATTCTGTGTACAAGTCCTTGCAATGCACCAATTCTCCTGGTAAGAAAACCTGATGGTAGAGGGTGGAGGTTTGTAGAGGATTTGAGAGCAATAAACAACAAAGTAATTCCACAGCATCCAGTTGTGCCTAATCCTCACACACTGCTCACAGCCTTCCCATCTAATGCGGAAATTTTCGGTCATAGTTTTTTGTTTTTGTTTTTTTGTTTTTTTTTGAGACAGAGTCTTGGTCTGTCACCAGGCTGGAATGCAGTGGCACAATCTTGGCTCACTGCAACCTGCGCCTCCCAGGTTCAAGTGATTCTCCTGCCTCAGCCTCCCAAGTAGCTGGGATTATAGGCATGCACCACCGTGCCCAGCTAATTTTTTGTATTTTTAGTAGAGGTGGGGTTTCACCATGTTGGCCAGGATGATCTCAATCTCCTGACCTCATGATCTGCCCGCCTTGGCCTCCCAAAGTGCTGGGATTACCGGTGTGAGCCACTGCACCCGGCCAGTCATAGATTTACGTAGTGCATTCTTCAGTATTCCTTTAGATAAAGATAGCTAATTTATCTTTAACATCATGTGGGAAGATAGACAATATACCTGGACAGTCAGGCCCCAAGGATACACTAAAAAGTCTGACTTACTTTTTACAAATATTAAAAACAGACCACTCAGACATTGACTTCATTGAGAAGTCTGTCTTAATACAATAAGTAGATGATTTACTTACTTGCTTAAAGAACAATGGGCTTTCATATACAACAATTGGCCCTAAAGGGTGATAAGGTTTATAAAGGAAAAACTTCAATTTTGTCAAAAACAAGTAAAGTACATAGGCCATCTGATAAGGTTTGGCCCACTGTCCCCACCCAAATCTCATGTTGAATTGTAATCCCCATTGTTGGGGGAGGGACCTGGTGGGAGGAGATTGAATCATGGGAGCGGACTTCCCCCTTGCTGTTCTTGTGACAGTGAGTGAGATCTCATAGATCTGAATGTTTAAAAGTGTTTAGCACTTGCCCCTTCACTCTCTCTCTCTCTTCTGCTCCACCATGGTAAGACGTGCTTGCTTCGCCTTTACCCTCCACCATGACTGTAAGTTTCTGAGGCCTCCCAGTCATGCTTCCTATACAGCCTGTGGAACTGTGAGTCAATTAAACCTCTTTGCTTCATAAATTACCCAGTCTCAGATAGTTCTTTATAGCAATGTGAGAACAGTCTAATATACCATGTAACAGTCAAGGAACGACTTCCTATTAATCCAGCTAGGTTGAAAGGAATCCTAGCTTTTCCACCACTGAGAAGCAAGAAGCAATTGAGAGGGTTTTGGGGGCTGACAGGATATTGTAGAAATTGGATAGCCAACTTCTCTTCAAAGGCCCAGCCCTTATATACTCTCTTATAACTGGACATTACAGACCTTCTAGACAGGACAGAAAAAAATCAAATAACATTAGAAATGATCAAAAATGACTTTGCTAAATCCTCAGCTTTAGTACATCCAAATTATTATATAACCTTCCATTTTCAGTATTTAAACACTAAAGTGATGGAAACGCTTTAGGGATTCTAACTCAAAAACATGGAGATCAAAATAGACTTGGGGGTATTATAGCCAATAAAGACCCTGTAGCAAGAGGATGGCCAACTTGTATGCAAACCATTAACAGCTTATGCTTTGTTAAGGCAACTAAAGACATTGCAATGGGAACATCCCTTACTATCTTCATCTCTCATTCTATGGAGGCACTGCTGAACTCATACCATATTCAGTATTACTCAGTTCTCAGACTGGCCTCACATGAGGTCCTATTTCTTTTAGCTCCTTATATCACCATATCTAGGTGTAACAATGTAAACCCTGCAACTCTTTTGCCTTTGTTTTAAGATGAGCTGCTGCACAACAGCATAGCCCTAATTGATCAATGTCTTTCTCCCAGGTCACATCTATTGAGATATCCCCCTTGCAAATACTAATATTGTTGTTTGGCTTATAAATGGACCTTACTTAATGGATGAATCTGGATTCTATAGGGCTGGATACACTATAGTGTCTTTAACTGAAGAAACAGGAAGTGCCTATCTTCCAAAAGCCACTTCACCTCAACAAGTGGAATTAATAATATTAAATAGGTCCTGTCAATTGGCAGAAAAATATATTCACTAGTATTTATACAGACAGTAGATATGTTTTTGGAGTAGCCCATGATTTTGAAGTGTTATGGAAACAAAGAGGATTCTCAATCTCTTCAGGTCAATCCATAAAAAAAAGACATCTTATTTCACAACTACTAAAAGTCATATTATTGCCAAAATCATTGGCCATTATTAAAATTCCGGGTCATTCCAAAAAAGATACTCCAGAATGCAGAGGAAATTAGTGATCTAATAAGGTCACAAAGAGTGCTACTCAAAACGCATCTAAACAGGAAAATCTACCTGTATTAACTTTTAAGGAAGCACTTGAAATTGATATAAAATTAATCCAGAGTCCCAAAATCAGCACAAAAAGTTTGGGACACAAAAGGGCGTAAATATTCACCAAAAGATGAAGAATGGTACAGGTGAAACAACTCACCCATACTTCTTGCTGAATTACAGCCATCATATTTTTAAAGACAGGGTTTCAGTCTGTCACCCAGGCTGGAATGCAGTGGCATGAACATGGCTCACTGTTGCCTTGACTTCCTGGGCTCGAGCTATCCTCCCACCTCAGCCTCCTGACTAGGTGGAACACGCCATCATGATTGGCTAATTTGTAAATTTTTTGTAGATATGGGGTCTCACCATGTTGCCCAGCCTGGTCTCAAACTCCTGGCCTCAAGCAATCCTCCTGCCTCAGCCTCCTGAAGTGTTGGGATTACAGGTGCGAGCCACTGCACCTGGCCTACAGTTATCATTTTTAACACATGTGCATGATCTAACTTACTGGAGTCCTGCCAAAATGGTTGCCCAGGAAAAACAGTATTACTGGAAACCTTCTCCAACGATAGCTCATAAGGTATACAAGCAGTCATATTTGCCCAAAATATAATCCAGGAAAAGCATTACTTACTTCCCAAAGACACTTTCCTTTATCTGAGACTCCCTTTGAAATACAGCAACTAGATTTTTTTCTAATTGCCACTTTCATAAGGCTACAAATATGTCCTGGTAATTATTTGCATGTTTTCTTATTGGGTAGAGGCATTTCCATGAAGAAGAGCAATAGCCTTAGCAGTAAGTAAAATTATTGTAGAAAAAATTATTCCAACCCAGACATTTCATTGGAACTTCATAGCAACAGAGGTATTGAATAATTGGAATAGATAATTCACTGGATAGATAATTCAATCAGCATGTAGCATCTGGCCTATTTTTCAGCATTTCCATTGTGTTTATTACTCCCTATCATCTGGGTTAGTAGAATGCACAAACAGAATAATAAAAACCCAAATGGCAAAATTAACTGAGGCTTTTAAAATTCCTTGGCCAAAATCCATTCCATTGGTTTTGCTAAACAAAAGATTTACTCCTTTTGGTAAAATAACAGTTATCTCCATTTAAAATAACAGGCAAACCTATCAAAATGTCTCCTAGAAATTGTGCCACCTTGTGACTTAGTAAAATAATCTTTTCACAGAAAGCTTCTTGGAAACATAAATCTAAAGAACCACAGACTTGAACCTGGAGATTTTGTCTATTGGAAACATTTCTTAAAAGATTGTCTCCAACCAGGATACAGCGGACCTTACCAGGTACTTCTTACTAATTCTTGTGCTGCTAAACTAGAAGGCATAGACTCCTGGATTCACGTCTCACATCTAAGGAAAGCTGAGCCTCCTGAATAGACTGTTTCACCAGAGAGTAATCTTCTACTTAAAATAAGGCGATGCCAATTGAGAAGAAGATGGTCGCAGACATGGTTGGGTGTCCCAAGACCTGGACCAGGTCTGTATCTAAATTAATGCTTAATATTAACAATTGTTAATAGATGGAGAATATTTTATTTTACAAGCTTCCACCCAACTTCTTTTTTTTTTCTCCTTAGTTCTCATGCCTTGGTACTACTATACCACTTGTTGCCCATAAAGCAACCTCTTTTTGCAATGGGCCCAACACTATGCTAATAGGTTACAAAAGGATGCTCATTGGGTATGTGGTCTCATGTCCCTTTCCAGTAGTTCTGGATTTCCCATGGTGGAAATCTCTTCAAGGGCAAGATTGGATAGAATATCAGAAATATTATATATCCATGTTTCCCCAGCACAGTTATTGGTACTTAACACTAGTATGACTAAACATAATAACCATCACTGGTCTATTACTAATACCTTACAAAATAAAGGGTAAGGGAAGAACTTCTCCATAAAAGAAATTAATTCACTAGCTTTAACGCTGTGCTGCCCCAGTTGAGAGACGAAACAGACACTGCCCCAATTGAGAAATAAGACTGCAACCAAATGTAGGTTCAGCTGCTCACCACTTGCAAAACTAAATAACAAGGACAAGGTTCAGTATAAGGAAATTGACTTCATTTTCCAAAGCTAACAGTGGGGAAGTGGTTCAGGCTCCTGCCTTAATGAAACTGCTTCAAAATTCTTGGGCAAAATGCTAGGGTTTAAGAAGGGGAAGTTTGGTATGGAGGATATGTGGTGGGTGGGGGGTGGTGGGTGGGGGCGTGAGAGGTGGTGCTGGTCTACGTGGCTTGTTTTGATGACTTATCTTGAGTTATTGTCCCATCTTGAGAATGGGTTGACACCATCTCAGGCTTGACCAGGTTGTAAATTAGCTGCTGCCTTGAAGTAATCTTCTGGTGGGAGATAATTCCATAGGCACCCAGATTGTCTCAAGATTCAATCCCTGGAACTTCTAAGCAAACATAATTAGATAAGTTAGCAATGCAAGGAAGTACCTGGTAGAAAGAAGGAGAGTAAAGCTTATTATTTCATTACTAATAAGTTGTAGAAAGGACTGCAGAAAGAAAAAGAAAAAAATAACAAAAATAGG
Source organism: Homo sapiens (assembly GCF_000001405.40). Taxonomy (NCBI): domain Eukaryota; kingdom Metazoa; phylum Chordata; class Mammalia; order Primates; family Hominidae; genus Homo; species Homo sapiens. Next base: position 42,954,624 of record NC_000007.14, read on the forward strand.
GTCCTTGGTTACAACACCTCACTATCAAATGCCATTCTATTTCTATGGAACTCAAGTGACATATTCATTCTAGCTACTTCCTATTGCAAAGGGGTGTAGTTAAAAGGTATTGGAATGGAACTGATCTACTTGGAGGTGAAAGTGTTCTCAGGTACCTGGGCTCAGATGAAACCTGTTGCAGCATTATGGTGGAGAGCCTTGCAAGTCCCTGAGAAAGTCTATCTAGTATCCCATGCAAAAGGCGCTGCAGCAGTAAAACCCACAGCACAGAAGTATCCCTATTTCCCACAATTATAGTGAGAATTACCAGTAACTGTTCCCATCAGGATGGTCCTGACCCAAACTAGGATGTAAACCATCTAATGGCAATGTAGGGTCTGGGTTTAACATGGCTTGAATTTCTTGCATGTCTTATGTATGTATGTATATATACGTGTATGTGTATGTATATATGTATATATACGTGTGTGTGTGTATGTATATATGTATATTTAACAGATTACAGGAGGAGCTATGAATATTCATGAAGATGGTTATAAACCCTGTCTAGTTCTTAAGAATGGATCAGTTTAGTTAAATGGCTGTTTCCCATTCCAGGAGGTGCCATTGCAGATGGGCTAGGTCTCAATATGTGATGAAGGTGAATAGGAGGTATTTTTATGGAAACAGAAGAAAAACAAAGTTGATGTTGGGCAGAATCTATCTTCAGTTTCAAAAGAAGAAGGCAGTGGCAATCTGACTCATTTTTCTCACCTGTGTCTCAAGGAATAAGCTTTAGCTTGTAAGGCCTCAGTAAAAAGGTAGCAGCAATTTTATTGAGTCCAAGTCAAAAAACTGGAAAAAGAAATTTAAAAGCATTAGTCTGGGGAATTGTTGCCTGGAAAAAATAAAGATTCATTCCAAATTGCAGAAAATAATACAGATCCAAAAACAATGGACAAGACTACACTCTAACAATAGGTGTACTATAGTTTTTTTTTTTGAAACACAAATTTTCTTTTTTCAGTCCCCATTTTTACTAAAGACAAATCATGGAACTATTTGTAAAACAAGTTTTAGTATTATTATATTTGGCCTGATTAGCCTCATTATTTGTATAAAGTGCAGCAAGAATAATTATTTGCCATATAGGCCCTTTTAAAAAAATTGACTTTGCTGGAATGCTATTTTTTTATAAGAAATCTCAGATTAGACTGTTTAAAGCCCTGAGTTCAGCCATGGATTTATCTGCCTGCAAATATCTGTATGAATTGGGTAAATTCTTCTCCTTTCAAGATCCCATAAAAACTTGGAGCTCCTAGGCCTGTCAGAAAGTGACATTCTTTACTTACCACAGGTCAGGAAACCTATATAGGGACTATATAGACAAGAGGTGAGGCCAGTTTTTCTTAGGGGCCTTTTATCAGCTCTGTAAGTCAACTTTGATTCCTTAAAGCAGTCTGTTTATAACTGAAACCATGCCATTCCAGTCAAAGCCTTGGTAAAATAACCAGTGCCTTCAATGGTGTCCTGTTTAAAAAAAAAGAAAACAGATTTTTATTGAACTTATAGAAATAAACATACTGCCATAAATTAAGTATACTTACAAATAGTTTTCAAATTCTGGAGAAATCAGGTAAAGGACAGAAATGTTTCAAATTTTTCTCACAAGAATATACTCTGTAAATCACTCAAAAGAAAAAGAAAGATTTTCTGGACTTTGAAAAACAAAGGAATTACCAATACTTTAAACAAAAAGTCATAAAAAGATTATTTTGGTCTTCCATTAGTTCAGTCTGTGTAATCAACTCTTTTTCTGCTTGATATTCATGAACACATTAGCTCTTCATGGGAGTCTTGGAAGTTTTTTACTTTATTCTAATGTCATACTCTCAAAAGTTATCAGAAACCTGCATTCAAGAGCACCTACCTATAGGATCAGAGTCCTATAGCTGATTATAAATCCGCATTTTGAAAAGAATCAAAATAAAACAACAATTATAGATGACAACAGTTTCAGAGCAGCCTTGGTTGAAGACACAATTGACAAGGAAATTTCATTATCTCTGTGGCACACAATAATTTAACATAGCAACCATTAATTATTACTGATAGCATATACTGAGATATATCAGAATTATAGGAATCTTACACAGTTTTGGAACAGATATTAGTAATACATTTATATGAATGTATAATGAATCCAAGAAAGTTAAACATTATTTTATATTTCACAATGCTTCCTGTATGATTTTAATATCCAAATAAGTCAAATATGTCTCTTTTAGACTTCAGGAGATGTAATATTTAAAAAGGTTAATGAGATCTAAAAAGGCTTAATTTAGAACTTGGAATTTCAATTTTGGAAGGTTTGTCAAATATCAACGGCTTAAAACATTTGATAACACAAAATGGAATCACAGATTATTCATTTAGCTGAAATGACAACTCAAAAATATCAAAAGACAAAAACCTTTACTCACTAATAGAGGGGAGACTCAGTTTTCTAAACAACAAACTGATATAGTTTGTATATTTGTCCCCACCCAAATCTCATGTTGAATTGTAATTCCCAGCATTGGAGGTGGGGCCTGGTGGGAGGTGATTAGATTATGGAGGTGGATTTTTCATGAATGGCTTAGCACCACCCACTTGGTGCTGTTCTCACAATAGTGAGTAAGTTCTCATGAGATCTGGCTGTTGAAAAGCGTGTGGCACCCATATTCTCTCTCTCTCTTGCTCTTGCTTTGTGAGATGCCTCCTCCCCCTTTGCCTTCTGCCATGATTGTCAGCTTCCTGAGGCCTCCCTAGAAGCCCAGCTGATGCAAGCACCATACTTTTTATAAAGCTTGCAGAATCGTGAGCCAATTAAACCTCTTTTCTTTATAAATTATCCAGTCTCAGGTATTTCTTCATAGCAAGAAAAGCCTAATACAAAGACCCAATAAAGAAAACACCAGGCCAACTAAATCTGTCTCTTCTCTCTTTCTGTCTTTTTTTTCTTTGTTTTCTTTGTTTTCCTGTAGCTTACTCAAAAGTCAAAGAAAACCCTTTCATTATCTCTCAATATTATATGAAAATTTTGTTTAAAAAAGAAAAACAAATTTCACCTTTGTATTGTTGCATTACTAACAGTGAAGTTATTTTTTTTCTTTTCTTTTTTTCTTTTTTGAGACATAGTCTCCCTCTGTCACCCAGGCTGGAGTGCAGTGGCATGATCTCAACTCAGTGCAACCTCCACCTCCCAGGTTCAAATGATTCTTATGCCTCAGCCTCCCCAGTAGCTGGGATCACAGGTGCATGCCACCACTCCTGGCTAATTTTTGTATTCTTAGTAGAGACAGGGTTTTACCATGTTGGCCAGACTGGTCTTGAACTCCTGGCCTCATGTGATCCACCTGCCTTGGCCTCCCAAAGTGCTGGGATTATAGGCTTGAGCCACCATGCTTGACCTAAAGTTAATTTTTTATAAAACCTTGTAAGCCAGTCTATTAGTTTGACCGTAAGGTAAGACTTTTATAAACCATTTATAACTCTATAATTTTTTGTTAAAGAGCAGATCAATGCTCTAAGAAACCTCTGTTATTTTGATACATGGGCCCAGATTCTGGCCCTATATCAGTGTCTTTTTATTTTAATACTCAATTTATGGATATACAAAATAATATCCTTTAATTTTAGCCAGCTTCTTCACATGCAGAATTTATTTTATAAGATTAATCAGGCTGGGCACAGTGGCTCACACTTGTATTCCTAACACTTTGGGAGGCTAAGGTGTGTGGATCATTTGAGGTCAGGAGTACAAGACCAGCCTGGCCAACATGGTGAAACCCCATCTCTACAAAAAATAAAAAAATTAGCCGGACATGATAGCATGTGCCTGTGATCCCAGCTACCAGGGAGGCTTGAACCTGGCAGGCAGAAGTTGCAGTGAGCCAAGATCGTACCACTTCACTTCAGTCTCTGTGACAGAGTGAGACTCCATCTCAAAAAAAAAAAAAAAAATTAATCTTCTATAAACCTTTTATAACTTACTTAAACTTCGTTTTTTTAACTTAAAATAATCTTTAAACCATCTAAACTAGGCAAAATTACTTTATCTTTAATAAAAAACCATGTTTCCATGCCTTTTTATAACTTTTTACCAAGACATATTTTACTTTCTTTAGACAACTTGCATGTAAAACTGTTTTTCTAGTAGTCCCAATTACATATGTTATAATGTAAACTCCTAGCAACTTTTATTCTTAATGAAAGATAAAGGAAGTAAGCAATTTTAATTATATACCAGGTGTAGAACCTAGGAGACAGGATAGAACTTCAGATAATGTTTGACTTTTTCCAGCATAGCCAGGGAGCACAGCTAAGTCCATGTGTGCCCTGGCTTTACTTAGAATTTAATGGCTCCAAAGCTGGCGAGTCCAACAATTATTAAAATGTCACAGAAGCAGTTTGTGATCTTAAAACATCTAGCAAAGACAGTATCTGGCTTGCTTAATTCAGAGTAAGTGTCTAAATTCTGAAGACAATTTTATTTTATTTTACCAATAATCTTTACCACTGTCTTTATTTCCCAAAGATTACTAAAGTCACATGACATTTTAAAGTTTTTCTATTTTTCTAATAAAATATTGTGTTTAGCTGCTTATTTTTCTTTCAGCCAATTAATTAGAGCCCTTTTCTATATTTTGGTAGTGAAACATCACACACACAACACATATAAATACACAGAGAGACAGACAGAAGCAGGTGATATTATTTTTCATTTGCCAGTTTTAAGTTTCTTTTTCTTGTTTTAGACGATCGGTCTCTTGATTACCTGTTCCCTTTCCCAAACAATTGCCAGCCAGACAGCTTCAAATTTACATTTTCGTAGAAATATTTATTAGGTGAAACAAAATAGAGAATTCATATTCTATTTAGAGTGAGGAAAAATGGTGTGGGTAAAAGTTCAGTCAAGACAGCCAGCAAAGGCAGACACTCTTACAAATGGAAATTTTCTAAAAGATCTGAGTTTCTTAATTGGAACTTAGATCTGGCTTTAAGATTACTGGCTTTAAGGTGGAGACTTTTAAGGAATAGGGCCAGGAAACATGCATTTTGTAGGGCTAACAAGCAGGCACAGCTGGAAGGCAAACAGACCTCCCCAAATCAAAGATCTCATTTTTCCACCGAATCCTGGGTGCCCCAAAGAGGGAAGTGCTACAGGATGAGATAGTGCAATGCTTTCACAGTGTATACCATCAAAAGGACATTTCTGTGAGGCTGGTGGGCAACCCAAAGCCAATCAGCCCTTTCTGTAATCAGCCCATCCCCCGTTCCATACCTTCCAGTTGTCCAGGAGCATACTCTGCTTATTTAAATGCCCAATGAAAGTTGTATGGCCCTGTAAGAAGAATTATTTATTATAACTGCCATCAGCCATTTTACAAAGTATATTTTTAAATCTAGCTATTACATATCAAGGTCAAAATTCTCTCATAATGCCAAGTAATTTCTGGTCTCCCCCTACAAAGTAAAAAAGACTGGATAAAAGAGGAAGGAACAACAGACAGGAGTATATGGAGAGTCAGACGGAATTCTGCTAAGAAGTGTTTACAGAGAGAAAGCAGGGGCTTTAAAACAATATATGTCTTAAATATCAGTTTTAAGTAAGTTGACTTTTAACTATAAAGCTCTCAAAATAAAATCCTTTCAAATCTTTTATTACCAGATTTTAGCTACGAAAAGCAGCCAATATTTCTGGCATTTGAATTTTTTTTCCTTCAATTTTGAATGAATTTTCACTGTTTACATTTTAGTTAGAAGTGGCTGAACTGTATAAGAAAAACAAAATCTCAGTACTAGTAACTTAATAATAGCAGATACAAAGTAGGCAGAAAAGAAAAGAAATAAAGAAAGATAAGGGTCCAAATATAAATGCTACACACTCACACAGTCACAATTTCAAATGGCGCTCTCCCAAACAAAGTCCCCGCTCAAGGGGCTGGGTAAAGAGTCTGGAAACCTCCTCCATCCTGATCACAAATGGCTCCAAGAGCAGCTGAGTCCAAACAGAGCAAAGCTCCAGTGGCATCACAAACACAAATGGTGTGCATGCCCAAACTGTGTTGTGAGCACCTAATTCTAAGCAGAGCAGAGTCCAAGCAATACCACCCAAAAAGACAGAGCTAAGCTGGGTGCACACCAGCTGCCTCATCCAATTTCCAAAGTGTGTCGACTTACTCAGAGGTCACTTTCTTTGTACCAGTGAAGTGTAGAAGCCAGCCAGTGCCATGGCAGAAAGAGCAGGGAGGTTCCCCAGGACAAAACTGTCAGTTTCAGGGAAATTCCCCAGGGTTTTGGCCATAATGTCAGCTAGCTATAAGCAGCTGGTGCTCACAGGCAGCCCCCTGGCCCATTTGGTAGCATGAAGCCAGACTGACAGACTAGGATCACCCAGAATGCACAGCTTCCCTGTACAGGACACCAAAAATTGTAACTGAATGCAGATTTGGCCGTTTGTCACTTGCAGAATCAAGTAACAAGGACAAGGTGTGATAGAAAGAAAGTGAAGTGACTTTATGTTCCAATATTGACAGTGGGAAGTAGTTCAGGCTCCTGCCTTGATGAAACCACTTTAAAATTCTCAGGCAAAACACTAGAGCTTGAGAAGGGGAAGTTTGGTATGGAGGAAATGCGGGAGTTGGGGGTGGCAAGGTGGTGTGGGTCTATATGACTTGTTCTGATGACTTATCTTGAGTTATTGCTCCAACTTGTGAATGAGCTGGTGCCATCTCGGGCTTGACTGGGTTGTAAATTAGCTGCAGGCTTGAAGTAATCTCCTGGTGGGGGATAATTCCATAGGCACCTGGATTGTCTCAAGATTCAATCTCTGGAACTTCTAAGCAAGCATAATTAGATAAGCTAGCAATGCAAGGGAGTGCCTTGTGGAAAGAAGGAGAGTAAAGGATATTATTTTATTACTAAAAAGTTAATAGAAAAGGACTGAAGAAGGAAGAGGAAAAAAACCTTAAAAATAGGGTACTCAGTTATAAGAAAACTCAACTTCAGTATCATATAACACAAATTTAAGATGGGTTTATCTGGCTTATTCCCTCCCGTCAGCTCAGCTACGTTGTCTATGTTGGGACCAGAGAAATTACATTAAAGATAACTGGCCTAATTGCACCAGAAATATGGGATGGATACCCAAAGAACAGTGTTTCAACACCATTACATTACAAAATACTGATTGGCCTGCCACTGAATAGATACAACAACTGAGTATTTCTTGGTTAGCTTCAAATGGAAAGTTTTGGTCATGTGGCACTAATCTATGGACATGGCTACTCCCAGGATGGCTAGGACAATGTTCCTTGGGTTATGCTTGGGCACAAGGTCAAATAGTTCATTCCCTATCAAAACCTGCAAATTTTCCTCATTTATAATCCTGCTGGGCTTTTTCTGTGTTCCATTGGTATGATCATTTAGCTTCCATCTTCATCCCACAACTGGGTATTTGAGAATGTTATTTGGCATGTAGAGGCCCCGATCAATTATACACTACAGGCTCTAAATGATAGCCACATCAGTACTTTGTTATTAAACAATGAAGTTGCTATTACAAGAAAGGCTGTATGGCACAACAAGTTTTAGACACACCCACTGCAGCCCAAGGTACCATCATAAAAACTGAATGTTGTGTCTCTATACTAGATGAGTCTAATAACATCAATAAATGAATGGCTGATATGAAAACCTCAATAACCAACTTTTCAGATCCCAAATCTTCTCTAAGTGACTAGCTAAGTAGATGGTTTGGATCTTGGGTAACTTAACAGCAAAAGCTGTTACTTATTCTAGGAATTGTAATTGCATATTGTGTTTTGTTCTGGTTTTGTCTACACTGTTGTTACAGCATTTGTTTAAAATGGAGTCAACTTGTGACTGAAAAGACTAAAATAATGGTCCCCCAAATAGTTGCATAAATTGAAGATATAGCTATTTAGCCTAACACACAAAATCACTTTCTTTATGCTGACTTAAATTCAGCCTATACTACATCAGCTTACAGCTGGTTTAATCATCCTTTGCTAGGGGACATGACATCCTAGGAGTGTGCCTTCCTAGTGACATGGGATCAAAATTTCTCAACATAAAAGGAGTCCAACCATTAAATTCATCTATGATGGTTTCTTCAAAAAGTTCTTGAAGAACTTTCTTCCAAAAAGAAGAAAAATGTAAAAATAAGTAATCCAAATTGAAGGTATTGGAACTCTAAAATTATTTTGAACCTTAAAGGAATGTGATTATGGGCCTGCATCACATAACAGACAGCTGTAACCTTTGTTTCTCTGATTATAGATTAAGCCTCCTTCCTTACCTGTATTGTTTTGTGTTAATAAAATGACATGAATGACAGAAGGGCACCAAGGAAGACCCCTTCCTTCTCCTCTGTTGATCTTCATTGTAGATTAACCTCCCTCTCACCTTTCTCACACAAAGACTTCATGACTACCACATTGTCTTAAGATGGAATGTTAAACATACTCTTTTAAATTGGAAAGGAAATGAAAATCAGCTATGAATAAAACAAGCCATACAGAAAAGAAAACAAACTCTAACTAATTAATTTGTTATAACTCTTAAACCAGTATATAGGAAATATAATCCTGTTAAATTTCTTTGTCTTCTTCCTATATAAGCAAAAACTTAACTTTTAACTTCAGAGCACTGATCCTATTTCTCTGAAATCTGTGTGTCCCAGAATGGCCATTCCCAGCTTTCTTCTTGATTAAACTCTTTAAAACTAGATTTTGACCCTTCTTATTATCTCATATTGACACAATCCCTCTTTATGACAGAACAACACAGAAAGACAAAGACAAAAGACAAGACTATTTCTGGGAGGAAAAAGACAATATGAATTTTCATACCAAAAAGTACACCAGAGTTGCTACACCTAAGACTAGGCTCACAAATCCTTTTCCTCCATTAATCAAGACTTTCAACTAGGTACGGTGGCTCACTCCTATAATCCCAGCATTTTGGGAAGCTCAGGTGGGTGTATCACCTGAGGTCAGGAGTTTGAGACCAGCCTGGCCAACATGGCAAAATCGCATCTCTACTAAAACCACAAAAATTAGCACCACCACTAGGTAGTGGTGGTGCATGGCTGTAATCCCAGCTACTCGGGAGGCTGAGGCACAAGAATTGCTTAAACCTGGGAGGCAGAGGTTGCAGTGAGCCAAGATCGTACCACTGCACTCCAGCCTTGGCAAGAGAGTGAGACTCTGTCTCAAAAAAAAAAAAAAAAAAAAAAAAGACTTTGGAGAGGGAAAGGGACAGTGACTTTTACTGTCTACTGGACCAGATTGCACAAAGAGAGGCTTGGAGCCTGGCTGGTAAGAATTTCTTATCCTACGGGTTTGTTGAGTCCTGGGCTCCCTTGACTGTGGCTTCCAGAAGAGCAGAGCAGTTTTGCTATCCTGCTCACAGTGCAAAACTGTAGGGGCCAAGGGAAACTTCCCCTGCATTCTGTAAAAGTTCACTGAAAATCAACTGACAGAAGGCAGATTAATAGGAGAAAAAGCATACAAATTTATTAACATGTGGGTGAGGGAATCAAACAGTGATTACCCCAATCTCCTAATGGGGTACAGAAGCTTCTATACCCTTTTTCATAGAGGAGGAAGGATATAGGGAATGTAGCCAGTTCTTTAAAGGGTGGTAAACGATTATTAGGGAAAATGAATGGACCAGGGATACAGAAATTAACTTGTAAATGATGATTATCTTTAGAATGTGAGGTGGAGAGGCAGGCATTATCTTGTGGAAAAGTTTATCCAGGTGTGGTTACATTCTTCAACCTTCTTTTCTGCTGTAGATAATGAGGTAACAGGGAGGGAACAGGCAATTGTATTTCTTTTGGCAAGAAGCTTTCTTGGTTAGATAAGGAAATTTCAGAGACAGTCCCTCTCTCTGCTGTCGAAAGGAAGGAGAAGAGGGTTAGAGGGACCTTGATTCTGAGGCTTATTTCTGAGTCCTTTCAATTTTCTTTCTTTTTCCTTTTTATTAAGATACAGGTCTCACTATGTTGCCCAGGCTGGTCTCAAACTCCTGGGCTCTAGCAATCCTCCCGCCTCGGCCTCCCAAAGTGCCAGGACTATAGGCATGAACCACTGCACTGGGCCTCAATTTTCAAAAGCATGCAGTATGCCCAAGTGCCATATTTGGGAGAATCATTTTCTATATCCCAAACGCTTTCTATTTCTGCGTGCCTGTTTATGTATCTGTCAGGATACTGTGTTAAGCTATGGCAACAAACTAACACAAGGTCTCAGCGACTTTATACAACAAAGGTCTATGTCAGGCTCATGTTACGTGCCCTTTGCTAGTCAGCCAGGAGCTCTGTTTTGTGTCCCTGTCATCCTGACTTGGATCCTTGCTAAAGGAGCAGCCACCATCTAGAACATTTTGTAGCCTTGGCAAAGGGAAAAGAGAGAAAGGTGAATCATGCTTCCTCTTAACAATTTCACAGAAAAGTGGTGCACATCACTTACATTTTATTGGCAAGACAAAATTCAAGTGGGTGGATGTGATATTGTGAAATATATATTTGGGTTTTGTCCCCATTTCTTGGCATACAGCTCCTAAACGTGATAAGAGCTAGCTCCTGGAGTGACAAGAATGTCTTTTGTATGCTAATGAATGACTACTGTCTAGCAGCCCCTAAATAGCTTCAGGACGGGGACTGGTCATGGGAGAGACCTAGGCATGATTAGAGAGTTGGGACTTTCAGCCCCATCCTGTAGTCTCCTGGGAGGGGAGAAAGGCTGAAGGTAGAGTTGACACCTATGGGCATTAATGTAATCAATCATGCCTATGTAATGAAGCCTCCATAAAAACCCAAAACGACTGGGTTTGGGGAGCTTCCACATAGGTGAACACATGGAGGTGCCTGGAGGAGACAGAGAGGACATGAAATTGCTTCATGTGGGGTAAGAATTGCTTCATGTGGGGAAAACCCCTGTACAACTGGTGGCAGAAGTGTTGCACTGAGTGACTGAGAGTAGAGAGCAGGGAAAACACTGTTATTTTTCTATCCTATAGCAGAGAAGTGCACTCTTGCCATTGTCTGGAGGGAGAGAATCATCTAAATGGCCACTGCAGGGATCTGCTCTGGGAACATCTCCATAGCAGGACATAGAGATCATCCTTATTCCGGTTAAATGTCAGAAGAGAGGGTAGCACTCCACTGTGTGAATGTTTATCCAACCAGTGTCCAAATGATGGGCACTGGGCATAAATCATTTTGCATTTCTCTTTTTTTTTTTCTTTTTTTTCAGACGGGGTTTCACTCTTGTTGCACAGGCTGGAGTGCAATGGTGTGATCTCAGGCTACCGCAACCTCCGCCTCCCTGGTTCAAGCGATTCTCCTGCGTCAGCCTCCGGAGTAGCTGGGATTACAAGCATGTGCCACCACGCCCAGCTAATTTTGTAGTTTTGGTAGAGACAGGGTTTCCCCATGTTGGTCAGGCTGGTCTCGAACTCCTGACCTCAGGTGATCCTCCCACCTTGGCCTCCCAAAGTGCTGGGATTACAGGTGTGAGCCACCACACCTGGCCTTCATTTTTCATTTTCCTGAGTGTATCTTTGTCTATTTTTAAATTTTTCTGGTATTTTTAGTCTAATCTAATATTTTCACATTTTAATAGTTTTGATTAAATGGCTTACACTCATAGTGAAATTGGTGTATTTTTCTATATTTCTGATGCCTTTAAGGTGTCCTGCTTTTTATTCTTCTTTGTTGTTTACTTTTTTGTTGTTGTAAACTATGTTTTCATCTTACATAGGCTATATTTCATTTATTTTCTTCTTTTGAAGTAACATAGATGTTAGAAATCATGCTTAAATCATTAGTTTGAAACCATTTGCTTTCAAATGTATCAAGTAAATAATAAATGTATATCAGGATAAAACAGTATTGTGATACCTTTGAAACAATAACTTTTATTGTTTTGTCACAAAATATTCTTTAAATATAAATATATGTCTTTAATTCTATGATTCAACCTTTGCTCTTTTATTTGGAATTTATAGTTCTAGGTTATTATTGTAATATTCCCTTCATTATATCAACAACCACCCCCCAGCAGACACCCCCTAAATCATTTTTGTCTTTGTCTTCAATTTGTTAACCATACCTACAATGGTCTTTTTCTGAACATTAAAGGACTTCTGAATAGGTTGCACCTTCTCCTTTCCTGAATTTTTGGTTTAGAATTATCGATCTACAGTGCATCTTACAGGGTTTTGTTTTTTCTTTTTTTCTTTTACTTTGTTTCTTCAAGAAGGGGGCAGGAGGGTAATCTCAAGCTTCAGTTGCACACTATTTTCTGGTTCTACTATGACCTCTTTAGGCACTCTGTTTCCCCATACTTCCCCCAAAAGGTTGGTGTCCTCTGGCACTCTGGCCTTAACCCTCTTCCTTCCTCCTCCTTTGGGAGGTCTTTTCTACTTTCAGAGCTGCAGCTGCTTCCCATCTCTGATGAGGACCCAGGGACATCTCTAAACAGACATGCCCTCCCAAGTACCCTGTATGTGTTTCCCAAGTCTTCCAGACATTCCTGTCTGGAGAGTTGAGAATAGTGCAAATCCAACATTTCATTCTTTCCTAAATCTGCCCTTGCTCTTGTTTTACCCTCGTTGAAGTCAAATAAAATATAGAAATGAATCTCAACCATTAAAACATTTTATTTGAGAAGCAAGAATTGAGATTCAGGGCAAACACACAGACAATGTGATCTTAGGTATGTTCAAAGAAAAAAGAGAAGGTTGAGAGTTTCATTAGAAAGAGAAATGTCAGGCATTGTTTTTGAAAGAAAGCTCATAGGCACTAGAGAAGCTTTAGAGATCTGGCCAGCTCTG